>NC_000002.12:108398708-108701739 GCF_000001405.40 Homo sapiens | reverse complement strand
TTATTTATTTTTTGCCTTATTTCAACATCTCAAACTTCTAGTACAATACTGAATAAGACTGGTGTGAGAGGATATTCTCTCCTACTTAATGATAAAAGTCTTTTTGATCTTAAGGGGAAAGAGTTTCACTGTTAAGTAGGTCATTAACCACCATGCCTGGCTATTTTGTTTTTTATTTTTTAATTTTTAGTAGAGATGAGGTATCATTATGTTGTCCAGGTTGGTCTCAAACTCCCTGGCTCAAGCGATCCTCCTGTCTTGACTTCCCAAACAGCTGGGATTACAGGCTAGAGCCTGGCTCGCCACAGATATTTATAGATGCCTTTATCAGCTGTGCCCGGCCAGCCACAGATATTTATAGATGCCTTTATCAGATGGAGGAAATTTCCTATTCCTAGTTTGCTGACAGATTTTATCATGAATGGACATTGAATTATGTCAGATGCTTTTTCTACATCAATTGATATGATCATGTAATTTTTCTTCTTTACACTGTTAATATGACTACATTGATTTATTTTAAAATGTTATACCATCCAGCCGGGAGCGGTGGCTCATGGCTGTAATCCCAGCACTTTGGGACGCTGAGGCGGGTGGATCACCTGAGGTCAGGAGTTCAAGACCAGCCTGGCCAACATGGTGAAACCCTGTCTCTACTAAAAATACAAAAATTAGCTGGGCATGGTGGCAGGCACCTGTAATCCCAGCTACTCAGGAAGCTGAGGCAGGAGAATCGCTTGAACCTGGGAGGCGGAGGTTGCAGTGAGCCGAGATCGCGCCACTGCGTTCCAGCCTGGGGGCAAGAATGAGACTTTGTCTCAAAAAAAAAAAAAAAATATATATATATATATGTTATACCATCCTTGAAAGTCCCAGGATAAACCCTATTTGGTTGTGATGCATTTGTTTGTTTATTGTGGTAAAATACACATAGCATAAAACTTACCATTTTAACTGTTTTTAAGTGTACAATTCGGTAACATTAAGTTTGTTCACCATGTTGTGTAACCATCATCAATATCCATTTCCAAAACTTTTTGATCATCTCAAATAGAAACTCTGTGCCTAATAAACAATTACTCGCCACTCCCCACTCCACAAGCCCCTGGTAACCCTAACTCTACTTTTTGTCTTTATGAATTTGCCTACTAGCATTTTTTTTGTTGCTTTGTTTTGTTTTTTGAAACAGGGTCCTGCTCTGGCGCCCAGGCTGGAGTGCAGTGGCATGATCTTGGCTCACGGCAACCTTCGCCTGCTGGTTTCAAGTGATTCTCAAGCCTCAGCCTCCTTAGTATCTGGGACTACAGGTGTGTGCTACCACACCCAGATAATTTTTGTATTTTCAGTAGAAATGGGGTTTCGCCATATTGGCCAGGCTGGTCTCTAACTCCTGGCCTCAAGTGATCTGCCTGCCTCAGCCTCCCAAAATGCTGGGATTATAGGCATAAGCTACTGTGCCCGACCTTGTGGCTTTTAATGACTGAATATGTATTAACATTTTATAAACTACTTGATTCAATTTGCAATTTTTTTTAGGGTTTTCGCATCTAATTTCATGAGGAATATTGATATTTTCTAATTTCCCTTCAGACATTCTCTTTGATACATAGATTAATTTAGAAGTCTATTGTTTAATTTATAAGTGTTCAGGGATTCTCCTATTGTTTGTCTTATTGATTCCTGGTCTACTTTTGTTATGGTCAGAGAACATACCTGGCATGATTTCACTTCATTTAAGTTTGTTAAGGTTTGTTTTATGACCCAGGATATAGTCTATCTTGGTGAATGGTTCTATGTGCACTTGGAAATAATGCATAGTCTGCTGTTTATGGGTAGAGTCTTCTCAAAGTTCAATTAGATCTAGTTGGCTAGTGGTGCTGTTTAATTCTCCTCTTCTTTGCTGATTTTCTTTTTCTGTTTTTTGTTTTTTTGTTTGTTTGTTTGTTTGTTTGTTTTGAGGCTGAGTCTTGCTCTGTCGCCCAGGCTGGAGTGCAGTGGCACGATCTCAACTCACTGCAAGCTCCCAGGTTCACGCCATTGTCCTGCATCAGCCTCCCAAGTAGCTGGGACTACAGGCGCCCGCCACCGTGCCCGGCTAATTTTTTGTATTTTTAGTAGAGATGGAGTTTCACTGTGTTAGCCAGGATGGGCTCGATCTCCTGACCGTGTGATCTGCCCACCTTGGCCTACCAAAACGTTGGGATTACAGGCGTGAGCCACTGTGCCCGGCCTTCTTTGCTGATTTTCTAATAGTTCTATCAATGATTGAGACAGGAGTATTGAAGTCTCCAGATATAATTTTGGGTTTGTCTATTTGCTTTGAGAATTTTGAAGCTGTGGTGTTAAGACGCAAACATATTTAGGATTGTTATGTCTCCTTGGTGAATTAACTATTTTATCATGATGTATGATCCTTTTTTGTCCCTAATGGTTTTCATTGCTCTGGAATTTGCTGTGTATGATATCAACATAGCCACACCAACTCTTTTGATTAATATTTCCATGGTATATCTTTTCCTTTCTTTTTTTTTTTTGGAGATGGAGTCTTGTTCTGTCACCTGGGCTGGAGTACAGTGGCGTGATCTCAGCTCACTGCAACCTCCACCTCTCAGATTCAAGTGATTCTCCTGCCTCTGCCTTCTGAGTAATTGGGACTACAGGCAACACCACTACACCTGAGTAATTTTTGTGTTTTTGGTAGAGATGGGGTTTCGCCATGTTAGCCAGGCTGGTGTAGAACTCCTGACCTCAAGCGATCCACCCGCCTCGGCCTCCCAAAGTGCTGGGATTACAGGCATGAGCCACTCTGCCCGGCCTCTATTCTTTATTTTTAACCTACATATATAATATTTAAAGAAAGTTTTGGCTGGGTATGGTGGCTATTGCTTGTAATTCCAGTGCTTTGGAAGGCTGAGGTGGGAGGAATGCTTGAGGCCAGGAGTTTGAGACTAGCCTGGGCAACTTGGTGAGCCCCTGTCTCTATAAAAAAACAAAACAAAACAAAAAACTAGTCAGATATGATGGTACATGCCTGTAGTCTTAGCTACAGGGGAAGCTGAGGCAGGAGGATTGCTTGAGTCCAGGAGTTGGAAGCTGCAGTGAGCTATGATCATTCCATTGCACTCCAGTCTGGGCAACAGAGCAAAACCTTGTCTCTAATACATAAATAAATAAATGCAAAACATTTTTTTAAAAATGAAAAAAATTTAAAAAAATAAAGCAAGTTTCTTGTAAATAGCATATGGCTGGGCACTGCTTTTATCCATTCTGACAATGTCTTTTAAGATTTAGGTTTAGTCCATTTATGTTTACTGTAATTATTTATGTGTTTGGATATATGTCTACCATCTTATTTTATTTTATTTTTTGAGACAGAGTCTTGCCCTGTCACCCAGGCTGGAGTGCAGTGGCGCCATCTCAGCTCACAGCAACCTCCGCCTCCCAGCCTCAAGTGATTCTTGTACCTCAGCCTCCCAAGTAGTCGGGATTACAGGCGTGTACCACCACGCCCAGCTGACTTTTCTATTTTTAGTAAAGACAGGGTTTCACCATGTTGGCCAGGCTGATCTCAAATTCCTGGCCTCAAGTGATTCACCCACCTCAGCTTCCCAAAGTTTTGGGATTACAGGTGTGAGCCACTGGGCCCAGCCGCATCTTATTACTTTTTTTTTTGCTCCATTTTTTATCCTTCTGCTTACCACTTTTCGCCTCCTTTTTGGTTATTTAAATGATTTTTAGCGTTCTGTTTTAATTCATATATTGGTTTTGAATATATCTCTTTGAATAGTTTTTTAAATGGTGACTCTAGGGATTACAATGCACTTAATTTTTCACAGAATGAACATATTACCACTTAAGTGGAAGGTAGAAATCTTACAGCTGGATAGGTATTTTTACCTTTCCCTCTTTATATTATAGATGTTTTCTATTACATTTACATGCATTGTAAACTCCACTAATGTTAAAATTTTTGCTTTTGCTTTCTTTTCTTTCTTTCTTTCTTTTTTTTTTTGAGACAGAGTTTTGCTATTGTTGCCTAGGCTGGAGTGCAATGGCGCAATCTCGGGTCACTGCAACCTCCTGTCCCAGGTTGAAGTGCTTCTCCTGCCTCAGCCTCCCAAGTAGCTGGGATTACAGGCATGCGCCACTACTCCTGGTTAATTTTTGTATTTTTAGTAGAGACGGGGTTTCTCCATGTTGGTCAGGCTGGTCTCAAACTCCCGACCTCAAGTGATCTGCCCGCCTTGGCCTCCGAAAGTGCTGGGATTATAGGTGTGAGCCACCACGCCTGGCCTAATTTTTGCTTTCAACCATCAAATGTATTTTTAAAAACAATAATGGATAGATCCACTAGACAGGGATCATCAAGAAAATACAAGACTTCAACAATGGTTTAAACAAGCTAGACCAAATAGACATCTATAGAAAATTCCACCTAACAATATCAAAATACACATTCTTCTTAAGTGCACTTGGAACACTCTTTAGCATAACCCATATGCTAGAGCATAAGAAAAACTTCAATGATTCTTTTTTCAATAAGCCTTTTGTACTCCTAAACCCTCAATAAATTTAAAAGAATTGAAATCATAAAGCATATGTGTTCTGACCAGAATGGAATGAAATTAGAAATCAACAACAGAAATTTGAGAAATTTACAAACATTTGGACATTAAACAACGCACTTCTAAATAACCAATGAGTCAAAAAAGAAATCACAAGGGAAACTGGGTGCGGTGGCTCATGCCTGTAATCCCAACACTTAGAGAGGCTGAGGCGGGCGGATCACAAGGTCAGGAGATCGAGACCATCCTGGCTAAAACGGTGAAACCCCGTCTCTACTAAAAATACAAAAAAAAAAAAAAAAAAAAAAAATTAGCCAGGCGTGGTGGCAGACACCTGTAGTCCCAGCTACTCAGGAGGCTGAGGCAGGAGAATGGCGTGAACCCAGGAGGCGGAGCTTGCAGTGAGCCGAGATCGTGCCACTGTGCTCCAGCCTGGCTGACAGAGCGAGACTCCGACTCAAAGAAAAAAAAAAAGAAAAGAAAAAAGAAATCACAGGGGAAATTAGAAAGTACACAGGAAATGAGAAGAAATCACGACGTGAAATTAGAAAATTAGAGAAATTTGAGATGGATAAATGAAGATACAACATACGAAAACTTATGGGATACAGCTAAAGCAACATTAAGAAGGAAATGTATACCTGTAAAGACTATATTTAAAAAAGAATGACCTCTAAAAAGCAAGTAATCAAAGCATACCACTACAGAAAGTCATTGAATCATAAAGGAAGACAGTAAGAGGGGAAGAAAGGAACAAAGGATCTATAAAACAACTAGAAAACAATTTTTTTTGAGACACCGTCTCACTCTGTCACCCAGGCTGGGAGAGTGCAGTGGCACACTCTTGGCTCACTGCAACCTCTGCCTCCCAGGTTCAAGCAATCCTTGTGCCTCAGCCTCCCGGGTAGCTGGGACCACAGGTGTGCACCACCTCATGGGACTAATTTTGTATTTTTAGTAGAGACAGGATTTCACCATGTTGGCCAGGCTGGTCTCGAACTCCTGGCCTGAAGTGATCTGCCCACCTCGGCCTCCCAAAATGCTGGAATTACAGGCATGAGCCACTGTGCCCATCTGGAAAACTTTTTTTTTTTTTTTTTGAGATGGAGTTTCACTCTTGTTGCCCAGGCTGGAGTGCAATGGCATGATCTTGGCTCACGACAACCTCCCCGCACCGGGTTCAAGCGATTCTCCTACCTCAGCCTCCTGAATAGCTGGGGTTATAGGCATGTGCCACCACGCCTGGCTAATTTTGTATTTTTAGTAGAGACAGGGTTTCTTCATGTTGGTCAGGCTGGTCTGGAACTCCCGACCTCAGGTGATTCGCTCACCTCGGCCTCCCAAAGTGCTGGGATTACAGGCGTGAGCCACTGCGCCCAGCCAGGAAAACAATTTTTTAAATGACAGTGGTAATCCTTACCTATCAATAATTACCTTGAATATCAGTGGACTTAAAAAAAAGACCTCAAATCAATAGCCTGGGAAAAAAAAAGAGCAAACCATGCTTAAGGCAAGCAGAAGGAAGGACAAAAAGGTCAAAGCTGAAATTAGTGAAATAGAAACTAGAAAAACAATAGAGACCTTAACAACAACAAACATAAGTGAGCAAAAGGCTGGACTAGACATTTTTCTAAAGTTGATACAGAAATGTATAAAAAGCGTGAGAAGGCCGGGCGCGGTGGCTCACGCCTGTAATCCCAGCACTTTGGGAGGCCGAGGCGGGCGGATCACGAGATCAGGAGATGGAGACCATCCTGGCTAACACGGTGAAACCCCGTCTCTACTAAAAATACAAAAAAATTAGCCAGGCGTGGTGGCGGGCGCCTGTAGTCCCAGCTACTCGGGAGGCTGAGGCAGGAGAATGGCGTGAACCAGGGAGGCGGAGCTTGCAGTGAGCCGAGATTGCGCCACTGCACTCCAGCCTGGGCCACAGAGCGAGACCCCATCTCAAAAAAAAAAAAAAAAAAAAAAAAAAGCGTGAGAAAAGATGCTTAGGCTGGGTGCGGTGGCTCATGCCTGTAATTCCAGCATTTTGGGAGGCCAAGGCACGGTGGATCACTTGAGGTCAGTAGCTCGAGACCAGCCTGGCCAACGTGGCAAAACCCCATCTTTATTAAAAATACAAAAATTGGAATTTGCACCAAAGCAGCAGCTGCATTCCCACAGTTCGATCTTCACCTTCACGATGTTTCGCTTGCTCAAAAAATGCAGTAAGTCATCTCCAAGATCAAAGCATTCAGCAAACAATGGCAAGGCAGAGCCACCAGAAAAGTACACCTGATTTTCATGACAATACGATAATGCTGTATTAGCTAGTGGAGCCACTTTCTGTATTGCTATATGGACATATGTAGCAACACAAATCAGAATAGAATGGAACCTGTGCCCTGGTGGCAGAGTCACCCCAAAGGAATGGAGAGATCAGTAATCATCCCAGCTGGTGTAATAATGAATTGTTTAAGAAACAGCTCATAATTGATGCCAAGTTAAAACACTGTGTACCCATTAAGATATGGCATTATTGAAGAAATAAAGTACATTTTGAAACCCTCAAAAAAAAATACAAAAATTAGCCGGGCATAGTGGCAGGCACCTGTAATCCCAGCTACTTGGGAGGCAGAGGCACAGAATAGCTTGAACTTAGGAGGCAGAGGTTTCAGCGAGCCAAGATCCCAACACTGTACTCCAGCCTGAGTGACAGAGTGAGACTGTGTCTCAAAACAAAAACAAAAACAAAACAAAAAATGCTCAACATTCCTAATCATCATTAGAGAAATGCAAATCAAAATCACAAGGAAATATTATCTTACACCCATTAGGATGTCTACTATCAAAAAAGCAGAAAATCACAAGTGTTAAAGAGGATGCACAGAAATTGGAGCCTTTGTGCAATGCAAAATGGTGTAGCTACTACCAAAAACAATTTGATGGGGTCTCAGAAAAGTAAAAATAGAATTGCCATATGCACTTCTGGACATATATCCAAAAGAATTGAGAACAGGGTCTTTTTTTTTTTTTTTTTTTTTTTTTTTTTTGAGACGGAGTCTCACTCTTTCGCCCAGGCCGGACTGCAGTGGCGCGATCTCGGCTCACTGCAACCTCTGCCTCCCGGGTTCACGCCATTCTCCTGCCTCAGCCTCCGGAGTAGCTGGGACTACAGGCGCCCGCCACCCTGCCCGGCTAATTTTTTTGTATTTTTAGTAGAGACGGGGTTTCACCGTGTTAGCCAGGATGGTCTCAATCTCCTGACCCCGTGATCCGCCTGCCTCGGCCTCCCAAAGTGCTGGGATTACAGGCGTGAGCCACCGCGCCCGGCGGAGAACAGGGCCTGTAAGAGGTATTTGCACATCTGTATTTATAGCAGTATTATTCACAATAGCCAACACGCAGAAGCAGCCTAAATGTCCATCAACAGATGAGTGGAAAAACAAAATGTGGTGTATACAAATAATGGAGTATTACTCAGCCTTAAAAAGGAAAGAAATTCTGTTACATGCTATAACATGGAAGAACCTTGAGGACATCATGCTAAGTGGAATAAGCCAGTCGCAAAAATACAAATACTGTATGCTTCCACTTATATGAGGTATCTAAAGTAGTCAAATTCACAGAAACAGCAAATCAAATGGTGGCCATCAGAAACTAGGGGGAGGAGGAAATGGAGAATTGTTGTTTCATGGGTATAGATGTTCAAGTTTTAAAAGATAAAGTTGGGCCAAGTGGTGGCTTGTGCCTGTAATCCCAACACTTTGGGAGGCCGAGGTGGGAGGATTGCTTGAAATCAGGAGTTTAAGAGCAGCTTAGGTAACAAAGCAAGACTCTCTCTTTACAAAAGAAAAAAAAAATTAACCCAGCTCAGTGGTACGCACCTGTAGTCCCCAGCTACTTGGGAGGCTGAGGCAGGAGGATTGATTGAGCGCAAGAGTTCGAAGTTGCAGAGACCCATAATCGCACCACTGCATTCCATCCCAGGTGACAGCAAGATCATGTCTCAAAATAATAAATAAATAAATAGAAATAAAAGATGAAAACTTTCTGGAGATACATTGCACAGCAACATAAGGCTACTGCATTGCACACTTGAAAGTGGTTAAGTTGGGCCGGGTGCGGTGGCTCACGCCTGTAATCCCAGCACTTTGGGAGGTCGAGGTGGGCCGATCATGAGGTCAGGAGATCAAGACCATCCTGGCTAACAACGTGAAACCCCGTCTCTACTAAAAAAATACAAAAAAAAAATTAGCTGGGCGTGGTGGCGGGCACCTGTAGTCCCAGCTACTCGGGAGGCTGAGGCATGAGAATGGCGTGAACCCGGAAGGCAAGCTTGCAGTGAGCCGAGATCACGCCACCGCACTCCAGCCTGGGTGACAGACTCCATCTCAAAAAAAAAAAAAAAAAAAAAGGTTAAGTTGGGCTGGGTGCGGTGGCTCACGCCTGTAATCCTAGCACTTTGGGAGGCCGAGGCGGGCATTCACCTGTGGTGGGGAGTTGGAGACCAGCCTGACCAACATGGAGAAACTCCGTCTCTACTAAAAATACAAAATTAGCGGGGCGTGGTGGTGCATGCCTGTAATCCCAGCTACTCAGGAGGCTGTGGCAGGAGAATCATTTGAACTCTGGAGGTGAAGGTTGCAGTGAGTCGAGATCGTACCAGTACACTCTAGCCTGAGCAACAAGAGCGAAACTCTGGCTCAAAAAAAAAAAAAAAGTTAAGTTGGTAAATCTTTTTTTTAATCACTATTAAATTTTTTAAAACTCATTTTTAAAGAGTAGAGAAAATCAACAAAGGCAAAAGTTGCTGTTTTGAAAAAAAAATTTTTTTTTTGAGACAGAGTCTCGCTCTGTTGCCCAGGCTGGAGTGCAGTGGCGCGATCTTGGCTCAGTGCAAGCTCCGCCTCCCGGTTTCATGCCATTCTCCTGCCTCAGCCTCCTGAGTAGCTGGGACTACAGGCACCCGCCACCACACCCGGCTAATTTTTTTTTTTTTGTATTTTTTTAGTACAGATGGTGTTTCATCGTGTTAGCCAGGATAGTCTCGATCTCCTGACCTCGTGATCAGCCTGCCTCAGCCTCTCAAAGTGCTGGGATTACAGGAGTGAGCCACCGTGCCCGGCTTGAAAAACGTTTTTAAATTCATAAAGCTTTTGTTTTTTGAGATTGACCAAGAAAAAAGAAAGACTCTAATTACTAAAATCAGGGATGAAAGAAGGGGTATAAAAACTGACTTACGGCTGGGCACAGTGGCTTACAAAGTGCTTTGTAATCCCAGAACTTTGGGAGGCCAAGGTGGGCGGGGATCACGAGGTCAGGAGTTCGAGACCAGCCTGACCAAAATAGTGAAACCCCATCTCTAATAAAAATACAAAAAGTAAGCCAGGCATGGTGGCGGGCGCCTGTAATCCCAGCTACTCAGGAGGCTGAGGCAGGAGAATTACTTGAACCTGGGAGGCGGAAGTTGCCGTGAGCCAAGATCGTGCCATTGCACTCCAGCCTGGGCCAAAGTGCGAGACTACGTGTCAAAAAAAAAAAAAAAAAAAAAATAGTGACTTACAAGGATGCCTTCTTTCTTCACTTTTATTCAACACTGTACTGGATGTTCTAGCCAGGGCAATTAGGCAAGAAATGCAAACAAAAAGTATTGAAATAGGAATAGAATAAATAAAACTATCTCTATTCTAGATGACATGATCTTATATACAGAAAACCCTAATGAAACCTCAAAAAAAAAAAGACCTAAACCATCAGTGATAATAAATGAGTTCAAAGAGATTGTACCATACAAGGTCAATTAAAAAAAATGAGTTGCCTACTTATACACTAGCAATGAACAATTCAAGTAAAATTAAGTAAACAATTCCATTTATAATATTATCAAAAATAATAAAATAATTATGAATAAATTTAATCCAAAAGTGTAAGACTTGTAGACTGGAAACTACACAACACTGTTGAAAGAAATTAAAGAGGAGCTAAATCAATGGAAAGACATCCTGTGTTCATTAATTGGATGTAAACATGTCTACACAAAAACTTGTATACAGGCCAGGCATGGTGGCTCACGCCTGTAATCCCAGCACTTTGGGAGTTTTCGATGGGAGGATCACTTGAGTCCAGGTATTTGAGACCAGCCTGTGCAACACAGCGAGACCCCCATCTCTACAAAAAAAGAAAAAACAAAAACAAAAGAAAACCTATACATAATGTTTATAGCAGTACTATTTTTATTAGTAAAAGGTGGAAACATCCAAATTTCCATCTACTGAAGATGGATTTTTAAAATGTGGTATTACTTGGCACAGACACACGTGCCTGTAGTCCCAGCTACTGGGGAGGTTGAGGCAGGAGGGTCGCTTGAGCCCGAGAGTTTGAAGCTGCAGTTTGAAGCTGCAGTGATGCTCCTTGATCCATGCAGGAGCTGTGATCAGGCCTGTGAAGAGCCACTAAACTCCAGCCTGGGCGACATAGTGAGATCTCTGTCTCAAAGAAAAATGTGGTATAGCCATACAATAGAATATTACTTTTGCATAAAAAATAATGAAGTACCAATGCATACTACAACATGAATCAGCCTTGAAAACATTATTCTAAATGAAAGGTGCCAATCACAAAACCTCATATATCATTTCATTTATATGAAATATCCAGAGTAGGCAAACTCAAAGACACAGAAAGTAGACTAGTGATTGCCAAGGGCTGGGCAGAGGGGAAATCTGGGAGTGCATGTGACTGCCAACCTGAATGGAGTCTCTTGTTGGGGTGATAGAGATATTTTGGAATTAGATTTTGGGGATGGCTGTAAAACATTGCAAATTTACTAAAAAAAAAATCATTGAATGAAATTAAATCCTATGGAGATGATAGGTATTTTCATTTTGGCCAGGCAATCTACCTGATTAGGTTCAAGCCACAAGTTCCCACCCCTCCATTCTGCAGTCTGGTTCCAAAGTCAGTTCAGTGTCCAAAGTCTTCACAGGACTATTCAGTTCTGTCTGACTTGTGCACCACCCAGTGGCCAGTTGTGTCTGTGGGTGATGGTCTCTCAGTTCAGCTGTCAATCTTTGGTGTGTTGAACAGGACGAGATCTATGCAGGAGCAGCTCAAGAATGAGCCCTGGGGTTTATAGACAGGTTAATGGGGTTGCTTCACTGATTAACTCTCTCTCAGCAATTACCCTGTTGCTTTCATTTGCTGAGGCTTCTCTTTTTAGTCTTCCAAGCAGAAAACAGGCTTTCGGTATCTGGCTCTACCATGCATTTCTACATCTGAAGCCAAGAAGTGGGAGGACTGAATTGGAAGAGAAGCAACATGGATTGTTTCTGCCCTCTTGGGACCACAGCTCTGTCAGTTGGAGAAGGTTCCCTCCTACATCTTGGCTCCTGGGCTCCTCTTGGGGCTGGTGCCAGTGCCACTGTGGGACTGCTTGTGGGCTGAGGTATGAGAGAACAGGGAAAAGAAAAATGGGGAGGAACGAACTTCTGGATTCCCTCGGAATGTTAGGAGACCCTTTTCCCGTTACTTGAGCCAGAAATAGAGGGCATCTTCTGGAGCTCTTTCTATCTGCACCCTGGTGCCCACTGCCAGGTTAGTCACGGGATGCCGTAGGGGAAACATGGTTATCTCACCACTGGTTTGGTGGTACTTCAAGTTCTGGTCTTCTTGGGAAAGCTGCCTGCAACTATTTAGTTTTCACTGTCTTCCAATAGCTGCTCCATGCATTCTGTACTGTCTCCTGGCTGGACTCCATGCAGGAAGCCTGTCTCCTCCACAGTGTGCACTCACTCAGGTCATTGTTCAGTTTTATTGTTGGCATTTGTTTGCTTTAATTTTTCAGAATGGCTTCTTAGAGGTCGCTTCTTGTTTGCATAGTTTGTCAAACATCAGTTAAAGCCAATATGGTTTCCACCATCTGCTGCTGGATCTATGTGCAATGGGGAGGAGGCACGCCCCGGGCCATTTGCAAGGGTGTTCCGGCTTTTACTTCCTAACACTGGCACCGGCACACACACAGGCTGTGTGCCCTGGGCATATGGACATGGCTTGGGCTTGCTCTAATCTCTGCCAGCTATGAGCCTTCAGTCCATTTGGGTAGTGTGAAGAGTTTACTAAGCTCCCTCTGGCTCTCCGACCTCCCGGAGCTCCCTCTTACATCCATGACTAATCTGCAGGTCATTTGCTCGTCTCCAAAGGCCCAGAGCCTCAGGCTAGGAGTCAGTGGCCTTTCTTCCTCCTGGTCACTGATATCACCACCTTAACTAGCCATGCTGCAAATCAAAACCTTCCTCACTCTTGCCTCCAGCCCCTGCAACGAGGTGGCAGGGGAGCTTATCTCCACAGGCTGCCCTGCTGGGGGCCGCTGTGTGTGTTATCAACAGCTGGGGTAAATGGGGGTAGCAGCCTGGGCAAAGATGCCACAGACACAGGCTGGTCTTATCCAAGGCTCACTTTAATTCTTCTTTTTTTTCTTTAGGGACAGGGTCTGTCTCACTCTGTTGCCCAGGTTGGAGTGCAGTGGTGTGATCACAGCTCACTGCAGCCTCAATCTCCTGGGCTCAAATGATTCTCCCGCCTTAGCCTCCCATGTAGCTGGGACCACAAGTGTGCACCACCATGCCTTTTTTGATTTTTTTTTTGTACAGACGGGGGTCTCACCAAGTTGCCCAGGCTGTTTTTGAACTCCTGAGCTCAAGTGGTCCTTCTGCTTCAGCCTCCCAAAGTGCTGGGATTACAGGCGTGAGCCACCGCGCCTGGCCAGCTTTCATTCTTAAACACATCCCCATTTGTGCGGTGCCTTTGGTAAAATTACAGAATGCTAAATGGTTTGTCCAGCTATACAGTTACATTTTGGAAAGATTTGTTGACCTCCTCACTTCATCATGCTAGAAGTGGGAACTTTGATTCTCTTTAAAGAATCTGAAGATGAAGGGAAGACCAAAGCATAATTTGAGAGAATGGCAAGACTGAGAAAGGTTTCTGTAGCATGGTGCATGCATGTGTGTGTGCGTGTGTAGGGAGAGGCAAAGGGTTCTGACAAGAGGAAGAGGCTGAGGAAGCAGGCTCATCTCCACAACGTGCTGCTGCCACCCAATCATAGGGTCTCTTGCAGCAATTCCAGTCCTGATCTCACAAACCTCATACCCTAACTACGGTCCCCCTAATTGGGGTCCCTCCTCAGAGCTTTCCTAAGGCTCCCTAACTTTTCCCCTCACCTCGGTTGAGGCCTCCATGGTTTGGACTTGCTGGTTTTGCCTTGCTCTTCCCTTGATAAATACACCATTTATTCCGGTTCAGCCCTTGGAACTTTAAACCTTAACCCAAGCCTCCTCCACCCCACTATATTAGCCCAAGCCTAGAGTATCAGATCTGGATATTTGGGTAAAGATGCAGACAAATTTTGAGTTGAAAAAGAAAGAACTTAATTGCACCATTGCACTCCAGCTGAGGGCAGGGCACAGTGGCTCATTGCCTGTAATCCCAGCACACCATTGCACTGCAACCTCTGCCCCCTGGATTCAAGTGATTCTACTGCCTCAGCCTCCCAAGTAGCTGGGACTACAGGTGCACACCACCACGCCCTATTAATTTTTGTATTTTTAATAGAGATGAGGTTTCACTGTGTTGGCCAGGCTGGTCTCAAACTCCTGACCTCAAGTGATCCACTGGCCTCGGCCTCCCAAAGTGCTGGGATTACAGGTGTGAGCCACTGTGCCTGGACTGTATCTCCTTCTTAATAATAATAATAATTAAAAAACCCAGCATTTACATTGAGTAGAGGGAAGACTACACCATTGTTCTAGATGGTTCAAAATTTGGCTTATCTATAGTAACCAGGTCATTTTATTCATTTACTTGTTTCTATTATATATTCATGAATACTTCAATTTTCATATGTATTTCACATATATACCATTCAAAATAAACAATATACAACAGGTTATTGTTAACAATTATAAACATTTATTAAGCACCAAGAATATACTGTGGTGGTTGCTATATGAAAACATAATTACCAATATAGTATCCCTGCCATTGAGCTTACAATCTAAAACGAAATACAAGGCTATGAGCCTATCTAAAAACTTCCTTAACTTAGAAATGGCTACTTTGGCAAATGAGTGAGGCAAAATGACCTATTATTCAGGTGCAGTGCTAATAAGGCTTTGAATATCATCCAAAGAATGTTTTACTTGTACCCATTGTTCCTGATTATGTTACACTTGCTAAGAAAAACAGTACTTAGAATTTTGGCATGAACAATGAATTATTTCAAATTGTCTTGTAGGACTTTAAACAAAGAGATGCTTACTGGCCTAAGTTTTCCAGCAGCCAGGGAAAGCCCTATTAAAAATATTATGAACTAGACCAAGTTTCTCTTTTAATCCACTTACACTTTTTTTTTTTTTTTGAGACGGAGTCTTGCTCTGTCGCCCAGGCTGGAGTGCAGTGGTGCAATCTCGGCTCACTGCAAGCTCCGCCTCCTGGGTTCAAGCCATTCTCCTACCTCAGCCTCCCGAGTAGCTGGGACTACAAGCGCCCGCCACCACGCCTGGCTAATGTTTTTTTTTGTATTTTTAGTAGAGACGGGGTTTCACCTTGTTAGCCAGGATAGTCTGGATCTCCTGACCTCGTGATCCGCCCCCCTCGGCCTCCCAAAGTGCTGGGATTACAGGCATGAGCCACCACGCCCGGCCCACTTACACTTTTTAAACTTCTTCCTCTTCTCCTATACCTAAGGGCTCCAATGATACTACTTATCAGGGAAGAAAGTACTGTATCTAGATAAACTACCCTTAAGTATTACAGGCTTAGCAAGTTGAATTTCTAGAAAATACTCATTCATAATTTATTTATTTATTTTTTTTGAGACAGAGTCTTGCTCTGTTGCCCAGGCTGGAGTGCAGTGGCGTGATCTTGGCTCACTGCAAGCTCTGCCTCCCGGGTTCCCACCATTCTCCTGCCTCAGCCTCCCGAGTAGCTGGGACTGCAGGTGCCCGCCACCACGCCCGGCTAATTTTTTTGTAGTAGAGATGGGGTTTCAGTGGTAGCCAGGATGGTCTTGATCTCCTGACCTCGTGATCCACCTGCCTCGACCTCCCAAAGTGCTGGGATTACAGGTGTGAGGCACCGTGCCTGTCCACTAATTCATATTTTAAAAGAGGACTGAGCAAAGACAGCAATGGAACCTCTGGCTGCAGGAGATGCCTGGGTATGCCTGATATGTAAACAAACACAAGCAGTCGAGTTCAGGCCATGCATCTTCAAAGTGACGAAGAATATATGTAAATGCTTGTTTTTCTCCTCCATATTTCTCGTGTAGAGGTATATGAGAATTTAGCATCAAGACGCTATACTGCAAACCCTGTTCTGTGTTGCCTATATTCATAGCATAATATTTAATAAATACTCCCAAGGTTGTCATTGCTGGTCACATATTAGCTGACAAAGGCACACTGAAGGGACTTTGATTCTTACTGTAAAATGCAAAGATTGTTTTAAACTACTCAACATATACAATCTTAAACTATGTGATGATTATTCTCGATCATTTATGATAATTTCAATTCTAAAAGATTACTAAAAAAAATTGGTTGTAGGGTATCTGAAAACAAAAATAGAATGTACTCCATAAAGTACATGCACAGAATTTTTAAAAATGCAGGCATACAAATATTTAATGGCAGAGTGGTAATAACCTGAGACTTTTTAAAAATGGCAAAACAATATTTCAGCAATTTTTGGAAAAAAAACCCAAATATTTTCCCTAAGAAGTCTCTCTTGGCAACTTTCTTTTTAAGCAACAAAGCAGCAGCAACATTTTTAAATGTTCATAAAGCTCGCTTTCCATTAACAAGTTTATTAAGGAAGAGTGGTCCTGAAACTTCAGGATAAAACTTTTGATAAAAATAGAATCACTAATTTTGACCTAAAACAGACACTAAAACACCCCTCCTTCCAATTTAAGAGTGTCATTTATACCTCCTACTTACAGTAAATAAATCAAATTAATTATAAGATTTCAAATGGAAAATCTGAAACACATATCAACATCATTTTCTTCTAATAAGATAACAGAAATTAACTTCAATGGATTTCCCCAAAAAGAGAATAGTTTCTAAAAACTTAATTACAGCTGTGGTAAATGAATCTGGGTTTACCAATCTCAGATCTCAATGCACTTAGTTTTAGTTGGTATTCTGTGAGATGGCTAGAATTCCTGATTTAAGTATGTAGTATGTATGTTTTTAAGGCAAGGCAAGTTTGAGTATGTATAAAGCATAGATATTAGCATGGTTATAAAGGCAATATGACCGACATACACATTCAGTTTTCTGAAGCAATATATTCCAAGCTACATACAATTTAATTTCATGTCCTATTCTAAGACTACATGCTTAACATTAAGCTTAGAAACATAATTGCTGTAATACATTAAAAATACTTCATTTTCCAATATTGTAAAGTATATTTCCAAATACCTGGTATAAATTTTTTTTTGCACAAAAATTTAAAGGACATCCTACAGCTAGCTATTACTACTGCGTTAAGTAATCATTTGAAGGAAGAATTCACAAGGAGAGCAGGTTATAAAACTAAGCATAATAATTATTGCATTTAACTAAAAAAAATCAAGTAGTTCTGAATTACACTTGTTTTTTGTCTTAGTAATGTGCATATTCACTTTCTAGCTACTAGTTTGATAAATATACTAAGATTGTATAAGATTTGTTTTTCTTGTTTTTGTTTTTCTTGGGTGGTTATTTTTCTTTTCTGTGTCCTTCCCCAACAGCAGTTGGAATTTTCTTTTGAACACAAAGTAAATTAATGTTTATACTGTTTTTTCACCTGAGTCATGTAAAAGGTGACTCCTTTCATTTTAAAAAGTTATATTTAATTTTTGGGGGCCTTAATTAAAATTTAACATTTAACCATGTGTTTTTTTTTTGTAAACAGTCTACATGTCAACAAATGGATAAGGGTTAACAAAGGCAAATACTGACTTCATTTGTGTTTTAAACACGATTATATGAATTTTTCTTTTTTAATTAAAAAAATGACATAAAACCATTCATATAGGTCCTCTTCTCTCAACTGCTTTGAGATATAGCTTTAAATATGGGTAGATCAAGACAAGTAATGTTGGTAATCTCTTATCTTGCATAGAAAAGAAAAAATAAAGGAACTTATTTCCTTCCTAAGGTCTCAGCTAGTTTCTTAAGTCTTTTCTTCAGCTCCAATGGAAATTTCTCATAGCACTTCTTACAGACTGGCTTCATGTCAAACTCCACAAACTTATTCCTAAAGACAAAAAATTATAAAAAAAAAGAAGTTAGTGGAAACATATTCAACAAAGATATATAAATGATGTGCAGTAATTGTACTGAACTAAACGAAGGCAACTAGGTGATGATATTATATTCATGTTAGTAAAAAAACCATAATCCTAACCTCAATTCTTATTGTGATATATATATAAAAATTCAGTATAATTTTAAAAAAAAGTCCTTATAAATTGGTTCTATACATCCATCTGTGTAACACAGACTGTAGATTACATTTTATTCAGTACTAAGTAAACAGGAAATCTAATGTAAATATAATTAACTTAAGTACAGTCAATCACTTTTTTTTTTTTTTTTTTTTGGAAACAGAGCCTCGACTGTCACTCAGGCTGGAGTGCAGTGGTGATCACAGCTCCCTGCAGCCTCTAACTCCTGGACTCAAGCCATCCTCCCACCTCAGCCTCCTGAATAGCTGGGACACAAGTGCATACTACTATGCCTGGCTAACTTAAAAATTTTTTTTTGTAGAGACAGGGTCCTGTCGTATTGCCTAGGATGGTAATCACATTTTAGAATACCTTAAAGATAAATTTATCTAAAGGAAAGAATCATATTTTTATAATGTGAATGATTTCTTTATTGGAGGCAACATGATCTTACTTAGTACTTTAAATTAGGTAGCCATGAGGTTTAATTAATTTTAAATTATAAGGGGTTATTTTGGTTATCTGACAGAAAGGTTGGAAGAAAGTTTTTAATCACTCTTAACATAAATGTAACCAGATCACCTGTGGTTGCATTGTAAGCGGTAGCTATTTGAAGAACTCAACTATTCTTTTGAAAAGCTAGAGCAACACACATTATCAATTTATTTTTAAAATGGTCCTGGAGAAGACAACTTTTCAGATAGCCTCCTGATCATCTGTAATGCATTTCCAACAGGTAATTACAGGAGCTTATTACTGTTGAAATCCAGAGTGTTTAATTTTGAATTGAGTAAATATACAACTTGGTAACTTGTTCACTGTCTGTGAAATTATATTCAGGTAGCATTTGTGAAATAAATCTAGTGGTATATTGCTATCTATGACAAAAATTATAAAATCTGCTGATATTTTTACTGCATTTAAACATTATATTAAACTAGACTTTGCTTCAAGATCATTTTAAAGGACAATGTTAGTAACAAAGGAAATTCCTAAACACATATCTAAAATGAAAAATCTTCTATTTTAAAACACTACACTGGGAATTACTTTACGGCTTTTCTCCCAAGGTCATCTTAGAGCAAAAGCTATTAAAACTGCCATTTTTTTGATAAAAGAAAAAAATTATTCCTGTTTTCAGACAGACTACCTTAGCAAGCTTTCCAGTTTTAATCTTTTTTATTTTTTATTTTTTGAGACAGAGTCTCACTCTGTCGCCCAGGGTGGAATGCAGTGGCACGATCTCGGCTCACTGCAACCTCCGCCTCTCAGGTTCAAGCGATTCTCCTGTCTCAGCCTCGCGAGTATCTGGGATTACAGGCACCCGCCACCATGCCTGGCTAATTTTTTTGTATTTTTAGTAGAGACGGGGCTTCACCATGTTGCCCAGGCTGATCTCAAGTGATCTGCTGCCTTGGCATCTCAAAGTGCTGGGATCACAGGCGTGAGCCACCATGCCCGGCCTCATTGTTTTAATCTTACATTTACATTTAATTCCTCTTTATAGAAGGAAACATGTAAACTGGAACAAAATATTTTTAGAGCTCCAAACACAATGGTAACTATGAGGGAAAACTGGAACAATCATGCTGGTAATTCAAAAGAATTTCAAAGATTGAAATACTTCTCATAAAAATCAGGAATAAAAAAAGAGTTTGAAGACATTGAGGAAATGAATTCATAAACAGTAGCATATGGGTATTGTATGAATGCACATTCGAACATCACAGAAGAAGATGTCTTACGTAAATCAGATGGACTTTGCTTAGATACGAAACATGCTGAAAGATTTTTTTTTTTTTTTGAGACAGAGTCTCACTCTGTCGCCCAAGCTGGAGTGCAGTGGCAGTCATGGCTCACTGCAGCAGCCTCAGCCTCCTGAGTAGCTGGGACTATAGGTATGGGCCACCACGCCTGGCTAATTTGTTTTTTTTTTTTGACGGATGGGGTCTAGGCATGTAGTCCAGGCTGGTCTCAAAATCCTGGGCTCAGGCAATCCTTCCACTCTGCCTTCCTAAAGTGCTGGGATTACAGGCGTGAGCCACCATGCCTCGCCATGCTGAAATAATTTAATACATAACTTAGAATATATGCATTTTTAAAAATATCAAACAACACTTATAATTTATCAATTAAATGATCGTGGCAAGGAAACCAAAAACCAGGATTTTAAAAGCTACAGTTAATCAGACAAAAATCCTTTAAAATGTTTTCCAGGGTCTATTAAGAGATTAGAATTCTTCCCTTTAAATCCATTAAAAAAAAAAGAAAGAAATGTATACTATATGGTGTTTAAAAAATGAGGTGAGTGAGTCTACAGAGTAAGTGAAATACATGACCACAAAACTGTATTAAGTATGGAGTGTATTCATTTAATTTTTGTAATTTTAGCAGTTATGCAAAAGGACCAGTTCTACATAGGACAAATACTTGTATTTCAATCTCTGATGACTACAAATACATGCCCAAAAGTTGCAGGGGGGGAAGAAAGCAAAAGACAGAAACAGAACAAAAACATATTCCAAAGGACTAACCAAAGGAGAAAGCAGTGAAAATGATGACACAGGGATAGAAAAGTTTACAAACAGACTGGCTTTTTCTTTTTCTGCTTGTCCTTATCCTTTGCTTCTCTCTCCCGTTTGGCAAGTCGCCTCTTAAATTCTTCTGGCATTTTCTCATAACAGTGTTTGCAGACTGGCTTTAGGTCAATTTCAACAAACTTATCCCTTTGAGTAGGACAAAGAAGGAATAGAAGAAAGAACAGGGAACAGTTAAAGGAAGAACCTTTACTTTCAGAAGGCCTGAACAGAAAGAGGAAATAAGAAATCAAATAATTCTCTTTTTCTAAATTCTAGGATTTTTTTTAAGTGTCTCCCCAAAGTTTTCAGTCTTAGGATTCACACTGGACAAAACCGTACACTTACTTGAGTGTTAATTTAGTGTTGCAGGTAGAACAGGCAAAGCAGTTCACGCACCAGGCCTTATTAAGAGCAGAGACCACTGGAGAAAGAGGAAAGAGATCTGGTCACATGGAAATACATCAGTATGGGGAGCAGGGCAGCTTAGAATTTCAACTCCAAAACAGAACTACGACTGTGTCTGTGGCACTTGGTGGAGGTTCTCAAGAACCTTTTTTTTTTTTTTTTTTTTTTTTAAATGAGACAGGGTCTTGCTCTATAGCCCAGGCTGGAGTACAGTGGCACAATCTTGGCTCACTGTAACCCCAACCTCCCAGGCTCAAGTGATCCTCCCACCTCAGCCTCCTGAGTAGCTGGGACTACAGGTGCATGCCACTACACCTGGCTAATTTTTTTTTTTTTTTTTTTTTTGAGACGGAATCTCGCTCTGTTGCCAGGCTGGAGTGCAGTGGCGCAATCACGGCTCACTGCAACCTCCGCCTCCTGGGTTCAAGCGATTCTCCTGCCTCATTTTCCCAAGTAGCTGGGACTACAGGTGCGTGCCACCATGCCCAGCTAATTTTTGTATTTAATAGAGACGGGATTTCACCATGTTGGCCAAGATGGTCTCAATCTCTTGACCTTGTGATCCGCCCGTCTTGGCCTCCCAGAGTGCTGGGATTACAAGCGTGAGCCACTGCGCCCGGCCTATACCTGTCTAATTTTTGTATTTTTTATAGAGACACGGTCTTGCCATGTTTCCCAGGACGGTCTTGAACTCCTGGGCTCAAGCAATCTACCTGCCTCGGTCTCCCAAAATGCTGAGATTATAGGCATGAGCCACCATGCCCAGCCAAGAACCTCTTTCCTGAGAGCTTCTTTTCTTTTGTTTTTCAGACAGGGTCTCGCTCTGTTGTCCAGGCTGTATTGCAGTGGTGCGATCACAGCTCGAACTCCTGGGCTCAAGCAATCTTCTCCTCTCGTTCTCCTGTGTAGCTGGGACCATAGGTGTGTGCTACCACACCTGGCTAATTTTTTATTTTGTAGAGATGGAGGTCTTGCTCTGTTGCCCAGGCTGGTATCGAACTCCTGGCCTCAAGAAATTCTCCTGTCTCGGCCTCCTTAAGTGCTGGGATTACAGGTATAAGCCACCACACCCGGCCCTCAACCTTTATGTATACAGTTGTTGCTCAGTATGTGCAGGATACTGTTTCTAGGATGCTGTGAGGATACCAAAATCTCAGACGCTCAAGTCCCTGATATAAAATGCATATAACCTATGTACATTGTCTTGTATACATTTATTTATTTTTTTTGAGACGAAGTTTTTGCTCTTGTTGCCCAGGCTGGAGTGCAATGGTGTGATCTTGGCTCACAGCAACCTCTGCCTCCCGGGTTCAGGTGATTCTCCTGTCTCAGCCTCCCGAGTAGCTGGGATCATAGGCATGCACCACCACACCCAGCTAAGTTTTTGTATTTTTAGTAGAGATGGGGTTTCACCATGTTGGCCAGACTGCTCTTGAACTCTTGACCTCAGTTGATCTGCCCGCCTTGGCCTCCCAAAGTGTTGGGATCACAGGCGTGAGCCACTGAGCCTGGTCCTATCTCGTATACTTTAGATCATCTCTAGGTTAATTATAATGCCTAGTACAATGTAAATGATATGTAAATAGTCATTATACTGTACTATTTGTACTGTTATATTGTTATTTTTCTCTAAATATTTTTGATCCATAGTTGGTTGAATCCACGGATGTTTGGATCCAGCCCCTGGATACGGAGGGCTGACTTTAATCTTCCCCCATCCTTAAGTATCCTGTGAAGTTATAAATGATGTGTGCCATGTCTTACACCAGCAACTGTGCCCCCTTGGCCTGGGCACATGTGGCAACTGTCCATGCACCATGTTGTTTAGGTGAGCTTGCTGTTTCTGTCCCTACTGCTGTTGGCCCAACATGGAAATATGAACTAGGTAAATAATTTTCAAAAATCCAGACATTAACTTATTTGCCCCTGTAGGAGTCTTTTTTCCAGAGCTGATGATAAGAAGACAGTTTCCTTTGCAGCTTCTTTCACCTGGCATCTATTTCACAGAGGAGGGAGGTAAGTTTTATTTTCAATGGCACTAAAGATTGTTTTCCTGGATTGTTTTCACAAACTGCACATGAACAGTGTTTCAAAAGTATTTCCTGAATTAGGTGATGTCTGCAGGGAGCCATGAATCATGCTGAAAACAGGATTGTTCAAAACTTTGCCAGGAAGTCTCTGGCAGAAGTGTGTTAGCGAGTCTTAGCAAACACAGCTGCTTCCTTTCTGTTCCAATCAATCAGCCCAGCCTAATTACCACAGTACAAGGGTGGTAAGTCCTAGATATGCTTGCTGATAACTGCCAGCTTTTAGCATGTGCAGGTTAAAGTGCCTCTTCCTAACTACGATAGCAGATTAAACTGTTCCTAATAAACGTTGTTCTAGAGCTTCCTGAAACTGGACACAAACAGGTCTTAGGGTCCACCAGGGACAGTTCCCATGATTGCTGGCATACAACACTGCAGCAGTGGCCGAAAGTAGTGTCATAAATCAGTAACAAATCCAACTCTTTGATATTATCATCTTACTGCTACAGATTACTTGGAAAATACGCCAAAGATAGAGAAAAAGTAACTGATAACGATCACATTTCAAACCATACAATCACCAACCTGAATTTCCACATTACCCAAGTGTTTTTGTGTCAAAGTGGCACCAATCTAAAACTCACACAGATACTTACCATCACCTTCTATAACACGATTGCAGTGGAAGCAAACATCACCAAATAGCTGAAAATAAAAAAAGGTGGTCAAAGTTCAAGATGTGTTAGAATTTTTAGAACACTGAACATTTAAAAATAGCTGGCTATCTAAATTGAGGATTTATCACTACTAGAGAAATTTAGTAAAAGTTCTTTGACAAGTTTTTACTTCTTACAATGAAAGTAATTCACTCTCATCAATTAAAAGAAAAACTTTCCAGATGACAGTTTGAACACCCAAATAAGTGATGCAAAATATAGAAATCTGTGAGTCCATATGGATAAGAAATAGATAAATGAATAAACCTATAGACGGGAGAGGAGGTGGGTTCTTGCTCAGGCAGAGCGCTGAGGACCAGACTATGGGTGGAGGGCATGGGGCTGGAGAAGTGTCGTTTGCAGCTGGCGCAGAGACAAGAATCATCAAGGGGTGCTGAATCTAGGGCAGGTTGATGAGGAACAGGACATTTCCATGGTCATAAAATGATTGCCCACAGATTGCTTCTTTCTTACAGAGGAGGGAAGGAAATTGTAATTCACAGTGATGTTATCAGCCAGCACCATGCCTGGGAGATCACCAGGGCAGGAGAGGTATAAAATGCTCCAGGGGCAAGGTTCTGAGAAGATGCCCTGCCACTGTATGAGGCCACAACCTGCTGTGTATAACCTCATCTAAGCACAGAGAAGCACCAGGTGAACCCAAGTGGAAAGTAGTCTATTAAAAAGGGGTTAGGGGCCCTCTGCATCCCTCCAAAATGTCAATGTCATCAAAAATTTTAAAAGACTCTGGAAACGTTCCAGATTTAAGAAGGCTAAAGAAACATCACAGCCAGAGGCTGGGTCCAGTCTGGGAGTGGAAAAAATGCTGTGAGGATATTGACTCAAGTGACAAAACTGGAATAAATGGTTAGAGTACGGTATCAATATTGATAACTACAATTATGTTAGAGAGTCCCATATTCTTGGGAAATATACACTGAAGTATTTAGGGATAAAGGAGTATGATGAACTTATTGGCAAAACAGCCATCGTACTTGTATATAATATTTACGTAACTATGTGTTTTACACAGGAAGACTGAGCTTGGGAAATGATAAAGCAAACTGTGGACTTGAATGAAAGACATACAGGTATTCTTTGTATATTTTATAGTTAGCTTCTGAGTCTGAAATTATTTCCCAAATAAAAAGTTAAAAACAAATCTCTACTGAACAATGTACATCTTCCAAGAGATTTCCTTGTAGCTAAACTACTGATAAGCTTAGGTTCATAAAAGTCTATCTAGCATCCAGTGACTAAGGTCAATACCTGGTTATAGTGAGTTTCACAATATGCCAGGCCTTTCCTCTCATAATGGCGATGTCCAAGAAAGGGTTTCTCACACTTGGCACAAACAAAATGCTGAAAAAAAATTGCTATAGGTCATTTTTGAATTGCCATATTTTATATCTAATAAAGTAAATACCAGAGTTAACCTATTTTCAGAGAAGATGAAGGAAAGTTTGAGACAGTCATTTCATTTGGCCATAGGTGGCCCCATAATATAATACTTCTGCAGTTGTAATTCAGGTGTCTGTCTTTGAAGGTTACTTTAAGACATAGCCTATTATAATAGCCCAAAAAGAGAATAGAGGTGAGCATCTCAGTAGCACCTATAAAGGAGGAGCTGCTGCTGGATACAGACCATGGCACTTCCTGCTTCAAGAAGGCTTTAGGAGCAAAAGTACACATCCTGTATCATTACTGAGACATTCACAAAAGCAGTGTACATTATATATTCTTAGCTGTCAGCAAAGTCAATTGTCTTTAAAATGTCCACGTTTAATCTTTAGAGTCTCCTAATCTTGCCAGGACACCTGAATCATGAAGATTTGAAAGTACTGGTTACCCCTGAATCATGGGAGATCTGAAAGTATTGGTTACCCCTTAATCATGGAGATTTGAAAGGATTGGTTACCCTTTGCCATTTAGAACTCACCTCCACATGCCACTGCTTGCCCATAGCGTTCACCACGCGCCCTTCGATGGGCCGTCGGCAAGCACCACAGATGGGGACCCCCATTTTATCATGGCATGGGAGGCAGTATAGCTCCCCTTTCAGCTCCCGTGCATCGGCAGTCAGCTCCTTCCTGTCCGTGAGAAAGACACACAGCTTAATACTAAGAGAGAAAAGTGGCCAACCAATGGGGCTAGCACACTTTTTAGAAGGTTTTTAAAGACATTACTATGACAATCCCTGCAAATTTCTTTTTTCCCCTTTAGAGGTGATCAGAATAACCTGAATTAATAGGCCTGAACAGGTTTCAGACTCCTACCAAAACATCTGTATCTTAAAAGGATAAGATGCAAGACTAGGTCAGATACATACCACCACACCAGTCATATTCATAATTTCCTTCTTATATTATCACATTACATTTTAGTCCATTTGTCTTCCTCTAAAAGCTACAGGGAATAATCACAGTGCTGAGGGTAGACTCAGTAATACTATCTGCTATGGTGTGACTGTGTCCCCAAAGTTCATGATCCCCAATTCTGAGGTGTTGAGAGGTAGGACCTCTAAGGGGTGATTACATCATGAAGGCTCTGCCCTCACAGATGGATTAACGCTGTTACTGAGGGGGTGGGTTCCTTATAAAAGGACGAGTTCAGCCTCCTTCCTTCTCTTCCTTCCCCCCTCCTCTTCCCCCACCATGTGATGCCCTCTGCTATGTAATGATGCAGAAGAAGGTCCTCACCAGATGCCAGCCCCTTGATCTTGGACTTCCCAGCCTCCAGAACCATGAGCCAAATAAACTTCTGTTGGTTACAAATTACCCAGTTTGTGGTATTCTGTTACAGGCGCATAAAATAGACTAACACACGACCTTTCCAAGCAAACTGAGAAGTTGGGAGACTAGTTCCATTTACTAACAATTATTTAAATTGTCACAAGCTGTTGAAAATAGTTATAGGTTAATAGGTTTATTTTCATAAACAACAAAATGCCCAGAATTTTCCTTCTCCAAATACTCAAATTAAATATTATTTTCAGTCTCCTGCATCAATAAACATTTGGTCAGAGATGGTCCCAATTAGTCAAACGGACTTGTTTGAATTTCATCCCTTTTATGTAATTCTCTAGGAGAGATGCTAATGAAAAGTGGA
Source organism: Homo sapiens (assembly GCF_000001405.40). Lineage (NCBI taxonomy): Eukaryota > Metazoa > Chordata > Mammalia > Primates > Hominidae > Homo > Homo sapiens. Next base: position 108,674,859 of record NC_000002.12, on the reverse strand, counting down.
CAGAGGTGAATCCCCAAGAGGAAGGACAGGCAAGAAAACGAGATAAGGCACAAACTGATAATTCAATCACAAAAGATGAGATGGCTGAACTTATACAACCAAACTGTTTTCTTTCTTTCTCTTTTTTTTTTTTTTTTTTTGAGACGAGTCTTGCTTTGCTGCCCAGGCTGGAGTGCAGTGGCGCGATCCACACTCACTGCAAGCTCCACCTCCCAGGTTCATGCCATTCTCCTGCCTCAGCCTCCCGAGTAGCTGGGACTACAGGCACCCACCACCACGCCTGGCTAATTTTTTTATTCTTAGTAGAGATGGGGTTTCACCATGTTAGCCAGGATGGTCTCGATCTCCTGACCTCGTGATCCACCCGCCTCGGCCTCCCAAAGTGCTGGGATTACAGGCGTGTGCCACTGCACCTGGCCCAAACTGTTTTCTTAGTATTTGGCTTACTGTTTCTTCTCCATCCCTACTATAATTTAGCAAGTAAGTTCACATTAACTACAGTAAAGAATATTTTTTTATTTTTATTTTTTGAGATGGAGTCACGCTCTGTCTCCCAGGTTCGAGTGCAGTGGTGCGATCTCAGCTCACTGCAACCTCCGCCTTCCGGGTTCCTGCCATTCTCCTGCCTCAGCCTTCCAAGTAGCTGGGACTATAGGCACCCGCCACCGTGCCCGGCTAATTTTTTTTGTATTTTTTAGTAGAGACGGGGTTTCACCGTGTTAGCCAGGATGGTCTTGATCTCCTGACCTCGTGATCTGCCCGCCTCGGCCTCCCAAAGTGCTGGGATTACAGGTGTGAGCCACCACGCCCGGCCAAGAATCTTTATCCACTAAATTTTTATACTAGGCAGCAAACTGAGAAAAATTCATAGCCCAACAATTTATCATAACTTATTGAAGACAAAAAATTAAATATATTTCTTTTAGATATAAACCAAGCCAAATTAAATAAATGTAACAACATCTTTTAAGATAATACCTAATTATTACAACTGTAAAAGTTATGCATGTACAGAGATAAGACCTTTTTTTGTTTTTAGATCTTCGATTGGAAAAACATAGTGATGACAAATATTTCTGGGGCTACTGGGAATATTTTTAATATGGACTGATAGTTGATATTATAAGATTATTGCTAATTTTCTTAGGCATAATAAGAGTATTGTGGTTCTGGCCAGGTGCAGTGGCTCATGCCTATAGTCCCAGCACTTTGGAAGGCTGAGATGAGTAGATTGCTTGAGCCCAGGAGTTTGAGACCAGCCTGGGCAACGCAGCAAGGCTCCATCTCTACAAAAAATTTAAAAAAATTAGTCAGGAAGGGTGGTGTGTGCCTGTGGTCTCAGCTACTCTGGAGGCTGAAGTGGGAGGACTGCTTGAGCCCAGGAGGGTGAGGCTGCAGTGAGCTCTGATTGCCCACTGCACTTCAGCCTGGGCAATAGAGCGAGAGAGACCCTGTCTCAAGGCAAAAAAAAATTTACAAAAAGTATCGTGGTTCCATAGGAAAATGCTCTTATTCTCAGGAGACGCATACTGGGACTCATGAGAAATTTTAGAGGTATGCGTATACAGGCACACGTGCACACATACATAGGAGGGTGAAACGAGAATGTGGACTGTATACACACAAGCATGGCAAAATGTCAACTGGTGAAACGAAATTAAGTGTATACAGGTTTCATTATATCATTCTCTTGACTCGTCTATAGGTTTAAAATTTTCTAGACTAAAAATTGGAGAAAAACAATTTGGTTTGCTAGAGTAACAGAAATATAGATAAATGTAATCTTTCATTCCCACTGCTTGTGTAATAAAAAAGAAACAATTCCAGTACCCGCAGTTGGCGCAGTTGAAATGGTCTGGATGGTAGGGGTCGTTCTTGAATATCAGAGGCTGCTCATCGATGATAGCATGGCATTTCTGGCAGATGTATTTCCCAAGGCCTCTGGCTTTCTCACGATTATGACAGGGGCGACACAGGTGTCTAAACAGAGTCAAAACTTAAATTTAAAATTTTAGGTTCTTTCTAATGGTTAAAAAGAAATATGCTTCCCTTATCTCTGAAAAGAAATTAAACAAACCATTTCTTAAAAAAATCACTCCTGTGCTTCACGGGGCAGAATCAAGCCACATGAAAAATGTGTTCCAACCCTAATATGACTGATTTTTAAGAAACTCCATCTAGGTACATCCCCCATTGGTAGTTCAGCCATGCATGGAGCAGTTATGCCCTGTGAACAGCAACACAAGGGTCCACTCCCAGCAGCAGCACTCAGTCAACACACTGCAGTGTCTGAGTTCCCATGCCCTCAATTCAGTGTCCTACAGAACTGCCTTACATCCCACATGGAGAATACACATGATCTTGTCACAGTCACATTGTCCACCCACATCTGACAAGGATGAAAATCCACCTACCTCCCAGCATTCTTGACAAACCCGATATCTGCCAGAACTTCCTGGCAGAGGTCACAGCGGAAGCACTCCGGATGCCAGCTGTTATTCATGGCTTTGATAACTCGGCCAATGATGAATTCACCTGTGGGAAAGCAACACACAAAGGATGTTACTAAGTAACATCCTAAGTAACAGGCATGGCACTTTATTTACTGAGAGAGTAATTAAGGAAAAACAATGAGGAAAAAAACCGTTGAAGCCTTTCTCAATAGAGGAACTTTTTTTTTTTTTTTTTTTTTTTGAGACAGTTTCGCTCTTGTTGTCCAGGCTGGAGTGCAATGGCACCATCTCGACTCACTGCAACCTCTGCCTCCCGGGTTCAAGCGATTCTCCTGCCTCAGCCTCCCAAGTAGCTGGGATTACAGGCTCCTGCCACCACGCCCGGCTATTTTGTATTTTCAGTAGAGACGGGGTTTCTCCATGTTGGTCGAATTCCCGACCTCAGGTGATCCGCCCGTCTTGGCCTCCCAAAGTGCTAGGATTATAGGCGTGAGCCACCACACGTGGCCAGTAGAAGAACTTTTTATGTGTCTACCAGAGTAAGCACATTAGCAAAAAAGTTTTATTTCATCTGAATTTTTGTTTTTGATTCAACAGCCACATTTTTGGGCTGTTTTGTGTCATCTCTGAATCTAGCTTTCCTGTCCAAACGAGCTACTAGGCTCTCTTGAATGCCTTTTGGTTATTTCTGGTCATTGTCAACATAGACAACTGAAATCTACAGCACAGTTTCTTATAACCCATACTTAATTTATTCTTTCATTAAACCTTTAGAACATTCTACCCAGTTTCTTCAATCTCTGGAAACCCGGCAGAGGTATTAGCAACCAGTGAAGTGGCCAACGTGCAAGCAAGTCCATCACTTATGCGCCGTGCAAGCAATGTTTAAGCATCCCTAAGCTTCTGAAGCACCTCACTGATTTCTTCCCTGCCTCTTTCTGGGCAAAACCAAAAGCAAGTTGGTAAAGGTTGTGTTAACACAGGAAAAGAACACTCCCAAACGCCACCCGATAGGAGTCCTAGTTCATCCCAAAATACCTCTACCTTAAATGTCCTTAAAAATCAATGATCTCTAGGTTTTGATACTCCTCCAGCTTGTTCTATGTTAACAATAGGGAAGAGGAGTGATGAAGTATCCAACAGTTATTCATAATGAGCACTAAAAACCATTTTTACCATCGATACTTCACCAGTGTGAAATGACTGAAGTAATGTGGAAACTTACTTTTTTTCCCCGCAAGATGGAGTTTTGCTGTTGCCCAGGCTGGAGTGAAGTGGTGCAATCTCAGCTCACTGCAACCTCTGCCCCCTGGGTTCGAGCGATTCTCCTGCCTCAGCCTCTTGAATAACTGGGATTACTGGCACCTGCCACCATGCCCAGTTAATTTTTGTATTTTTAGTAGAGACGGGGTTTCCCTACGTTGGCCAGGCTGGTCTCGAATTCCTGACCTCAGGTGATCCTCCTCCCTCCGCCTCCCAAAGTGCTAGGATTACAGGTGTGAGCCACCGCGCCTGGCCGGAAACTTACTTTTTACTTGACATTTAGCAGTAAAACTTACCACACTGATGACAGCAAGGGGCAAAGAGCATCTGAAAGTCATGTTCACAGTACTTTCTTCCTTCAAACTGAAAGAGAGGGTACCACCAACTTACAAACACGAAACAATCACAGGAGAAATATAATTATTTGATGAAGATATACAGGAAAGATGTTTCTAAACTAAGAGTTCTACTCTAAGAATTTATAACTCTACTGGGATTTTAAAAAGCAGATACTCTTTTGCACCATCCATACATCTACATGTTGGTACAGGAAAGACATATGGAATAAGTAGAGGCTAGAGTGAACAGTACACCTACAGGGACTGGTGACCTGGCCTCTGACTGTGCTGAATTGTTTTCTGGCTCAAATACCCTGCCTTTAATGAATCTGATGAAAGCTATGGATCACCTCTCCCTCCAGAAAATATGCACATACATACAACTCTCCTCCCACATTTTTCAGGTCGATATCTGTAATTCTCACTGTAACCTCAAATATTTACAAAGGGCAAATATTTTAGCACATTGTATTTTATTATTTTTTTAAATGGGAGTCTTGCTATGTTGCCTAGGCTAGTTCTTGGACTCCTGGCCCAAAGCAATCCTCCTACCTCAGTCTCTCAAAGCACTGGGACCACAGGCGTTAGCCAGTAGCTCAGCCCTAGCACATTTTAAAATGACCAAAATCCATTAAAAAACATTCTCTTAACAGCCAAGATTTTTACATCTTTCATTTCTTGAACTGTTTTCATTTTATGTGCTCCAATTTTATCCTAGTATATTTTTGTACTTGTCTTTAACTGATCACCCTATCATACTTTTCTGCAATTAAAAAATATATATAACATGAAATTTTAAAATGTGCTTTCTGAATCCATAAGGCTGTAAAGGTTAACATTTATTTTCTTCTGTATTATCATTAGAATGATTAGTATAGGACAAGCAAGACACAAATATTAATTTTTTTATACTATGTTTACTTGAAAAGCATATCTTAGTGATAGTGAAATGAGTAGGGCTGCCCTTTCCTCCCACAATTATTTCATGTATCTCATGCATCAATATGGCTTTCCACTAGAAGACTCAGGTTCAATATTAATTCTAGGTCTATTTTCTATTTTGGGTGTTCCTTTTTTTTTTTTAATAGAGAAATGCTAAGAAGCCTTTTTCACATTACTAACTTGTGAGAAATGTTATAGTAATGTCTCCCCTTGAGTCTTCGAGCTCCTTACAAGTTATATGCCAAAAGTCATACACTGTTTGATTATTAAAATCCATTTTTAATGATATCCATTTTTAATGTATCAGTTGGCAACTCAATTTCCTCAAATTATGGCTATAGATTTAGTGCATCCAATTTAGTGAACATATCTACCACAGCTTAACTGGCAAAGTCAGTTCCTACTGTTGAACCAACCAAAGCAGATTTTCTCCTAGAAAAAATAACTTTTTTTTTTTTCCCAGAGTCTCGCTCTGTTGCCCAGTCTGGAGTGCAGTGGTACAATCTTGGCTCACTGTAACCTCTGCCTCTTGGGTTCAGGCGATTCTCCTGCCTCAGCCTCCTGAGTAGCTGGGATTACAGGCGCCCACCACCATGTCCAGCTAATTTTTGTATTCTTAGTAGAGATGGGGTTTCACCATGTTGGCCAGGCTGGTCTCGAACTCCTGACCTCAAGTGATCCTCCCGCCTTTGGCCTCCCAAAGTGCTGGGATTACAGGTGTGAGCTACTATGTCCAGCTTTCACTTTTTAATTCAAATGAATAAGCTGTAATATATTTAATGTATCTTTTTGTTTTTAGACTAGTTCTTGCTATGTTGTTCAGGCTTGTCTTGAACGCTTGGGCTCAAGTGATCCTTCTACATCAGCCTCTTGAGTAGCTGGGATTACAGGCACACACTACCTTGCCCAGATTAATGTATTTGGTTTTTAAAGTTTATTAACAGAAGAGAATAAATTGATATGCTATTACTCGATACTATGCCATACTACATTATAATGTGCAGCCAAAAGTACAAGTATTTATGAAGCACGATATATTTCTGATGAATGTATGCCATCTATATGTATAAAAATCTGATGTTTAGCTTTTAGCAGTAATTAATGGAACTACCATATGATCCAGCAATCTCACTACTGGGAATATATCCAAAGGAAATGGAATCAGTATGTGGAAGAGATATCTGCACTCTCATGTTTACTGCAGCACTATTCACAACAGCCAAGATTTGGAAGCAACCTAACTTTCCATCAGCGGATGAATGGATTAAAAAAATATGGTACATATACCCAGCGGAGTACTCTTTGGCCATAAAAAAGAATGAGATCCTGTCATCTGTGGCGACATGGATGAACCTGTAGGACATTACATTAAGTGAAATAAGCACAGAAGGACAAATACTACATGATCTCACTCATATGTGGAATCTAAAGAGGTTGATTTCATAGAAATAGAGAGTAAAATAGAGGTTGCTGGAGGCTGGGGAGAATGGAGTGGAGGGGATGGGGAGAAGATGGTCAATGGGTACAAAGTTACAGTTAGGACGAATAAGTTCTAGTGTTCTATTGCACAGTAGAGTGACTTTGGTTAATAATATATTGCATTTCAAAATATTTCAAAATAGCTATTTCAAAATAGCTAGAAAAGGGATATTTTGAATGTTCTTACGACAAAGAAATTATAAATGTACAAGGTGATGGATACGTTAAATACCCTGATTTGATTTTTACACAATGTATACATGTATTGAAACATCACACTGTGCCCCATGTGTGTAATTATTATGTCAATTAGAAACAAAAAAACAAAATGACCACAAAACAGCCTTCTGTATCTGCTGGGTCTGCATCCTTGGATTCGATCAACCAAGGATAAAAAAATATGTGGAAGAAAAAACCCCAAACAATAAAAAATACCAATAGAAAAATAAAAATAATACAAATTTAAAAACACAGTGTAACAACTATGTACATAGCATTTACATTTTATTAGCTATTGTTTAAGTAATCTAGAGATAATGAAAAGTATACAGGAGGATGTGCATAGGTTATATGCAAGTAAGTATACCATTTTATATCAGGGACTTGAGCATTCAAAGATTTTGGTAAGCTCTGAGGGTGAGGTGGGAGTGGGGTGGAGGGGGTGTCCTGGAACCAATCCTCTGTGGATACCATAAGACGACTGTGTAAAAACTCATAAATAACTCCATTAGTTAGAAATGATCAACTTTTATTCTGTATTAAATGAAAGAGAAAGATGTATATTGCATAAAAACACTAAAAAGTAGCCCAGCAGTATATATATATATATATATTTTTTTTTTTTTTAAAAAAGGTTGAAAATATAATCACTGTATATGATAAAATAAAATTAGGATTAACTATAATTTGGAAACATCTTTTAACAAGACAGGTAGGAGTCAAGAACACTGACCATGGATCCAGACTGCCTGCGTTCAAAATCTGGCTGAAAGACTCATTGTGTGGCCTTGGGCAAGTTGCTTAACCTCTTAGGGCCTCCCAAGAGTCAAAAAGCGATACTGCTTTGGTCTGTTTGTTCTAGCTCATGGCATACCCTCACTGTGACATTGTGAAATACATATTTGGTCTTCCTCCCAGTTTCTTGGCATACAGCTCCTAAAATCCTTGGAATCTTAAAAGTGATGTCTTTGTATATGTTAATGAGGTGCCTCCTGACTGGCAGCCCCTAGGTAGATTTAGGATGGGACTGGTTACCAGAAAGACCAAGGCAGAATCGGATGGTTGGGGTTTTCAGCCCCACCCTCCAGCCTTCAGGAAAGGCAGAGAGGAGCTGAAGGTTAAGTTGATCACCAGTGGCCAAGTGTTTAATTCATCATGCCTACATAATGAAGCCTCCGTAAAAATTTAAAAGGACAGGGTGCAGACAGCTTCTGGATAGCTGAACACAGTGTAGTTTCCCAGAGGGTGGTGCAGCCAGAGAAGGTGTGGAAGCTCTGACCACCTTCCCCTATATACCTCACCCTACGTATCTCTTCAGCTGTATCCTTTGTAATATCCTTTTTAAAAATTTATTTTATTATTATTATTTTTTTTTTCAGAAACGGTCTTGCCCTGTTTTTTCAGGCTGGAGTGCAGTGGCATGATTATAGCTCACTGTAGCCTCCAACTCCTAGGCTCAAATGATCTTCCCACCTCAGCCTCCCAAGTAGCTGGGACTGTGTGTGCCATCATGCCTGGCTAATTTTGTTATTTTTTGTAGAGACAGGATCTCACTATGTTGTCCAGGCTGCTCTTGAACTCCTGGCTTCAAGCAATCCTCCCACCTGAGTCTCTCAAAGTGCTAGGATTACAGGTGTGCTCTACCGTGCCTGGCTGGTAATATTGTTTAGAATAAACTGGTAGAGCCAGGCATGGTAGCATGTGCCTATAGTCCCAGCTACTGGGGAGGCTGAGGCAGGAAGACTGCCTGAGTCCACGAGATGGAGACTGCAGTGAACTGTGATTGTTCCACTGCACTCCAGTTTAGGTGACAGAGCTTGACTTTGTCTCAAAACAAACAAATAAACATAATACTAATAATAAACCAGTAAAAGTGTTTCCCTGAGCTCTGTGAGTTGCTCTAGCAAATTAATAGAACCAGAAGAGGAAGCTGTGGGATTCCCAATTTACAGAGCATGTCAGCCAGAAGGACAGGTGAAGCAATCTGGGGCTTTCAGTTGGCATCAGAAGGAGGACAGTCCTGGGGCTGCCCCTCAGTCTGTGGTCTCCAGGTAGATAGTGTGGGAATTGAATTGGAGAACGCCCAGCTGGTGTCCACTGCAGAACCGATTGCTTGCTTGGCGTGTGGTGAAGTTCCCACACGTTTGGTCACAGAAGAACTTGTGTTGATTGTTGTGGTGTGCAAGCAGAGGGAAAATGGTTTGTGTTTTCTATCCACCTCATTCACAATTTCTTACCAATGTTCTTTGCTTTGCTCTCCCAGAGCTTTCCCTTAAAATGGATAAATTCTTCTGAAATTAGTCAGGGGATGAAAAAGGCTAAGTCCTAAAAGGAAAGCTGTTGGCTGGGCGCAGTGGCTCATGCCTGTAATCTCAGCACTTTGGAAGGCCGAGGTGGGCAGATAATGAGATCAGGAGTTCGATACCAGCCTGACCAACATGGTGAAACCTGTCTCTACTAAAAATACAAAAATTAGCCAGACGTGGTGGCATGCGCCTGGATTCCTAGCTACTGAGGAGGCTGAGGCAGGAGAATCGCTTGAATCCAGGAGGTGGAGGTTGCAGTGAGCCAAGATCACACCACTGCACTCCAGCCTGGGCGACAGAGCGAAACTCTGTCTCAAAAAAAATAAATAAATAAAAAATAAAAATAAATTAAAAAGGAAAGCTGTTGTAACTACTGCCTACGTCTCTAAATTCAGCATATGCAGTCATCCGCCAGATAACATTTCTGTCAACAATGGACCATATATACTACCATGGTATATGGTATATTTACTGTACTTTTTCTGCTTGGATACTTTTAGATACACAATACTCACCATTGTGTTACAACTGCCTGCAGTATTCTGTATAGTAACATGCTGTACAGGTTTGTAGCCTAGGAGGGATAGGCCATACCATATAGACTAGATGTGTTGTAGGCTATGACATTTAGGTTTGTTAAATACATTCTCTGATGTTTGCACAACAATGAACTTGCCTAATGACACCTTTCTCAGACATTTCCCTGTGGTTAAGGGGCGTGCATATCTGTACCTGAATACAGAATATCCAACACAGTTCCTAAAGCCAAGCTTCTACTTAATGAGAAAATACATAAGGCAGGGAAAGACTGAGCCTTATGGGTTTCAGCACTCCCTAACTAATCCTTTTTGATGGGTATCCTGGAGCAATTAATGATAGTAAGATTTGGGATCTCTTTCTTTTGCAATGTGAGAGAAGTACTATTGTGAATATAAATATGTTTTCAGGCAAAGAGAAAAGGATCCAGAAATTGAGTCCTTCAAAACCAGAATAGGAGGACTTAGAAATAGATTTCCTTGCCACCATTCATCCTGCAAATCTCTTGCACTCTGGGCTATGCTTCTCCAGTGTCACAACTATTGTTAATTCCAGGTGGAGAACTTCTGCTATAATGAGCTGCCTCTTTTCTACAGTGTGTAGAAATGATCAAACATAGTATAGCTCAACTTTTGAGCCTGAGAGAAAGGCCAGAAGTTGATCCAAAGTAAAACTCTATGATATAAAATTTTTTAAAAATCAAGAATCATAAATTGGGAAGATTTAAATTTCTATAAATATAGCCTTTCTAGGTAACTACACATTACATCCCCAAACTGATTTAAACAACGAATACAATAAGCCTGTTAGAAATATTAATGGTCCAAATTAGTATGGTCCAAATTGTTTATAAACAAAATGCCTTAAGAACCCTGGGGTCCCACCGCTTGTGGAAATGGGTCGCTCTGTGTGGGGGAAGATGAGCTCCAAGAATGGCTCTAACTGTTTTAAGTTTTGGAGTTCTGTAAATATTCCCTTTAGGGGAAGAAACAATTATTCTGAGCTGCTTTCAAGTAAGCTCAGAACCGGAAACCAGCTGAAAGTCTCATTTCCAGTCAAGTGCAAAGTTGCAAATCTTCCTTTGGTACTTTATACTGGTTTGTCATAAACTGCCTTGAAGTGAGTGGATCCACAGATAAACAGATGTGCTGGTTGGAAGGGTCTTCCATTTCAGTTTCTGCCTTCCTGAATAATCAGAGTAAATGAGTGAAGAAACCTCTTTGTAAAACATCTTGCTACAAGACTACTCATCATAAACGGGTCTTTCCTGGCCAGGCATAGTGGCTCACTCCTGTAATCCCAGCACTTTGGGAGAACGAGGCGAGCGGATCACCTGAGGTCGGGAGTTTGAGACCAGCCTGACCAACATGGAGAAACCCCGTCTCTAATAAAAATGCAAAATTAGCTGGGCATGGTGGCGCCTGCCTGTAATCCCAGCTACTTGGGAGCCTCAGGCAGGAGAAGCACTCGAGGCCGCAAGGTGGAGGTTGCGGTGAGCCAAGATCGCACATTTGCACTCCATCCTGGGCAACAAGAGTGAAACTCTGTCTCAAAAAAAATAAAAATAAAAATAAAAAATTAAAAAAATGGGTCTTTACTGTTAATGCATTTTGTGATGGGAAAAAAGGGACACATTTGTGAAATCCAAACTAAGGAGAGAGAAATGTGAAGCACCAACAAAGAACCCAGCCCTGAGCATGTACTAAGTCAGGGTTAATCAGCTGCACACCAGGTCCCTAGTCCTTGGTTCAGTCCATCCCACTCTGCAATACTTCCTGGACTTAAATCACTCTTGTAACTGTTGGCTCCGCTTCACTCCCAAAAGTATTTTCTTATGGGAAAAATTAAAATACTTCTTTTACTGGAGATAATGCTGGATGTCACAAAGATTTAGGAACCACTATAGTTAGCGTTAGGGCCTCTGGGTTGAAAGGGTATTTCCCTGGGTAAATGGCATCTAATCACTTGAGCTCAGGAGTTCGAGACCAGCCTGGGCAACAGGGCAAGACCCTGTTTCTGCAAAAAAAATTTTTTTAATTATCTGGCTGTGGTAGTGTGTGCCTGTAGTCCTAGCTACTAGGGAGGCTGAGGTGGGAGGATTGCTTGAGCCCAGGAAGTCAAGGCTGCAGTGAGCCATGATTGTGCCACTGCACTCCAGCCTGGGTAACACGGTAAGACCCTGTCTTAAGAAAAAGAAAAGAAAGAAAAAAAAAGAGAAACTGTAGTTGAGACAGAAATACTGGTGCTCATTTCTTCAGATATATGTTCTGGTAAGTGGTTAGGAAACAAGGATCTCATTCTATACTTGCCTCTGTGGCCAAAGGGAAGAATGTCCTATTTAATTCAAAGTACCAGAAAGTTCTACCATAAAAGTAAATCACATTTTCAAGGGGAAGTGAGTGCACAGACCCCATTTCTAAGTCTCCCTAACTAGTCTTCTAGAGAAAAGAAAAAATAGAGGCTGTGGAAATCAGGGAAGGAAGTTGTTCTGATAACGAGACAAAAGCAATAACAAAGATATAGAGTGGCGAAGATGCATTTATTATACAAAGACTGAAGCACATCAGTCATGTCCCAAATGGAAGGCAAACTGGGTAAGTTTCCAAGCTTTCTTTTCTGGAAAACAACTTATTGCTGGATATAACTGAAAGTGAAGATTATTTGTTAGCAGTCTTGGATAGTTTTTTTCTCTAATATCATTTAACCAAAAAGAAATGTCTTATTCTCCAGATGCAGGTTTACACATCCCTGGGCTGGTTTTAATGATAAACAATTTAGCCAAAATAGTAATCTTCCTCAGGACCCAACAGATCTTGAACTGGGCAACAGCCCATGAATAGCCTAGTTCTGGGTATTCATCGCATCTTTTGGAATAACAGCACACAGACCCAGGGAGGGTATTTATAGTCCAGTGTGAGGGGTGGGCAGGACGAGATGAGTCACACTTTATTCTTCACTGCTCAAGGCTGTTCTGAGCTTTTCCCTCTGACTCAGCACCAGTGGCCTCACAGCTGACAGGGCCTAAATGCGGCAGCAGGAGCTCAGGAAGCGGTCATGCTGCTTAATGAAGGTAGCTTAACCATCATGTTCGTTCCTAAGTCACAGGCAAAATGGGAGAAAGAAGGTGACGGAGGGCTGGAGCTACAGGGTGCTCACAGGGGAAAGAGCAAGCCAGGGATATAAGGAAAATGTCTGGAAAAACAAAGCCTGTCTTTTTCTCTGAGTTCTTCTCTATTGCTCCCCTGGACCGAGCTCTCCTAAGGCCTTTGTCATAATTGCCCATTTCAATAAAAATATCTTATATTTAAAAAGAATATGTAAGGGAAAGAATATTGTATTAGATACTAGGAGACCAGCTAGGCTCTCATCTCTTTCATGTCGCAAACCTGCTATGTTATCAGACATTTCAACCTCTCTGGACTACAGGAGAGAAAAAAAAGAAGGGAGGGATACAGAAGGGATTCATATAGTGAGAAGACCATGCTCTCTCCAAGCCAGCTTTCCAGAATTCCCTTCAATGTGCCTTGGGAGTCTCACCTCCTTCCTTGCCATAGTCCCCGCAGGCCTCCATGGTGCCGAGGTAGAAGTAGGTCCTCAGGTCCCTTTAACTGAATTGAGTCATGGCTCACCACCACTACCACCAGCAAACGCCCTCTCTTCTTGCTGCCGCAGCACCTAGGGATTTCCTATTCCTTCTCCTCACCAGCTAATCACAATCTACCTATAGCCTCAGTAGGGGGTCTCTATGCCTGATGCCTCCATTCACACCTCTGGAGCTCCTCTCCTGCCCTCTTCTGCTGTGGTACATTGGCCTCTCCTGCTCCTGTCCATCTTCACAACTGTCATTTGCCCATCCCTAAATCCATCATCCTTGCCCAAAAGATTCCCACTGCCCAGGGAAGGAGTCAGGAAGAACAGGAAGAACTGTAAGAAGATACATAGAGCATGTTTGGAGGCCTAAAGAAATAAAGTTAAAAAAAAAAAAAGAACTAGAAGAAAAGAGAAAACGAAAACCTCTTTCCACTGCTAAGGTTTTTGTTGTTGGGAATGTGTGTTTTGGGGACACAATAGGAGCTTAAAAAAATGTGTGCTAGTGAATAAAATAGCATTCCTTAACCCAAACCCTTAAAGCTGTTTCCAAGTTGACATTATTACATACTTGCTAGCCCTGTATTTCATGTACCCATGATGGGGTAAACAGCTTTTCTGTGGGCTGGCCTGGGAACCCCACTCTCATGTTTGTTTCTATGGGAAAATGCTGCCGGAGTGGCATACAATGGACTTACCAATGATCTTTGTCAACTACCTTTCCTTGCTCAAGCATGGTTTATATAACAGGGAAACATAAAAATCTGCTAGGCAAAAGAAGAAATCAAAGAGCAGCCATCTCCAGCTATAAAATAATTCTATATACATATATTATCATATATAGATGTGCATTTACGTACAAATATGTAAGAAGTAAGGTGGTAAAAGTAAATTACCTATTTGATCTAACACACACATACACCTCACTCTCACCTTCATTTATAGCCTGGGGTCAGCATTTCTAGATTATCCCCCAAAATACATGTTTACTGTGAGAAAGGAGTTTCAGTAGGCCAGACATGGTGGTTCATACCTGTAATCCTAGCACTTTGGGAGGCCGAGGATCACCTGAGCCCAGGAGTTTGAGACCAGCCTGGGCAACATAGGGAGACTCCGTTTCTATGAAAAATAAAATTAGTCGGGCATGGTGGCACGTGCCTGTAGCCCCAGCTACTCAGGAGGCTGAGGCTGGAGGATCACTTGAGCTTAGCAGTTCAAGGCTGCAATGAGCTATAATCATGCCACTACACTCTAGCCTGGGCTATACAATGAGACTTTGTCTCAAACAAAACAAAACAATAAAAAACAACAAGAAAGGGGTTTCGGTAATGTTGAAAATACCAAATACACTACAAAGGAAGTGCAGACCATATGCTAACACCCGAGGATCAAGAAAAACAAATATTTAGAAAAGAACATAGACACCCAGGAGAGCTAAATGTAGACAGTATAGTTCCCTAAAATACTTATTTTTTTTTCCCTTAGAAAATAAATGCATGGACGCTCCTGGCTCGAGGCTGGGAAGTTGTGGAGGGGGTGACGTACACCACACGCTCTCCTTTAGAGCAGGTCCAGTGGTCCTCTGAGAAGGGGGAAAGACACAGAGACAGGAGTGGGTGAGGTGTGTGGGGGGCCTGAGTGTGGCTGAAGACTCAGAAAGAATTTTCTATGTGGAGCTGAGCTGCTTAGGTCTGAAAGGCTCTGTCATAAGGGACTCTGGGTTCTGAAATAGGACGATGAACTGAGCAATACAAATGCAGGGTCTGTGAGGGTGTCCCAATCATGCCACTGCCCATATGGGCCATAGAGATGCCACCTCTGACCTCACAGCTATCAAATACCTGGCATGCATGTGGCACTTCAGTCTTTCATCATGAAACTGAACATGAAGGAGGAGGCCTCAGGAAAGAAGGGCAGGAAGCGGGAGGGCGGGGAATGGCACCTCCCTGCTTTTGTCCAGTGCAACTCACCTCATAGAAGAGTCCTTCTGGGAACTGCTGGAAGCACTGAGCGCACACGAAACACTGCTCATGGTACAGCTCCCCATTACTGTTCACGATCTTCTCAGCGGGCGCAAAGCCGCCCTTGCAGCGCTCGCAAGTGGCGCTGGCCAGGGCGTTGGCCATGTTGCTGTAACACGCAAAGAACAGCAGGTTGCAGACCGTCAGCCACTTCTTAGATCGAAGATCAAACAACACTAAGAACCGAGCAGCAAATTCTATCTGATCACAAAAACCCTATTTTATCTAAAAAGCTCAATTTCTTGCTTGTTCCTTACATGCTCTGAACTCGGACTCTTCAGCCTCTTTACCGTAGCATCTGAGGCTCTGTAAGGGTGTCCCACTTTGATTCTGTTTCTAACATTTTTGGCATTCTTCTTGCTGAATATACTATGAGTGAGTGCCTACTATGTGTTAGGCACCTGAGACAGAGATGAAAGTTACAAGCTGCTCTCAAGGAATTGGGTTTATAGCTTAATAAGTAGCTTAATTAAAATATCCAAAAGTCAACATCTCAAGGCCAGTTTCTTTCCCTTCTGAGAACAGAATCTAAAATGCATGTCAACTAAATGCCATGTCATATAACCTAGACACGGGTTATCCCTTTGATTAAATCCTGTGGAAAACAACTGCTTAAGTAGCCTTAAAACCAGCCAAGATGCCCCAGTCCTGTTACCTAATCGGTAAGACGAACCTGATTACCAATATTATAAAATGTATCTTAAAATCACAGAATTTTACATAATAAAGATCATTTTACAGATGGCAAAACAGGTTCACAGAGATGGAAGGATCAGACCAACATCACAAGGCTAATTAGTTAAAGGAAGGCGCAGGACTAGAAATCCAGGTCCCCTGCTCATAAAATCACACTGTCAATCAAAACAGATTACACCACGAATTTCAAACACTTGAAAGGACATGACAGGGATACCACCACGTTTCATAGGTTAGGAAAGTGACACCAGGTTGTCAAGTAACCACTGCTGCGGCTGGTGACGTGGGAAATTCCCCCATCGGTAGCCTCACTACACCTTAAAACACAGAAGGCATTCAATAAATAATCTCAGGCTCTAACCACTGTGCAGTTTGGAAGAAGGAAAGCAACATGGCAGATGGCTGCAGTGGCTCACGCCTGTAATCCCAGGACTTTGGGAGGCTGAGGACAGTGGATTACTTGAGGTCAGGAGTTCGAGACCAGCCTGACCAACATGGTAAAACCTCGTCTCTAGTAAAAATTCAAAATTAGCCGGGTGTGGTGGCACATGCCTGTAGTCCCAGCTACTTGGGAGGCTGAGGCAGGAGAATCACTTGAACCTGGGAGGCGGAGGTTGCAGTGAGCCAAGATCTTGCCACTGCACTCCAGCCTGGACAACAAGAACAAAACTCCATTTCAAAAAAGAAAAAGGAAAAGAAAAGCAACATGGCTTTGACAGGCATACAATTAGATGAGGATTTCACGTGAAGACCTATTTATTTCTTAAAAGTCCTAGAAATGGAGAAGGTCCCCCATGCCAAGCGGTCCTTCAATTTTTGGCAAGTTTATTTTCACAGGCCTACCCACAGCATGAGCTCTACACCTGTGTGTCTAGTTCCCTGGTACAGCTTCTGACCTTCCAGATATTTAATCAATGTACTTCATGAAGTTATTACCAATGTTCTCCTGAATTTTCACAACCAACTAGTGAGACAGACAGGTAGACAGTCTCCATTCTATAAACAGAGTAACTAACTGCCTTGCCCCTATTGGTTTCCAAGTTTTGCTGTTTCCTTAGCAAAAGTGGTTCCACTTACTTGCTTCACTCCCCTCCACACCTCTGGAAGACAACTTTCCCTTTGCCTTTCTCCCCAAAATGTTTCACAAAACAGTCATCCTGTTTTGTAGCCTTGCCATAAATAACTGCGTGCAGACACACCATGTTCATCACTTCAGACCCGTCAAAGCTCAACTTTATTTAACAGGTTTGAATGCAGAATTAAAATGTCACAAAAAAAAGGAAGGAAGGGAGAAAGGGAAGCAGCTTCACTGCTCAGTAAACCTGGCCCAAGCCTCATGTTAAAATGAATTTCCATTCTGTCATTTCAAAGTTACTGTAGGTTGGGGAAAAAATCTGTAAAATTCTCATCATCGCCCAGCTTTGCCGTAAGCCAGATGATTGTGGCAGTTTTACAAAACTCTGGAGGGGTTTGTGCTTCTTCCCTCTTTCTGACCAAAGTCCACAGGTATTCCTGGATGAAGGAGCACGGTAAGCTCCACATCTGCCTGGTCATTCTCAGTGCTGTTCTCATTATTGTTCTGAGGAAAAAGTATTTTAAACTATTTGGAAACCGTAAGATGCTGCTCATATATATGGCTCTGTTGTTAATTCTAAACCCTCTCAAAAGATTCACCAAACCTCAACAATCTTAATGGGACTCTAAAAAAGCCCAAAAAGAATATTCTAGAATGTCCTGGATCATTATCACCTAAATCAGTCGTTTTCAAAATGTCAGCGTCACCATGACCCTTTCAGGAGGCAGAAAAGTCCTCTTTTCCAACTACATCTCTGTGGGAGGCCATGTTTTCTTCATATATTTCATCTAAAACAATAGACTGTAATAGGTTGAATGCAGAAACAAATCTGAGAAACTTTTATTAACAAGATTTGCAAAAATGTAACGCAATGCCATCCTTTCCTCTAAGCCTCTTCCATTTTGGAAAACAGTTATTTTTCATGACAACATTAATATTAACATTTACTATTATTAACACGTAATAAGCTTAGTGTTGTTTTTAAATGAATTAATAAGTATTTTAAATTGTTCCCAGTTTCAATTTCTCATATGGTAAATACTGATAAATGAAAGTCCTTTGGGAACCTTAATAGTTTTTAAGAGTGTTAAGAGGCCCTTAGATTAAAACGTTTGATTATCACTGACCAGTTTAAACTCATTATAATATAGATTGTTTCTACTTAAGTTCAAATACTCAAGTAGAATTAGGAAATAGGTAGATACATCATAAAAACAAGCACACAGTTACTTCCCACACACAGGAAAAATCCGCTAGTTTTAGAGGTAATATAATATATATTTTGCAAGAAGTATTCCTTTTCATCACAAGCAGGGGGAAAAAGGAAACAGAACAATCACCTTGCTGCCCCCTGAACCAGTCAGGCTTCCCTTTCCTCTTTTGCCTTTGACCCTCTGGCACAATGCCTGTTGTTTTTTTTTTTAAATGTTGATTTTATATTTAATACTACAGATGACAGAAATTACTTTAAAAAAGTCATTAGTGACAGTTATAGCTACCATCAGATTAGTTATAATTAATTAGCTAATTTTTCAGAAAAAGATTTTCAGTAAAAAGTGTTGATGACAAGAAATATGTAAGTGGGGGAGTATCTATCTATCTATCTATCTATCTATCTATCTATAGATAGATAGATAGATATTTATATGTAAAAGTCAGGACAGGCATGACTGATGAAGCTGATCTACTTCCACAAATCAACCTCACACAGCACAACTGATATCTTGCTTTCCATTATTCAAGTATGCAAAACAAATTGTTTGGTCCTAAAATGCAGCAATGTATAAATCCAAAAATCTTCTTGAGAGTTCACCAAGCAGTCAAAATATTGGTTACTGTATTATTACAATTCCCCAGTTACTGTCAAACAGAGCTCTCTGTGAGTTGTGAAGATAAGTGACATCTGTACCACAGAGCACGGATTATGGAAGTAGAGAACCGGGTCAGTTAAATTCTCATTAACTCTTACTTGACAAATTTGGGATACGCAGTAATTCTAAGCTCACAACTTTGAATGAGGTCAATAATCTTGAGCTGGTCTGATGGCTACTCTGCATTTTCTTAAAAAAATGTGTTTGCTAAAACCTATTTAATAATATAAATTAGCCTAGCTTTTTAGAGTTAACAGTATGTTCTATATGTGTATTGAGCTGCTACTTATACGATATATATATTTATTCATTCAATTAAGAAACCCAGTTAGCTTACTTCAAATTGTTGATTATTACACAAAACAAAAATATTTATCTTTACCAACAGTCTGTAATTTGTTTTTTTCACTGTCCCAACCCATCTGCCCCTTATCTTTGGGCCGTTTTAGACTGCAGAATTTTTCTAACGTAATTACTGACAATGACAACACTAAGCCTCCCTTGCGGACGACATGATGAAAATGCAGTTAGTTACCAAGTGATCAGGAACCTACTAAAGACGGGGCCGCCATGCTCTCACAGTGAGGGCAGCACCTCCCTCCCATCTGCGTGTCGCTGCATGTCTTACCGACAAGGCAGTCTCCTGTCTCCCTAAACATGCTGCGCTGCGAGCCCCTCGGAGCCCTACCACCCTGGAAAACTCCCACCCAAAGTCCAGTCAATAAAATTGTATGGGCCAGCTCAGGATGGCTCCTGAACAGACAGCCAAGAACGCTGGACCTGGAAGAGGGCACTCCAGGAGAGGAGACACTCACAATTTCGCATAAAAGTCACAGAACTCCTTGTAGACTTTCACGTCACTGTGCCTGCGCTGCAGTTTGGAAACAGCCCTCTCGTCCTCGGTCCCATTGGCCTCGTGGACAGTGTTAAGGGCTGCTCGGGGGATTTCTTCGTTCTCTGGGATAATGCAGGGGCGCGCTCGGCCTGAGAAGGCCATCGTGGGTGCTTGAGAGCTCTGAGCACAGGGACGAGAATGGCAGGACACAGAGCCAGGAGAAACAATATCCAGGCCTCCCTGCTTCCCAGCCAGGGTCACTCCCACTGTTCCCACGCACGTCAGCCTGGCCCGCCAGGGTCACTACTGCTGCTTCATGTTAAGAGCTCAGCAGCACAGTACACAGTTACATGGCAGTCAGGATTTACTGAGGCATTCTGGAAGTTCTAAAATAACATTCCACAAAGTAGTGACACAGTCTTTGTCAGAGCGGCAGTCCCAGTGGACTATGCTATAAACACTGCACCAGGAGACCGGGGCTACCTTGTAAGCCTCCAAGAGAAAGAAATATCCACACGTGCCTTGCATATTTGCCACAAGACTTCATCAACAATGCCGTGCTTTTCACTCTGGAGGGCATAAGAGGCTTTTGGAGACCTTGTAAAACATCCCCTGACAAGCTCTCCCTGAGGCTGAGGCTGCTGGCACACTCTGAGGAGCATTTGAACCCTGCCTGGACCTGGGCTTCCACAACCCTGGCCATGACTGCCAGCTATGCCTGATGGGTCCCTTCCCCAGGAGGCCATGAGCCCCTAAAACTAAGAGCTATGTTTGACTTCTATCACCTTTGCTACTGGTACATAGTCACAAATGTACTCAGTCCAATCTCAGCTTCAATGAATGGGCACAAGTGGAAACAGACAAGGGCCAGTGTTTAGTTATAACTCTTCTACTGGACTCCAGCTAACCTCAAAGCTTAGGTGAGCCGATGTTTCTCAGTCTCTATCATGACTAAGGAAACTGTTACATACTTTGGCATTCTTGCTATATTCAGTTCACACTCCTGTCTCCTGTGATTGAGTTAGCAATGCGAAAGGAAACTAAATCACTAAGCCAAGGAAAAAGTCAAGCTGGAAACTACGTCAGGCAAACTTGCCTCCTGTTTTATTGCTAAATAAGATAGCTACAAAGATAACAACCTACATCCCTCCCTCACCATTTGCCCGCGAGAAAACTCCTTATGGAAAAAGGACAGACACAAACTCAAAGTCATCCCTTTGAGGCTCACTTGAGACAAATGCATAACTGATTGCTTCCTCTGCCCTATTGTTCACGTAAAAATGTAGGTTCACTGAGCCAGACACAATTGTGTATTCATCGGAAGGCTGATCAAGGACTCAAAAGACTGCAACTTTTTGTCTCTTATCTACTTCTGGCCTGGAAACCCCCTACTTCGAATTGTTCCACCTTACTGGACTGAACCAATGTACATCTTACATATATTGATTGATGTCTCATGTCTCCCTGAAATGTATAAAAGCAAGCTGTACCCCGACCACCCCGGGGCGCATGTTGTCAGGACCTCCTGAGGCTGTGTCATGGGTGCGTCATTAACTTTGGCAAAATACATGTTCTAAATTGAGTAAGACTTGTCTCATATACTTTTTGGCTTACAGCAATGATGACAATCATGATGTAGCACTAGAGACAACTAAAGGGCTCAGAATCTTTCTCACGTCCCCATCCTCTCAGGGCAGTGTGCCACCCACCAAAACCAAGAGACTGTGAAATAAAATCTACAGAACAGGCGCAAGGCACACTGATGGACAGTCACGGAACCAGCAGCGACAAACAAAATGCAGCCAGAGACACCAAGTAACAACCATAAATAATGATATCCAAGAGTCAGTGAGTGCTTCCTATCACATCCCTTAATCCTTCCCACGGCTTCTGAGATAGGTGTTAGTTACAAATGAAGAAACTGAGGCACAAAGAGACTGAATAACTACTAAGGAGGTGGTGGAGTCAAGATTTAAACCTAGGCACTCTGAGTCCAGAGCCTATGTTGTTAATCCCTATGTGAGAAAATGTTAAACATAATTACTGGGAAGCACAATGGTTAGCCAGAAAAGATGAGGGAGTGGGTACCAGATAGGACTGGAAGCAGGGGACCAAGTCTTTCTACTTTGAACCCTAAAAATCTCAGAGGATAGGTCAAGAACTCAAAGGCTGTGGGCTACAGATCCTGCCCAGGCCCAAAGCCTATGGCTCATGAAACAAGGGAACCACCATATTTAAATAAGAAAGGAACAACCTCATGGTTTAAAATTTTTCCTTTCAATTTATCTATATTTCCTAATTTTTTAGGTTTTTTTTTTACAATGACCATGTGAAACAGTGAGGAGGCAGGGAGGGAGGGGAAGAAAGAGACAGACAGACAGATGGATGGGGACAGAGGCAGGCTGACTCAGACCAGAAATTTAATGCATCCGGTGGGGGTGGCATGGTAGGAGGCAGGAAGCCACGTGAGCCTTCTGCTCAGAATTCTCCCTCACAGTCTCCCCAGTGCTCACATCTTACGTGACTACAGTACAGGAGCAAAACCAGGAACCTGACATTGCAACAATGCATGTGTGCGGGTGTCTGTCATTTCATCACATGGGCAGCTTCCTGTAACATCAGCCTCTATCAAGTTACAGGACTATTCCATCACCACAGACTTCTCTTTCATGTTATCTCTGACCATCACATACCTCTGCACACTCCAACACTCCTAACCTCTGGCAACCACTCATGTGTTTTTCATTTATATGATTCTGTTATTTAAAGAATGTTACCAAATGGAATCGTTCATGTGACATCTTAAGGCTTTTCATTCAGCACAATGCCCTGAGATCAATCCAAGTTGCTCCACATGTCCAGTTTGCTCTTGTTTACTGCCACGTAGTATTCCATGACATGGATGCATAGTTTGTTTCACTGTTCACCCGCTGAAGGGCATTTAAGTACTTTCCTTCCAATTTGTGGCACTGTGAATGAAACTATAGAAATTTCTGTATTGAATATATTTTTATTTCTCTGGGATAAATGCCCAACAGTAAAATTGCTGAGTTGTATGGTAAGTGAATGCTTAGGTTTTAAAGAAACTGCCTGTCATATTGTGACTTTTAATAATAAATCTATTCTTGGTCTCCGCCCCCATTTCCTGGCACAGGACTCCTAAAACTCTTGGACTCTCTGAAGTGGTAAGTGTCTTTTGTAGGCTAATGTGACAGGTGTGGGGGTGGCTGCTGGAGAATCAACCATGCAATAAGAAGGCTGCAACTTTCAGCTCCAGCCCCAACCCCTTGGAAGGGAGAGGAGTTGTGGTCAATGATCAAATCAATCATGCCTATGAAAAGAAGCCTCCATAAAAACTCAATAGGACAGTTTAGGGGAACTTCTGGGTTGCTGAACATATGGAGGTGCTGGGAGGGTGGCGCTCCCAGAGGAGAGAAGCTCTGCTCTGTTTCCCCACACCTTGCCCCATTATCTCTTCCATCTGGCTGTTCTTAACTCAAGTTATGCTATGTAAAGATTACTACGGGGAAGCAGATAGAGATCTTTCCTTTTATCTGGTTTCCTCTACTTACATCTGTGACTATTTTAATGAGGGTGGTTGGCACACAGTAACCCTAAATAGAACTCTTCAATAGAGGTCACCTTAACATGACCTGGTTTTATGATCAAAGGTACCATATACTATGAAGATATTTTTAAACTGTTTAATCAATCAATGTAACATTTTATATGAATGTAAAACAGGTTTGTGGCTCTGTTCCTTTGTTTACAATTTTGCTAGATCTCATTCTCTCCTCTTGGCCTTTCTTTCAATCAGGAATATCCTACTGGGAGTTGGGAGGGAAAAGAGAAGCTGACGTTCTGAACGAAGAAAAGATGCAGCAAGAAAGCTAGATTGTCTTCTATCACACTCTATAGATCACCTTCCCATTAGCCTCTCCCTAGGAACTGATGACCCAACCAGTTGATTCTCAGCATAAATAATACAAGGCAAAGAAATTCTCTGCACATTACCCAAGCTACTTACACTGAAACGACAAAGGAACTAATGTGGGGGTTAAAGACAAGCAGGAGGCTCAGACATGTCCTCCACTGCAATGGTGGGAGTAAACAGGCCCCGGGGTTTCAGGAGCTGGTGACAGCACTGATGGGCTGCCCTTCCTTTAGCAGCCCATTTTGGCATTCTGGTAAAGTCTACTTCTTCTAGAAAAATAGTTGCTCGCATTATTCCATTGTTGGCTTTACATCATTCCTGGACATATGGAACTTTTACTATGAGCCCATGATGCAATAGGCCCAATGTGGTGCCTAAGAAGTATCCAGCCCACCATCAGTAGAAGATACTACAATCTGCTGAATGAATGAATGAATGAATAAATAAATAAAAGTCATAGCCTCTGCTTCTATGACTATACAGTACATAGTTTGGTGCCCAGTGCTGAGTGAACAAGGTTGTTTGTATGTCGTGAATAAGGATCTGTAACAGTGTGGCCATGGAATGTTTAGGTGGTGGTCAGGTGCAGTGGCTCACGCCTGTAATCCCTGCACTTTGGGAGGCCGAGGCGGGTGGATCACCTGAGGTCAGGAGTTTGAGATTTGGCCAGGAGCCTGGCCAACATGATGAAACCCTGTCTCTACTAAAAACACAAAACATTAGCTGGCGTGGTGGTGGGCACGTGTAATCCCAGCTGCTCAGGAGGCTGAGGCAGGAGAATCGCCTGAACCTAGGAGGCAGAGGCTGCAGTGAGCCGAGATTGTGCAACTGCACTCAAGCCTGGGCAACAAGAGCAAAACTCCGTCTCGAAAGAAAAAAAAAAAAAAAAGAAAAGAAAAGAAAGTTTAGGCGGCACACAATTCTCCCAAAAAGACTACCTGCAGTCACTTATCTTATTTAGCTACAACAGAGTAAAGCTAAAAGAAATATGTTATTTTTTCAAGAGGACAAGGGAGTGGTTTAATTCCGAATAAACACCATAGCTCAACTTTTATATTCAGGCATTTTGATACTGTTAAATCATTTTCAGGAATTAATAATGTCACTCTAAGAAATGCAAACAAATTTGACTGAAACTACTACTGCCACGGCAGTGGCATCAGAATAGCCATTGAAGTAGGGTGGGAGGCTGTTGTTTGAAAATACCAAAAAAGTCAGATTCGTCTGAATAGCAGGTCTGCTAGGTGGCTTTTGGTGAAGAATTAGGATTGTGCGAGGTCCTCAATTCCCTAAGGGCGTTTTTCTTTTTTTTACTGTTGAAAGTATTTATTTTATTATACTTCAAGTTCGAGGTAGGTACATGTGCAGAACGTGCAGGTTTGTTACATAGGTATACATGTGCCATGGTGGTTTGCTGCACCCATCAACCTGTCATCTACATTAGGTATTTCTTCTAATGCTATCCCTCCCCTATCCCCCACCCACCGACAGGCCCCGGTGTGTGATGTTCCCTTCCCTGTGTCCATGTGTTCTCACTGTTCAACTCCCACTTATGAGAACATGCAGTGTTTGGTTTTTTGTTCTCGTGTTAGTTTGCTGAGAATGATGGTTTCCAGCATCATCCATGTCCCTGCAAAGGACATGAACTCATCCTTTTTTATGGCTGCATAATATCCTATGGTGTATATATGCTACATTTTCTTTATCCAGTCTATGATTGATAGGCATCTGGTGTGGTTCCAAGTCTTTGCTATTGTGAACAGTGTTGCAACAAACATACATGTGCATGTGTCTTTATAGAATGATTTATAATCCTTTGGGTATATACCCAGTAATGGGATTGCTGGGTCAAATGGTATTTCTAGTTCTAGATCCTTGAGGAATCGGCACACTGTCTTCCACAATGGTTGAACTAATATACACTCCCACCAACAGTGTAAAAGTGTTCCTATTTCTCCACATCCACTCCAGCATCTGTTGTTTCCTGACTTTTTAATGATCACTATTCTAACTGGTGTGAGATGGTATCTCATTGTGGTTTTGATTTGCATTTCTCTAATGATCAGTGATGATGAGCTGTTTTTCATGTCTGTTGGCTGCATAAATATCTTCTTTTGAGAAGTGTCTGTTCATATCCTTTGCCCACTTTTTGATGGGGTTTTTTTCTTGTAAATTTGTTTTAGTTCTTTATAGATTCTGGATATTAGCCCTTTGTCAGATGAGTAGATTGCAAAAATTTTCTCCCATTCTGTAGGTTGTCTGTTCACTCTGATGATTGTTTCTTCTGCTATGCAGAAGCTCTTTAGTTTAGTCAGATCCTGTTTGTCAGTTTTGGCTTTTGCTGCCATTGCTGTTGGTGTTTTAGACATGAAGTCCTTGCCCATGCCTATGTCCTGAATGGTATTGCCTAGGTTTTCTTCTAGGGTTTTCATGGTTTTATGTCTTACATTTAAATCTTTAATCCATCTTCAGTTAATTTTTGTATAAGGTGTAAGGAAGGGATCTAGTTTCAGCTTTCTGCATATGGCTAGCCAGTTTTCCCAACACCATTTATTAAATAGGGAAACCTTTCCCCATTGCTTGTTTTTGTCAGGTTTGTCAAAGATCAGATGGTTGTAGATGTGTGGCGTTATTTCTGAGGCTTCTGTTCTGTTCCATTGGTTTATATATCTGTTTTGGTATAAGTACCATGCTGTTTTTGTAGTAACAAAACAGCCTTGTAGTAACAAAGTAGACTTGTAGTATACTTTGAAGTCAGGTAGCGTGATGCCTCCAGCTTTGTTCTTTTTGGTTAGGAATGTCTTGGCTATGCAGGCTCTTTTTTGGTTCCATGTGAAATTCAAAGTAGTTTTTTCCAATTCTGTGAAGAAAGTCAATAGTAGCTTGATGGGGACAGCATTGAATCTATAAATTACTTTGGGCAGTATAGCCCAAAATTGATTCTTCCTATCCATGAGCATGGAATATTTTTCCATTTGTTTGTGTCCTCTCTTATTTCCTTGAGCAGTGGTTTGTAGTTCTCCTTGAAGAGGTCCTTCACATCCCTTGTAAGTTGTATTCCTAGGTATTTTATTCTCTTAGTAACAACTGTGAATGGGAGTTTACTCATGATTTGGCTCTCCGTTTGTCTGTTATTGGTGTATAGGAATGCCTGTGATTTTTGCACATTGATTTTGTATCTGGAGAATTTGCTGAATTTGCTTATCAGCTTAAGGAGATTCTGGGCTGACACGATGGGGTTTTCTAAACATACAATCATGTCATCTGCAAATAGAGACAATTTGACTTGCTCTTTTCCTAACTGAATACCCTTTATTTATTTCTCTTGCCTGATTGCCCTGGCCAGAACTTCTAATACTATGTTGAATAGGAGTGGTAAGAGAGGGCATCCTTGTCTTGTGCTGGTTTTTTAAAGGGATTGCTTCCAGTTTTTGCCCATTCAGTATGCTATTGGCTGTGGGTTTGCCATAAATAGCTCTTATTATTTTGAGATACATTCCATCAATGCCTAGTTTATTGAGAGTTTTTAGTATGAAGCACTGTTGAATTTTGTCGAGGCCTTTTGTGCATCTATTGAGATAATCATGTGGTTTTTGTCATTGGTTCTGTTTATGTGATGGATTACGTTTATTGATTTGCGTATGTTGAATGAACCTTGTATCCCAGGGATGAAGCTGACTTGACTGAAGTGGATAAGCTTTTTGATATGCTGCTGGATTCCGTTTGCTAGTATTTTATTGAGGATTTTCGCATTGATGTTCATCAGGGATATTGGCCTGAAATTTTCTTTTTTTGTTGTGTCTCTGCCAGGTTTTGGTATCAGGATGATGCTGGCCTCATAAAATGAGTTAGGGAGGAGTCCCTTTTTTCTATTGTTTGGAATAGTTTCAGAAGGAATGGTACCAGCTCCTCTTTGTACCTCTGGTAGAATTCAGCTGTGAATCCATCCAGTCCTGGACTTTTTTTGGTTGGTAGGCTATTACTTGCTGCCTCAATTTCAGAACTTGTTATTGGTCTATTCAGGGATTTGACTTCTTCTTGGTTTAGTCTTGGGAGGGTGTACATGTCCAGCGATTTATCCATTTCTTCTAGATTTTCTGGTTTATTTGTGCAGAGGTGTTTACAGTATTCGCTGATGGTAGTTTGTATTTTTGTGGGATCAGTGGTGATATCCCCTTTATCATTTTTTATTGCATCTATTTGATTCTTCTCTCTTTTCTTCTTTATTATTCTCACTAGTGGTCTATCTATTTTGTTGATCTTTTCAAAAAACCAGCTCCTGGGCCGGGCGCGGTGACTCATGCCTGTAATCCCAGCACTTTGGGAGGCCGAGGCGGGCGGATCACGAGATCAGGAGATCGAGACCATCCTGGCTAACGCGGTGAAACCCTGTCTCTACTAAAAATACAAAAAATTAGCCGGGTGTGTTGGCAGGCGCCTGTAGTCCCAGCTACTCATAGTCCCAGCTATTCGGGAGGCTGAGGCAGGAGAATGGCATGAACTCGGGAGGCGGAGCTTGCAGTGAGCCGAGATCGCACCACTGCACTCCAGCCTGGCGACAGAGCCAGACTCCGTCTCAAAACAAAACAAAATAAAACAAAACAAAACCCCAGCTCCTGGATTCATTTATTTTTTAAAGGGTTTTTCGTGTATCTATCTCCTTTTCTGCTCTGATCTTAGTTACTTCTTGTCTTCTGCTAGCTTTTGAATTTGTTTGCTCTTGCTTCTCCAGTTCTTTTAATTGTGATGTTAGGGTGTCGATTTTAGATCTTTCCTGCTTTCTCTTGTGGGCATTTAGTGCTATAAATTTCCCTCTACACACTGCTTTAAATGTGTCCCAGAGATTCTGGTACGTTGTGTCTTTGTTCTCATTGGTTTCAAATAACATCTTTATTTTTGCCCTCATTTCGTTATTTACCCAGTAGTCATTCAGGAGCAGGTTGTTCAGTTTCAACATAGTTGTGTGGTTTTGAGTGAGTTTCTTAGTCCTGAGTTCTACTTTGATTGCACTGTGGTCTGAGAGACCATTATGATTTCCATTTTTTTGCATTTGCTGAGGAGTGTTTTACTTCCAATTATGTGATCAATTTTAGAATAAGTGCTATGTGGTGCTGAGAAGAGTGTATATTCTGCTGATTTGTGGTGAAGAGTTCTATTAGGCCCGCTTGGTCCAGAGCTAAGTTCAAGTCCTGGATATCCTTGTTAACTTTCTGTCTCATTGATCTAATATTGACAGTGGGGTGTTAAAGTCTCCCACTATTATTGTGTGGGAGTCTAAGTCTCTTTGTAGGTCTCTAAGAACATGCGTTATGAATCTGGGTGCTCCTGTATTGGGTGCATATATATTTAGGATAGTTAGCTCTTCTTGTTGCACTGATCCCTCTACCATTATGTAATGCCCTTCTTTGTCTCTTGATCTTTGTAGTTTAAAGGCTGTTTTATCAGAGACTAGGATTGCAACTCCTGGGTTTTTTTTTTTTTTGCTTTCCATTTGCTTGGTAAATTTTCCTCCATCCTTTTATTTTGAGCCTATGTGTGTCTCTCCACGTGGGATGGGTCTCCTGAATACAGCACACTGATGGGTCTTGACTCTTCATCCAATTTGCCAGTCTGTGTCTTTTAATTGGGGCATTTAGCCCGTTTACATTTAAGGTTAATATTGTTATGTGTGAATTTCATCCTGCCAATATGATGCTAGCTGTTATTTTGGCCCGTTAGTTGATGCAGTTTCTTCACAGCATTGATAGTCTTTACAATTTGGTAAGTTTTTGCAGTGGCTCGTACCGGTTGTTCCTTTCCATGTTTAGTGCTTCCTTCAGGAGTTCTTGTAAGGCAGGCCTGGTGGTGACAAACTGTCTCAGCATTTCCTTGTCTGTGACGGATTTTATTTCTCCTTCGCTTATGAAGCTTTGTTTGGCTGGATATGAAATTCTGGATTGAAAATTCTTTCCTTTAAGAATTTTGAATATTGGCCCCCACTCTCTTCTGGCTTGTAGGGTTTCTGCCGAGATCCGCTGTTAGTCTGATGGGCTTCCCTTTATGGGTAACCCAACCTTTCTCTCTGGTTGCCCTTAACATTTTTTCCTTCATTTCAACCTTGGTGATCTGAAAATTATGTGTCCTGGCGTTGCTTTTCTCAAGGAGTATCTTTCTGGTGTCCCATTTCCTTAATTTGAATGTTGGCCTGCCTTGCTAGGTTGGGGAAGTTCTCCTAGATAATATCCTGAGGAATGTTTTCCAACTTGGTTCCATTCTCCCCGTCACTTTCAGGTATACCAATCAAACAAAGATCTGGTCTTTTCACATAGTCCCATATTTCTTGGAGGCTTTGTTCATTTCTTTTCACTTTTTTCCCTCTAATCTTGTCTTCACGCTTTATTTCATTGAGTTGATCTTCAATCTCTGATATCCTTTCTTCTGCTTGATCGACTTGGCTGTTGATACTTGTGTGTGCTTCATGAAGTTCTTGTACTGTGTTTTTCAGCTCCATCAGACCATTTATGTTCTTCTCTAAACTGGTTATTCTAGTTAGCAATTCATCTAACCTTTTTTCAGCGTTCTTAACTTCCTTGCATTGGGTTAGCACATGTTCCTTTAGCTCGGAGGAGTTTGTTATTACCTACCTTCTGAAGCCTACTCCTGTCACATTCGTCAAACTCATTCTCCTTCCAGTTTTGCTCCCTTGCTGGCAAGGAGTTGTGATCCTTTGGAGGAGAAGAGGTGTTCTGGTTTTTGGAATTTTCAGCCTTTTTGTGCTGGTTTCTCCCCATCTTCGTGGATTTATGTACCTTTGGTCTTTGAAGTTGGTGACCTTCGGATGGGGTCTCTGAGTGGACGTCATTTTTGTTGATGTTGATGCTATGCCTTTCTGTTTGTTAGTTTTCCTTCTAACAGTCAGGCCCCTCTGCTGCAGGTCTGCTGGAGTTTGCTGGAGGTCCGCTCCAGACCCTGTTTGCCTGGGTATCACTGGCGGGGGCTGCAGGCTGTTGTTCCTTCCTCTGGATGCCTCATTCCAGAGGGGCACCCACCAGATGCCAGCCAGAGCTCTCCTGTATGAGGTATCTGTTGGCCCCTACTAGGAGGTGTCTCCCAGTTAGGATACATGGGGGTCAGGGACCCACTTGAGGAGGCAGGCTGTCCCTTATCAGAGCTTGAACGCTGTGCTGGGAGATCTGCTGCTCTCTTCAGAGCTGCCAGTTAGGGACAGCTGAAGCTGTGCCCACAACCACCCCTTCCCCTAAGTGCTCTGTCCCGGGAGGTGACGGTTTTATCTGTAAGTCCCTGACTGGGGTTGCTGCCTTTTTTTCAGAGATGCCCTACCCAGAGAGGAGGGAATCTAGAGAGGCAGTCTGAGGGTAGCAACCTTGCTGAAATGCAGTGGGCTCCACCCAGTTCGAATTTCCCAGTGGCTTTGTTTACACTGTGAGGGTAAAACCATCTACTCAAGCCTTAGCAATGGCAGACGCCCCTTCCCCAACCAAGCTGGAGCATCCCAGGTCGAGCTCAGTCTGCTATACTAGCACAAGAATTTCAAGCCAGTGGATCTTAGCTTGTTTGGCTCCGTGGGGGTGGGACCC
Organism: Homo sapiens; assembly: GCF_000001405.40. Classification (NCBI taxonomy): domain Eukaryota; kingdom Metazoa; phylum Chordata; class Mammalia; order Primates; family Hominidae; genus Homo; species Homo sapiens. The sequence continues at coordinate 108,643,725 of NC_000002.12, read as the reverse complement.
ATCAAGCCAGACCTCTTGGCTCCCTGGCTTCAGCCCTCCTTTCCAGGGGAGTGAATGTTTCTGTCTTGTTGGCATTCCTGGCGCCACTGGGGCACGAAAAAAACTCAAACGCTACCACTGGGGTATGAAAAAAAAAACTGGCTAGCTCGGTGTCTGCCCTAAAGGCCGCCCAGTTTTGTGCTGGAAACCCAGGGCCCTGGTGGTGTAGGCTTCAGAGGGAATCTCCTGGTCTGTGGGTTGCGAAGACCGTGGGAAAAGTGCAACATCTGGGCCGGGGTGCATGGTACAGTCCCTAATGGCTTCCCTTGGCTAGGAGAGGGAGTTCCCCAACCCCTTGCGCTTCCCGGGTGAGGCAACGCCCCACCCTGCTTCGGCTCATCCTCCTTGGGCTGCACCCACTGTCCAACCAGTCCCAATGAGATGAACTGAGTACCTCAGGTGGAAATGCAGAAATCACCTGCCTTCCGCACCAATCTTGCTGGGAGCTGCAGACCGGAGCTGTTCCTATTTGCCATCTTGCCAACAAATCCAGGGCGTTTCTTAAGAGGTTCTATACTCTAATCAGCCCTCATGGCTAAGTTGGGTCTTTGGGAGATCCTACAGGACAGGTCTGAACCCCACATGTTCCTTAAATCCACCCAGAGCAGAGTGATTTCTACTTTATGAAAACAGTTGATGAATTTGTCATTTTCTGATCATCTACTGCGTGTTTCACTTATGGAATGATTGACCTACTGCGGCAAATCTAGGACCCTGGCTGCATGAGTCCAATAGCTTGGTTAAGGGCCCCCACTCACTGCACAGTGATGCAAAGTTGGCACACAGTAGTGTCCTGTAAAGAAGGCTGTAAAGCTTCAGATTCCAACTGTCTGCTAACTTCATGATTTTAGTCAAAACTAACTCCACCTCTGACATAAGCCATGGCCAAATACAAATAAGCTACTTGGAGATATCATGCAAAAAATTATAGCTATTTTCAGCAGCTCAAATAATTAAGGCCTGAATAAAGTCATGAAAATAGCAGCCAACATTTTTTTAAAAAGCAGCTTTTAAAAAACACTAGTAGCGGCCGGGCGCGGTGGCTCACGCCTGTAATCCCTGCACTTTGGGAGGCCGAGGCGGGCGGATCACGAGGTCAGGAGATCGAGACCATCCTGGCTAACACGGTGAAACCCCGTCTCTACGAAAAATACAAAAAATTAGCCGGGCGTGGTAGCGGGCGCCTGTAGTCCCAGCTACTCGGGAGGCTGAGGCAGGAGAATGGCGTGAACCCGGGAGGCGGAGCTTGCAGTGAGCCGAGATCGCGCCACTGCACTCCAGCCTGGGCGACAGAGCGAGACTCCGTCTCAAAAAAAAAAAACAAAAAACAAAAAAAAAAAAAAACAAAAAACACTAGTAGCTTAAAATTACTCCTCTTAAGTAGTAATGATGGACTTATGTACATCATTACCAAATATCTGTAGGATTTAAAAGCCAAACTAGACATTTTAACCAATTGCCTCTAAAATACAGGACTCCAATATAGAAAAAGCGGAGTGCTTAGTAAATGCTTCATTCTATTCCACAAATAGATTTGCATAACTGATGGCTAAACGGAGCACTTGGCAATAACAACTACTAGATGAAGCTTCTCCAACTGCATTCAAAGGCTTCCAGGTCATAATGGGGTATTTGAACTGTTGGGGTGGCCTGGTGAAATTATCATATGCCAAAATGAACTGTTTCTACTATCATCCTCTATCCTGCTCAAATGGAAAATACAATCTAATTTCCCCCAGACTACTAAAAACAAAACAATCATGACATGCAAGTAAAGATAATGAAACTGGGAAGTTCCTTCCCATTTTGTAGCTTCTAGAACAAATGCACTGGATTTTCTTTCAACAGACAGTGAGAAAACAGACAAAGTTTGGCCAGAAAAAGATACGGATTTGTAATTAATATGCCATTTTGCCTTGTCAATTTTTTTTCCTAATTTTTGAATGCACAGGCAAAAAGAAATTATTCATTACCACAGAAGCAAGACAGTGATAAAGAAATAATGTACATTTTCTCAAGCTAGTTTAAAATAAAGAAAATAGCACATTTTTTACATGTTTGTATTAGCATTGCTTATTGGGATTATTATCAAAGTAAGGCAGAGCTACCGTGGCTTTGTTACATATGCTAAAAATAACTGAAGAGTCACTAAAAGATTATCACCTAACAATAATGAAATGAACAAAACAAATTCTCTCCCTATGCACCATCAACCCCATCCCAGGGGCCCAAACCATCCCAAACACTGGAATCAAAGTCCAGAAATTACAATGAGGTTGTAATTGTGAGAAGGCTATTTGCATCTAATTGTCTTCAAGAAACTCCCTCTGAAATGAAACTTAATCTAAAGAGTTAGAGACTCTCTTCGGTGTTGCAGATAGGTTTCTAGCATCCCAAACTTTATGATATCTTAACTGTATTTATTTCCCTTAAAAGGAAAATGAGTGAAATGCCATTATGATATCAGGTTGAAATATTTCTGGAAGAAAACTAGCAGGCACCCATTTAAGTCTTAAAATCATCTAAAATACATCGTTTCAGATGGAATATCATCCAGCCACAAAAAAAGAATTAGATCCTGTCAGTGGTGGCATCATGATGAGCCCGGGGTACATTATGTTAAGTGAAATAAGTCAGGCACAGAAAGACACATGCCAGATGTTCTCACTCATATGTGAAAGCAAAAATACAATTGAACTCACAGAATTAGAACGCAGAGTTGGTTATTAGAGGGTGGGAAGGGTGGCTGGGAGGGGAGAGAGGGAGAGGTTAAGGGACTCAACATTACAGCTGAGTAACAGGAATAGTTCTTGGGTTCCTCAGCACTGTAGGGTGACTAATGTTAACAATAATTTATTGCGCATGTTCAAAAAGCTAGAAGAGGATTGTGAAAGTTCTAAACTCAAGGAAATGATAAATGTTTGAAGTGATGGATATGCTAGTTACCCCGATTTGATCCTTATGCATTACATGCATGCAGCAAAATAACACATGCACCCCATAAATATGTACAATTATTATGTATCAATAAAAAATTCCTCCTCTAGTATCTGAGGGAAAACTATCCTAGTTTTATTCCCAAAGCCCACAGGCAAAAGAGAGTGGCCACTCAGGAGCCCCAGGCAGAGGTGTACTGAGGGACAGCCCAGAGAAGGCAGGAATGGCCCCACGCTCAACCTCAGTGTCCATGGGGTTCTGCAACACAAGGCAGGTCTGAAAGCACTGTGTGGCCTCAGAGACACTGCCCACAACAGGCAGAAAGTACTGCAAATAAATAGGTCAGTTACTCAATCCTAACCAGTTTTAAGTCTTGACGACCTATGTGGTGGCTTGTTTCTTAAGAAGCACCTCTCCCTGGATGATCTCTAGAAAAGTTGCTAACATGAACCAACCAACAAATATCTACCCACAAAGGACTTTGTAAAGGACATGGAGCCTGGGGAAGGGAAAGGAGAAAGACTGAAATCAAGCTCCTCCCAGCACTCTCTCCTTTCTCCATGACACTCCCTGAGTGCCTCAGACACTCTTGTGACGCTCTTACTCCCTGCAACAAGCCATCCTGTCCCTATGATAATGGAGACACTCCCATCACACAGGAAACCCATCATGGAAAGACACGAGACTGGATGGGAAAACAGAATGGGCAGCAAAAAGGTGCAATCATTAAAAGCAGAACACTAACAAATGACTGAACAATGGCAAGCCTCAGTTTCTGTGAGCCCGTGCGCATGGATGTGTAAGTGCTTTGGGATGGGATCACTGAACTGTACTGTTTTGGTTTGGTAAGTTGAATTTGTCAACTTTTATCAGCCCAACAGCAATATAGCTTATTGCAGAAAATGTATGAAAGGCAGAGAAGAATCACGCATATTCCTGCCAACTGGAAACAAGTACTTTAACATTTTGAGCTCTATTCTTTTTAAAATACATGTACACGGCTGGGCACGGTGACTCACGTCTGTAATCCCAGCACTTTGGGAGGCCAAAGTGGGTGAATCATGAGGTTAGGAGTTCAAGATCAGCCTGACCAACATGGTGAAACCCTGTCTCTACTAAAAATACAAAAATTAGCCGGGTGTGGTGGCAGGTGCCTGTAATCCCAGCTACTCAGGAGGCTGAAGCAGGAGAATCACTTGAACCCGGGAGGTGGAGGTTGCAATGAGCTGAGATGGCGCAACTGCGCTCCAGCCTGGGCGATAGAGCGAGACTTAGTCTCAAAAAAACAAAACAAAAACATGTACACATATATGATATATGATCTTAAATAAATGCAGGGTTGTTGCAAGGTGACTTTAGAATTATCTTTAAAAGTGATGATCAACATTTCCAGCACTGGGTGAAACATACAAAGGACATACGATTTTCTGGATGAATACCACTGTCCCTTTTTTTTCTCCTGAACTTTCTGCTTATCAGAAACCTGCCCAGTCCTCAAGTACCTGCTCAAGATCTTCTCCAGGAAGCTTTCTTGACATTCCAGGCCTTATCGATCTTCTGTTCAGCAGCCATAGCACCCACTGTGTGTCCCATGCAGTGAGTGGGTAAGATTTTCATTGGATATAATGTTGTGTTCTGTATCGCAAAGGTGCTCCTCATCTCCTTAAGAACACCAGGAGGCCCTTAAGTAGACATTTTTTTTTTTTTGAGACGGAGTCTCACTCTGTCACCCACGCTGGAGTGCAGTAGCGCGATCCATGCTCACTGCAGGCTCCGCCTCCCGGGTTCACACCATTCTCCTGCCTCAGCCTCCCGAGTAGCTGGGACTACAGGTGCCTATCAACACGCCCGGCTAATTTTTTGTGTTTTTAGTAGAGACGGGGTTTCACCATCTTAGCCAGGATGGTGTTGATCTCCTGACTTCATGATCCACCCGCCTCGGCCTCTCCAAGTGCTGGGATTACAGGCGTGAGCCACCGTGCCCAGCCTGTGCTTAGTTTTCTTGAGACAGAGTCTCACTCTGTTGCCAGGCTGGAGTGCAGTGGTGCAATTTTGACTCACCGCAACCTCGATCTCCTGGGTTCAAGTGATTCTCGTGCCTCAGCCTCCTGAGTAGCTGGAATTACAGGCATGTGCTACCACACCAGGCTAATTTTTGTATTTTTAGTGGTAGAGACGGGGTTTCACCATGTTGGACAGGCTGGTCTCGAACTCCTGACCTCAGGTGATCCGCTCGCCCTGGCCTCCCAAAGTGCTGGGGTTACAGGCGTGAACCACCACGCCCAGCCTCTGTTGAATCTTTATACCCCTCATGGCACCAAGCACACTGTCATCATGCAATTAATCAAACTGGACATCTTGAGAGAAGTCCCTAGACTGCCTGCAGAGGGCATCTAAAGAGGGCAAGCCCTGGTGAGCTGCGTCCCTACCCAGACACCCAGACAGCTCAGTCTAGCTCGTTGCCTTTGGCGTAACTTTCCTCAAGAAAGACAGCTCGATCAATCAGAATCACTATAGTTTGAAATCTATAAGCCACCTCACAATTTTTTTTTCTCCCATGGTCCCTCAAATAAGCAGTGTTTAGTCAATTTAAAAACATTCTTGGGCTGGGCATGGTGCCTCATGCCTGTAATCCCAGCACTTTGGGAGGCTGAGGCAGGAGGATCACTTGAGCTCAGGAGCTGGAGACCAGCCTGGGCAACGTGGTGACACACCATCTCTATAGAAAAATTAGCCGGGCACGGTGGCATGCACCTGTAGGCGCTACTAAGGAGGCTGAGGTAGGAGGATCGCTTGAGCCTGTGAGCTATGACTGAGCTGTGATCATGCCACTGCATTCCGGCCTGGGAGACACAGCGAGATACTGTCTCAAAAAAAAAAAAAAAATCTTAAAATTTTCTCTCATAGGTTAGGTGATTTTTCTCTGACCATTTAGAAACTTTAACTAGAAAATGTCTCTGTACTAGTTCCTTTATATTTCAAATCACTTATCTTTTCATTCTTTTATTTTTATTCGTATTGTGATCCATTAACATACATTCTCACACCTAAACAGCTTTTTAAAAAGATAACATTGTGTTCTGGTCAAAACAGACAAATTAGAGGAAGCTGTGTTTCCAATACAGAATGGCAGTATTTTTAGCTAGGAATGCTGACTTAGGAGAACGCCCAGATCACCAGTGACAGCCTCCAGTGTGTCAGGAGCTCTTGACACGGCTGTAGTGGCTGTAGCACCAGAGTATCTGGCTCTAAATAACACCCTTATTTTAGTTCTGACTCAGTCAAGGCTATCTCCCTGGACATTAACCTTCAGCTACACTGGGAGGGAAGTCCGTGGGAGTTTTTATTTTGTGACTAAGCTTAACACGGGGTTTACTTCCCTCAATGATAAGGTAAAAGAAAACCATGAGAATTTCAGAATAGAACAGAATAAAAAACATTTCACTTGAGTCAAGTGAAAACAATGAACCTTTTCAAATTCAAATGTACATATCTTTCACTGCCCGTTATTTTCTTTTTGACACAGAACATGTTTTGTGTAGATTTTACTGCATTAAACAGCATTTGAAAATACTGACCAGGATGAAGCAGAGGAACTAAAATACACACACACACACACACACACACACACACACACACACACACACACATATATGTATATTTTGCTGAATTTAAAAAGGTTTCTTTTCTTTCATTAACTTTAAATTTTGTGAAATGTACACAGAAAGGCAAGGGATTATTTCAGCTACCATAACTTAGATTTTGCCATAAGTACAATGAAAAAAGATGTGGAAATAGTATAAGGTCAGGAGGTCAACCACTGTAAGCTGGTGCTCATGTAACACTGCCCAGCTACAACCAGGCTAGCAGCATCTCCCAGGGGCCTCAGTCACTCCTCTTGTTCTGCAGGCTCCTGTGCTCAACCTTCCTCTCTCCCCACACAGAGCTCTCCATTCTCTGTCACGGAATGAAGCTATGGTTTTTGAAAGCAGTTCACAGGGCTAAGTAGGAAGCTCTTTATTCCATTCCTTACCTCTTCTCAAAAAGTGGTATTCTATACATCTAGCAATAATATATAAAAATATGGCAATTACCCACTTAGACAGACCCCCTTGTGTCCTGTAGGAGGCATCACTGGGATATTGCTAGGTGCTGGTGATGCAGTTACTGCTACCTCTGTGAATCTTTGTCCTCTATGAGCAGCACTGAGACCTTGTCAGTAGAGGGTGCTGGAGAGACACTGCAGGAGGAAGAGGTTTGCTTCCCAGTCCTGCCTGCTCCCTGGGCAAAGCTCCTGCAGCACTCTGGCTTCTTCGGTGTCTAGCTCCTGCAGGGCATGGTGGCTAGCACCAGCTTCAGTGGCACTGGCCCCTCAAAAGTTTTACAGCAGAGTGCCTTGGACCCTGATGGTGCATGCAGCCAGCAGCACCCATCCCTTGGCAGTCAGCTATGTAGGGGGTACCTTGGGTGAGGGAACTCACTGGGAACAGCCTTCTCTGGTATTGGAAAGGAGGATTTCCAGCAATCTGTGCCAGCGACTTTTCTGCATGCAGCATGCCCTGGTAGTGTGACCCCGGGCACGGAGTAGGGCTCCTCCCTTGGCACTCTAACTCAGCTCTAGGGTCCGTGGCTGCTCCTTACAGCGGCTATTCCTATACTCTTTTGCTTTCTCTCCTCTTACTAGCCAATTCCTTATTACTCCAAAACCTTGTTAGAGTTAGTAATTCTATCTTTATATTAAACCTTTCCTGTTCAAATTAGCGTGTGGGTTTTCTCTCCTGGTTGGACCCAGGCCGACAGAGGCAGCCTATGTGAGGACTCTGCAGCTGATGGTACTTAGACCTTTTGGGCTCTTTCTCCAAGATGTCACTTAGGAATTTAAACAATTGTATTTACATTCAAAACTAGGAACAGACGATTTAAACAACTGTATTTACATTCAAAACTAGGAACAGACGGGGGGGAGGAGTGTGTTATCACGTAAAGGTACAGAATAATAAACCTGTCAGTTAAACGGGAGTCCAAGTCTGTCTACCTCATTCTTTTTTTTGAGATGGAGTCTTGCTCTGTCACCCAGGCTGGAGTGTAGTGGTGCGGTCTCAGTTCACCGAAACCTCCCCCTCCTGGGTTCAAGCAATTCTCTGCCTCAGCCTCCCAAGTAGCTGGGATTACAGGCACCCACCACCACGCCTGACTAATTTTTGTATTTTTAGTAGAGACGGGGTTTCACCATCTTGACCAGGCTGGTCTTGAATTCCACCCGCCTTGGCCTCCTGAAGTGCTGGGATTACAACCATTCTTTTTTTTTTTTTTTTTTTTTAGAGATGAAGTCTTGCTCTTTCCCCCCAGGCTGGAGTGTGATGGTGCAATCTCAGCTCACTGCCACTTCTGCCTTCCGAGTTCAAGCGATTCTCCTGCTTTGGCCCCCTGAGTAGCTGGGATTACAGGCACCTGCCACCACACCCAGCTAATTTTTGTATTTTTAGAGATGGGGTTTCACCATGTTGGCTAGGCTGGTCTCGAACTCCTGACCTCAGGTGATCCACCCGCCTGGGCCTCCCAAAGTGCTGGGGTTACAGGCGTGAGTCACCGCGCCCAGCCACAGCCATTCTTTATTTATGTAAACTAGAGGCCACACATGGACTCATTGTTCAAGTCAGGGCCAGAAGATATGGCCACCCCACACCCCAGTGTAGACCCCCATCCTCATGGCACTTTCTGGCCCCAGTGACATGTCTGGGGGCCACTCAATGTGAGCTCCTGGGTTCCTCTGTGACCCCAGCAAAGAGGCAAACAGGGACACACACCCATTGGTCAGTCCTCAAGAACAAGAGGAGAATAAAGGAACTGAGGCGATCAGTGAACTTTTGTTCTTCTTGAAGATGACTGGGAGGGTGGCTAGGACAGCAGCTCCTTGGGCAGTCGCTGTGCTCTGCTGCGCCTGGCCGTGAGGGCTTCTGTGAAGCTTTACTGTGAGTGCTCCACATGCTTTCCTGTCATGGTCATTCCTGAGCCTCCCTTCCTGTCACATCACTCCCACAATAGAATGAAGCAGCCGCCTGTTTTCTAAATAGTCCCTCGATTTCAGGACATTTGTGGTGAAAAGGACCATGTGTACCACTTAACACTGATGTGTGTGGCGTCTCTCCAGAGATGTCGCCAGGACAAGGTGTCACATTCAGAAGGCACAGCTTCAGGAGCCTGAAAGCCAGCCTTGGGAGGGCTGAAAGATTTGCCTCTTGCTAGTGGTAGGGGCAATGTTCTGTATGAGCTTCTTTGTTTTCTGAGGGGATTGAGAAAAACCTAAAATGTAATGCAGTAACAGTCTGGACAATTTCTGTTACAAAATGAGCTTTTAGGAGATGACATATTACCTCATTATTTCTTCTCTTTCCTCATTATCTACCTCTCTCCCATTCCCCATTGGTATAGACATTAAATTGAACAGCTGGCATGCTGAATTAACATGAGAGTCACTGAAAACTGAGTGCTGCATGAGAGCTGGCAGCTGGCACACCAGAGAGCCCTGCAGTCCTTCTTCCCTCCCCCTACAGACATCCTGCTAGAAGGAGACCCCAACCTGACACAGGTCAGTTATTGCATGGACTTCCTTGAGCTTTGCCCAGCCTGCTTCCTCCCTCTCTACCCTTGTAAGAGTCTTTGAGGACAATCCTCCCTCCTCTTTCCTTTGGAGCCACAAAGAGGCTACAGCCAGCATCCAGTCCCCATCTCAAACACAAACCTCCAAGAAATACTACTTCTAAAGAACGGTGGTGTGCAAGACAGAATCACAAGAAAAGCTTGGTGGGAGAAACACCACGATGGAGCTCAGGGAGATTATTTCAGGAAATTTTGCAATTGAGGCACAAGGATGGACACACACACACACCTGTGTGTAAATTTCTTATCATTTAATTACTTAAATAATATAAAATAAAACTTAATTTTCCTGATTTTAGGGCAACAAAACTCCCTGCTCTAATCCTTTTATAAACAGCACTGTCGCCAGGGATTTCAGTTCAGAATGGCAAACATGCACTTGTATGACTCTGGGCCAACCAAGTCTTTTAAGTCAAACCTTTAACCAACTATTAGTAAAGCATAAGACAGAACAATCTCTTTTATGGCAGCTCATAAATGAAAAAGCAAAAATGTAATCAAAACTAACTTGGCAAGAGGCCAAATTCATAGGCTGAGAAAACAGAACAAAATAACTGAGCTTCAAAGAGTTTAGAACCTATTAGGAAAGCAAATCAAATGGTGAAATTGAGAGTGGTTCAAATAAACTAATAAATATGGTGACTATTTGGACTATGTTCAGACTGAATATAAGAGGTCTGACGCTCTAATGACAGCGCCTATGCTGGTTGTATAAAAAGTCAATAATTTAAGCCTATTTAAAAGCAGCAGTCATTTTTACTCTTCTATGGATGGCAATATTCTAACCTATTACAGACAAAGCACCACATGACTATTTCAAGAGACAGTTTTATCCTTTGAAATAAAACTGCTCTGAAACACAAAAAATAATTCTGTGTTAAAAGAATACATAAAAATAACCTCACCAAATCAATTAGTAAGAATTAAGATGCTGGCAAAAACAAAGGGACAGAAGAGCAGGAATAATTCAAAAGGCAAAACCAAATCTTCCACTGCCGTCATGATGAACATTAAATGTTCTATTTCAGAGCAGAGCAGGGGATACACGGATGCTTCCTGGAGTGGAGGGGGAAGGGGACAAGGGAGTCACCTGGTACACTTTATTAACCTGAGCACAAACATAATCAGAAGAACAATATCATAATGGCTCATAAGGCAATGTCAGTGCTTTCTCATTCAGAAATCAATGTGTACACTTGCTATGCAGGTACAGATTGCCTGTAAGTAAACTGCTTATATAAACAGACTTTTCAAGGTCAATTTACCTTCCTTTTGGTTTAATATTTTCATCTACATTTAAGTAGCCTGAGCCAGTATTCCAGTTCTCTGAGGCCACAATCCCAGGCACTCATGTACAGCTCTGTAGAAGTTGCTGAAGTGCCACTACTCACATGTTGATTCTATAGCAGTATCTGCATTCCCTCTTACATTTTCAAAGCTGAGGAGGCAGAGAGGCTTCTCTTTGGCTCGCTTACCATTCATTTGGCCCCAAATACCATTTTGTGCAATAAGATCTAGCACTGCCTGATAAAGAACAAGGTGTCCAGAACATCAGGACTCTGGGCATATCCTCCCTTGAGTTTTCCTTCACTGTTCATCACACTCTGAGAATGCGCGTTGCCTGACCTTGAGACACCTGGACCCTACATCCTATGCAGCATCAGCACTTAACTTTTAACATGGTGTCTTTCAAGGCAGAGAAGATGGCTGAATTTAGCAGATGAAATCACTGACACAAGGTACTTAGGAAGTAAAAAGCAATTAACTTTCTGCTTTTCAAACATGTGTGGCTTCCCAAAGAGTAAAAAGGGAAAGTATCAGCTGGGCACGGTGACTCAAGCCTGTAATTCCAGCACTTTGGGAGGCCAAGGCAGGTGGATCACCTGAGGTCAGGAGTTCGAGACCAGCCTGGCCAAAATGGGAAACCTCGTCACTACTAAAAATGCAAACATTAGCCAAGCATGGTGGCAGGCGCCTGTACTCCCAGCTACTCAGGAGGCTAAGGCAGGAGAACTGCTTGGACCCAGGAGGTGGAGGTTACAGTGAGCCAAGATTGCACCACTGCACTCCAGCCTGGGTGACAAGAGGGAAACTGCATCTCAACAAACAAACAAACACGAAAGTACCTATTCTGTGAAGGAGGCATATATGCAAAGCGGTTCCAAATGTGAAGGAGCTGAGAAACTAAAGAAGGAGAAAGACAAATCTATTTTGTTGGTATTGGGTGATTTACTGAGGGAACTTACAGACAGAAGTGTGGTCTTGGTCAGCCACAAAACAGGCAGATCTCTGCACCACTGCTCCCAGACCCAGGGCTTACAGACCATGAAGAAAGGGCACGTGTGCAGACAACCCTCCAGAACATGGATGCCGTACGCATCACAGCCTGGAGTCTGTGTGACAACATCCAGGTTGACATGTTCTTCCACTAGGGACAGTAAGTAAAGTAGTAATCAGGAGCCATTCAAAGGTCTCAAAGGAGGCTAATCAGAAGTCAACATGGCATGCTATAACAGATGTCTTAGAAAAAAAAAAAAAAGGCAACACGGTAGATTAGCATCCAAGACAGAGTCCCTTTTGTTCCACAGCATACAATCATTTGATATTTAAAATGAAACACAATAAATCCTCCTTGAGTAGGTCTAAATCTGTTAATATAAGAACATTCACTTCTTTTACAGATCATATTCAACTAGCAAAGGGAGAAACTCAAAGCTCCTAAAAATAACTGACTTGCAGAAGTCAATTACTAAGTAGTTATTCAAGACACTGGACCCAGGCCAGTGGGCTATACCCAGACTCCTCACCCACTCTCACTCAGCAACTTAAAACAAGTGTATTTACACTCAAAACTAGGAAGGGAAGGGCGGAGGTATATATTATCAAGTAAAGGTATAGAAAATAAAATCTTCAGTTAAATGAGAGTCCAAGTCAGTCTACCCCATTCTTTAAGCCAGAGGCTAGTCTACCCCATTCTTAAGCCAGAGGCTAGAAGCTGACTCATTAAGTGTCCCACACTCTGTAAGCCAACTTCATCCTGTCATAATAAATTTTAATTGTCTGAAAAATCAAACAATTCCATCCCTGCTCCACAGATGTAAAAGCAGTAACTTGAGATGTTCATTTTTCTGAATCTAATCTTTTACCCCTACATTACCATTTTCACTTTCTAACATTAAGAAATACTGTTTTTTTCCAACACAAAATATGAAAGCTTAATGATTACCATAGAACGACAGCCTAGATTAAGGTAAAGAATCCTACATTTTTCCTCCTCGTCCCACTCAACCTCCAAATTACTCATGCTAGAGCCATGGGTGGTGAAATCCTGGTGTGGCTTATATCCCAACAGACACACAGGTAGCTGACAGCAGAGGGAATCTCAGGGGCTTTGTTATATTCCTGACTACTGGGATAGATGTTTGGATGGGACACAACCACTCATCAGATAAGCCCTAAATAAATGAAAAAGTATAATGTGTTAGTTACACATAAGGGAAACGTTAAAACTGTGCCATTCGTCATGATACGTATTTCAAAAAATTTAAAACCTTTGATTACTGAAGATTTCAAACATATATTAAACGAGTGAGTATAACGAATCCCTCTGAACCATTATCCAACTCCAACAGTCATCAAGTCGTGATCAATTTATCTACTCATCAACCATAAAATATTTTGAAACAAATTCCCTACATTGTATCATTGGATCCCTGAGTTCTTCAGCATGTAAGTGTGACATAATTAAGCTCTGATTTCCTATAGCAGTGCAGTGAATTTCGAAGGAGGCTCACTACAGGGATGCCTGAATTTCACTGTTTTTAAAATCACAATTTTAAGTGAGGCAGGCTGTCTTCTGGTTTTCTTTTCTTTCTTTTTTTTTTTTTTTTTTTTTTTGAGACAGGGTCTCACTCTGTTGCCCAGGCTGGAGTACAATGGTATGATCTCACCTCACTATAGCCTAACCTCCCAGGCTCAAGCAATCCTCCAGCCTCAGCCTCCCAAGTTGCCAGGACTACAGGTGCACGCCACCACGCTTGGCTAATTTTTGTATTTCTTTGTGGAAATATGGTTTCACCATGTTGCCCAGTCTGGTCTTGAACTCCTGGACTCAAGTGATCCACCCGGCTTGGCCTCCCAAAGTGCTGGGATTACAGGCATGAGCGACAGTGCCTGGCCTTCACCTGGTTTTCAAATCTTGATCTCCTAAACCAAGACGCCTCTGCAGCTGCCATGGGACAAAGGAAGGACCTCAGGAAAGGAATCTGCAGTCTAGGCCACATAGCCTTCTCTCCTCACATCACCTCCATGGAGAATCACTGACTTTGTTTCACATACCACAATCCACAGGGAAATCCTGTCTGGGAAAAAAATGACTCTTTAAAGCTTCTGAATGGACCAAGCCTTTCTTTTTATATTTGGAGGAAACTGGGCTTCAGAGAGGCCCAAGGTAAAGTTCCACTTCCTCACGTACTAAACAAGCTCATTAAAGGATGCAATGTCAAACAAACACAGTAACCACCCACACCTTTTCTGAGAGTCTCAAATGGAAAGTCTTCTCTATAACTGATACTTGCATTTTTTCATCTGTTCTTGTGAGAATCAGAAGCTCTAAAAACACTGACTGGCTTTTTGAAATAATCCAACCTCTAGCTATTTCTATTATGAGTGAAAGTTAACTCACTACAGTTGAAGCAGTCAATTTCAGTCTCTGTCTCCTCTCTTTCTTTATATATATCTCTGAAGACCATCCTAAGTTCATTCATAGAGAAGAAACTTTTTTGGAAACAATCCTATACATCTTCTTTCCATCCGAACATGGTTGAAACATTACAAATTAGAAGCCAACATGTAAGTTGTGATCCGTTTCTAGTTCCACGCATACGAATACTTCTTCCCTATAACACTGCCATTTTTTCATTCTCATTACCCCGATCAATTAGAATTCTGACAATAAAATGTACCATTTCCTCCCAATACCACACAACAGTCTTCCTTTAAACAGCTATAATAGCAGATGGCAACATAGATAGACAAAGGTGATGGCAATACGTTTCTGTTGAATTGCACAGCTGCTTATGATGGACACCAAACCTACTGATATTGCTTTAAGCATAGATGGTCAAATAAGTATTCTGCTTTTTAAAAAAATATTTCAATGCAGTCTCAGCTACTCGGAAGGCTGAGGATCACTTTAGCCAGGGAGCAAAGATTGTGCCACTGCACTCCAGCCTGGGTGATAGAGCAAGACCCTGTCTCAGAAAAAACAAGAACCTTCATAAAACTCATTACTGTCATATTTCTCTTCAAAAATTAATGCACTGAGGCTGGGTGCGGTGGCTCACGCCTGTAATCCCAGCGATTTGGGAGCCAAGGAGGGTGGATCACCTGAGGTCAGGAGTTCGAGACCAGCCTGGCCAACATGGTGAAACCCCGTCTCTACTAAAAATACAAAAATTAGCTGGGCGTGGTGGTGCGCCTGTAATTCCAGCTACTCGGGAGGCTGAGGTGGGAGAATTGCTTGAGCCTGGGAGGCGAAGGCTCACTGCAGCCTAGGCAACATTGATTTCACTGCCTCTTCAATAAATGATCCAATAAACTGCTTTCATAGCTCATTTCATTCATTTATCGATTCACAAATATTAACTGGAAATCCCTAGTTTAAACTGGTGCTAGTCATTAAGTGAGAGCTAGAAATGACTCTTGGCCTGATTTGACAGTGACTGCACATGGATGGTATCTGAGCCATACATACTCAAGAGCCATGGGAGACACTGAAAGACAAAGGAAAAACTGAAAAGAAGTAACCAGTAGGAAAACTAGGAAAAGGCAGGGCTGAGGAGACAATGGAGGAGACAATTTTAAGAAGAAAGTATTACTGCTGTCAAACTTCAAGAAGTCAAGGGAAAGTGACCAGAGCTGTGGTGAAGACAGACACACTGAGAAGATGGCCTTATGACCACAAGGGCAGAAACAGGAGCAAGGCACCTGCAAGTCAAGAACACTCAGCACTGCAGGCAAAGCCTGGTGCTTGGAGAGGAAAGGAAGCATCTCCCTTCAGGGGTCAGAGGGGGCATGGCCCTGCTGACACGCTGGTTTCTGACTTCTGGTGTCCAGAAATCTACGACAACAAATTTCTGTAGTTTGAAGCTACACAGTTTATGGTACTTGGTGATGGCAGCCCTAGGAAACAGATATAACCATTTAAAAAAACTTAAGGAGGTTCATATTTATGTGAAACATATTTAATAATTACTTCTAAAAGAAGATTTTTTTAAATAAGAAAATATTCACGTCCAAAGTTTGTTTTAGTCACAGAATAGCCAATGAGTAGCACAGACATATAATCAGTTGCTGTGTCTCTAAGATACATACATGTAGAATAAATAGTACTGTTTCCTTTTAATAACATCTATCCAAAGTCAGGTAGGTAAAGCACAAGTTTTGGACAACTATCTTTTCTGACTTTTATAAGTAATTTATACCTGAGACTTCAAGATTTTGTTTGCTTTTTTAAAAACCAACAGGAAAGCAACCAAATTATTGAAATTTTGGGATTTAATTGTCACAATAAATAATTTAGATAATATGATGCGTACTGACAACAAAATTACAGATTGATTCTGTTAAAGTTGACGGTTCGTTCCTAAATGTCTCCTATAGCAGTGCAAAAAAAAAAAAAAAAAAAACCAGAAAGGGATCATTATTCAATAACTTTTTACTTCTTATCATTCCTTTAACAGACCTGATTTTTAAGCATCAACACTGCTATTTTTAATTTCAGCATAAACTCCCTCTACTAGTCATACATTGCTTAATGACAAGGATATGATCTGAGAAATGCATCATCAGGTGATTTAGTCATGTGTGAACATCATAAATATACAAATGTTCACATAAACATACACAAACCTAGACAGTACAGCCTATTACATGCCTAGGCTACGTGGTATAGCCTGTTGCTCCAAGGCCACAAACCTGTACAGCACAGGACTGTATTGAATACTGTAGGCAACTGTAACACAACAGTTAAGTGTATATATAAAATAGCTAAAAATATTATAGTATAGTAAAAATACGGTTTAAAAGATTAAAATGGTACATCTGCATAGGGCAACTTCCTTGTAATCTTAAGAGACCACTGTCATGTTTGTAGTCTCTCGTTGACTGAAACGTTTTATGCAGCACATGACTATATGCAGAAATATTTTAGATGACTGAAAAATACATTTCCCTTTGGAAACTAAGCTTTCCAAAACTACTGAAAGAGAAAAGCAAAATAATCATGATCTATACTCTGATAGATACATCCGTCTCTTAGGCTTCTCTCAGTGTGATACTGTACATAAATAAAAAGTTAATAATTAAGACTTAAAAAGTAGAGTGTAAAGAGTTTAATCTAGAATAAAAGAGGTACCTTTAGGCCAGTTTAGTTTCTCATTCCTTTACTCATTCAATGAGAAACAGATTCTGAACTGCAGTACGTGCTAGATGCACAGGAAATATGGTAAAGTCTCTTGCCTTGAAGAATCCCCTCTCTATTATATGGGGGTGGGAGGTGAGAGTGGGTGAAGAGGGGGTCTGTAAAACCAGTTATTACAATATAAGTACTTGTAGGTTACAATCAAACATATAGGAGTAAGCACTATGAACTTTTAAAAAGCAACACTAGCAAGTGGTTTTTCTCTTTCCTATAGCAAAGAGAAAAATATTTCTTATTAATTGTCCCATGTGTTTGCTCATTGTTGGGAAGACTAAATGTACCCTCACTGAACCACCAAATAATAAGAACAGATAATATCAGATAATAAGATAATGGCAAAACTGCAATTTTATCCCTATTGTCTAACAGACTACATTTCTAAAACTAAAATACAAACATAATTTTTCAGTTAAAAGTTGGGCCAAAAAGTGATCAGCAAACTGCAAAAGAGGTATGCAAGAAACACACAGCCTAGGCTGAGCTACTCCAACGTTGACTGAATTCTAAGCACTAACTTATTTGAATCAAGGACAGAAACTGGTTTCATAACAATGACCACCTTTATAGCCTTCAGTTCTTTCTCTCTTACGGGATCATGAGACATGGTGGGCCCACACACACAAAAGCCCTTACTTAATGCAGTGCCTGGCCTATAACAGGGGTTCAATTAATGGTTATGTACTAGTCAGGAACACATGATCTGAGTTTTCACTCTCAAACCAAAGCAAGGACATTCCCACCACTTAAAAATGATTTTATATGCTATATCTATAAAAATATGAGCTTGGAAGGTTTATTCTATAACCAGAAAGTAAAGGTTACATTTCTTTGCACTTCCATTCTTGGTTAACCTGATCCATCCAGGAATCAGGAGAAGGGTACTACTTCAAGGTCAACGCTGCAGGAAAGGAGGAAAGGAGGTCTAAGAAGCGAAGAGCTCACTGCTGCTGTGTGGCAACTTCCCATTTTCACTTTACTCCTAAACTATTAGGGATACAAATTTCAAACTGCATTTTTTTGGGGGGGGGGATTCATATTCTTTTCAAATGGCTGACGTAGCCCTGATTTTATCCAGGCAAGATAAACCTAACTGGGAGGTGAGAGAGTGAGGAGGGCAGAAGCATGGCCGAAGGAACAGGGAAAAGGGAAAGCTCTAGGAGTTCTTATCTCAGCACTAGACCAGGGGTCAGCCCAGGTTTTCTGTGAAGGGCCTGAAGGTAAATAATTTTTGTCTTTGTGGGCCACATTGGTCTGTGTCACAACTCAACTTTGCCAGCGTAGCAGAAAACCACCACAGGCAACACATACAAATAAGCATGGCTGTGTTCCAGTAAAACTTCATTTGTGGACACTGAAATTTGAATTTCATATATTTCACATGTGAAAAATATTTTTATTATTTTTTCAACCATTCAAAAATGTAAAACCCATCCCAAGCTCATGGGCCATACACAAAAAGGCAGCAGGCCAGATTTGGCCTGAGGGTCATAAGTTCACCTGCCCCTATATATATTTTTTGTTTGTTTGTTTGAGAGAGTCTCACTCTGTAGCCCAAGCTGCAGTGCAACGGCGTGATCTCGGCTCACTGCAACCTCCGCCTTCCAGGCTCAAACAATTCTCGTGCCTCAGCATCCTCACTAGCTGGGACCATAGGTGTGCGCCACCACACCTGGCTAATTTTTTATATTTTAGTAGAGGCTGGGTTTCCCCATGTTGCCCAGAGTGGTCTTGAACTCCTGAGCTCAGGTGATCTGCCTGCCTCGGCCTCCCAAAGTGCTGGGATTATAGGCGTGAGCCACCGCACCCGGCCTACCAGCCCCTATATTGTTATTTATTTATTTATTTATTTAGAGACATAGTCTTGCTTGGTCACCCAGGCTAGAGTGCAGTGGCGCGATCTCGGCTCACTGCAACCTCTGTCTCCTGGGTTCAAACGATTCTCCTGCCTCAGCCTCCACAGTAGCTGGGACTACAGGCGCTTGCCACCACGTCCAGCTAATCTTTGTATTTTTAGTAGAGATGGGGTTTCACCACGTTGGCCAGACTGGTCTTGAACTTCTGACCTCAAGTGATCCGCCTGCCTCGGCCTCCCAAAGTACTGGGATTATAGGCGTCAGCCACTGCATCCAGCCACCAGCCCCTATATTAAGCTGTTTTGAACCCAACCAGGAGAAACTTCAATTTTGTACTGTTTCTAATCAGTTATTTATAGATCCCTTCTATCTGAGGCAGAGAAAAAGTAACTTTGAGAATTTTTAAAGGGCAGGAATTTCTCAGGTGTGTTTGTCATTCAGGTATTGTCAAAAAACAACTATGTTTGAATGCAACATAATTTAAAAGATAGAATAGCTAAAGGAGTAAGTGTAGGTACATGGGTATATCTTAGATGTTATTTTGGGACACCAAAAACTTCAGGGAAAAAAGGGTCAATGCCTTGTGAAGGTCTGGGGCTTCCGACCCACTGGAACAAGCATGTCACTTGTGTCACTTCACTCTAACTGTAACCACAAACACAGTGGGTAATGCTCCACTGTACAAAGTATGTGAATAAAGTCAGTTTCAAGTCATATTTAATACTTTAAAACAAAAGTCTAGGAAGCCCAGTGTTTGTCATGCCACCTTTTACCTGCTTCGGTTTTGAACAATTTCAAGTTTGACGCCGGAACTATTTTCATGTGTATTACAGTGCTCTTTAAGCACGTGCATCTCGTGTTTCAGAGCACAGCCTTTTATTTAAACTTTAAGAGCAAAAAATGTTTTCTGGCAGTGGCCATGGCCAATTTTAGTCTCTGAAAGTTTTTCTGTTAAGAGTCCACAAACGTAAGAAATGAACACTTGAGTAAGAAGGAATGAGAGCTGGAATGGGTCTTATGCAATACTTGAGACAGTATGAAAGATGTTTGATAGCACAGGTATTCAAAATCAAATAATTGTTCATGGAGAGAAAATCTGTGGTCATATTAAATATGCCCAAACCTAGGTGGGTGTTCCTGTGGCGAGGCCTGTGTCTTATTCCTCACTGTATCTTTACTTTGCAAATAGTAGGCACTCAATAACAATTAAACAATGAATTAACTGTATGGCACTATTCGCAAGATAACAATGCCACCTGCCTCACTGAATTGGTGGTTTGAGTTCTGTGAGAGAGTAAATAATGTTCAATAATAGTAGTTATTTTTATCCTTATTTTTTTAAAAAAAGAATAAACCAAGACTTAAAAAAATTATATAACTTGTCCAACTGAGTGGTACTGAAACTCTGGTGTACCTAACTTCAAAGTCCTTACTCTCTTTGATTCCTATTAGCTCAGAAACCTCATTTAATCCTGAAAATAGGCTTAGTATAACTAGGGTAAAAAAAAATACACCTAAGCTGATTAAAAAAAAAATCCAGGCATAAACAGACAATGGTTTACCTTTCTTGGCTAACCTATACTTCTGAATAAGGAAAATGATCATTTTCTCTACATTAGGAGACAAAAGTGGCAGAAATACAAGTCCCTTCTATGACCAGATAACTACATCACCAGAATGGGTGACAAAATATTTCTCTTTAAACAACTAGAACAGGCAATACTTAAGAATTATTCTTCCTCTTTTAATTAAATTCTAAGCAAAAAAAAAAAAAAAAAAATCTAGTTGTTTGAAAGAGCATTGTAACTATGTAAATAACTACTTCCTTGGCATATACGTTATTTTACTCATGAGTACTTTGGCTATTGTCTGAAAATAAAGAAAAGGTTGGTTTAGAATTTTTTTTATATAACTTAATTTTTTTAAAAAAGGAAATTCCTCCAAACCCCGAAATCTGAAATTAAAACTGTTTTTGGTAACTTCACTCTTGGATCCATTGTAGACTGGAGTCTACCAATAAATGTTGGTTTCAGAGGTCACTTCCAATTGTCTATCTGGTTAGCAATATAGAGCTCAATATTTTCACTAACCTCACATACAAACTTCTTAACAATTTAAACTCTGAGACTTTTAAATTGTTTAATCCAGTCAATTCAAAGTTAATACATTAAATGTAGCTAAGAGACACCTGACATAGTAAGCGATAAGTTCTAATAATGTTAGTGTCAATAATAGTCCTTTAATGCTACCCTCTTCAAAAATTGGTGAGTCAACAATTTTAAAATAAATGTTTCTTTAGCAAATTACAGTTACTGTAGTATAGCTGTCTGTGACAAATACAAATTTAATAGAGAAGTTGAAGCTTGTCAATTTGTCCTTGTTACATTTAAATAGAGAATTTAAAATAAACTCTGGAAGTTAGTTTGTAGGAAAAAGAACAATAGTACACAAAGTATAGATAGCCTTCCCGCCATCTAATCAGAATATTCAAACACTTAAATCAAGACCTCCAAATTAAAGTACTAAACAGTAAATGTAATTTAAAAAAAGGAAGTCTCTCTTTACTGCAGCCTTCTGTCATCAGTAAAACAGGAACATCCCAGGAACAGGGAAAATCTAAACCCTTCAGTTAATGCAGTATTTTAACACATAGGCTTAATGTTGTAGAGGCTTTCAGAACCTCAAATCTAAGAAATTTTCAGTAGTTGCAACAAAAAAATAAAATTGTGTTGTTTTAGGGAAATTCACTTTGAAAGCCAAGAACTCTAACCTTTTTAGTTAAAAAGGTTTCCAGGTTTTTGATGTCCTTCCTTCCTAGGCTACATTGAATAGTTCCACTGCATTCCTTTGTTACACCATTTCAGTAACAATCTCCATGGCACCCCTCCCCCAACCCCAAACCACCACAAACTACCCACCTTCATCAAAACACAGACAAAAACATGTTCCAATCAGCCAAAGAAAACTCTCTTTAAACTAAGTGGAAAAATCAGTTGTTTTCAATTTAAAATATTTCTGGTGATTATATAATTTTTAAAGACATAACAACACTGTAGGTTTGGAGAAGGGGTAAAACAACTTAAAGGATTTGTGAAGAAATGGGCAAAAGTATTCTGGTTTTGCACAGTTCCAATCAGTACAATCTTGATATTGTGTTCAGTTTTTAATTACAGACTAAGAGGCTACTTTTCAATGAGTACTTCCCAACGCTGCATCCACTTAGGCATGAATCCCCACTGCACTTACTAGATTAGATGTCTTGACCTTTAGCCAACCATGACTTTGCACTCACCTTAGCTCTTCCTCTGGTAACCCATTTACTCTCAAACTATCGGGGCGATCTCGTCTTCTCCTGTAGAGACCTGAATGTGAAAGCTCTTTAAGCTGTAATGCAGTCATACTTCTCTCCACACATCAATTGCTGACACTTTAAAGCATTTATGCTCAGCAGTGTGGCTGCCAGGGGAAAGCAGCGTCCCTTGCCGAGGGACCTCAGCACACCTGACTCAGCCTTAGAAACCTCCAGGCAGACCAAGCTGCTGAAGCACAGCTTCCTGTTTCTCACTGGTACACACCCTCCTCAGCAAGGCACAACTTGCCTTATCTCTGGGCCTCGCACCTTGGGGAGGGGGGAAGCGGTGACCAAGAAGGCAGGTTACTTACTTGTTTATTAATAAGCAAAATTTAATTGTTATGAATAATCACACCAATTCCTTTAAAAACCTTGCCAGGACCACTCTGAACTAAAATTGGGCTAAAAAGCTCCAGTAAGGTAGTCGCTAAAGAAGGGTCCTGCTGTTTTATTTGCCAGGAAATCCATCAACACTTCACAGGCAGTTGTCAGTTTAAAGAACCGCCTGGTTATAGTGAGCTCCTTAGGGACATTTTCCTTAAAAAGGAGAGGAGGGGCAGAATTCTAAAGGGAAGCAGTCCAATTCCTCCCCCTTACCACTCCACTCTAAATCCTCTTCAGAAGGGAAGGAAGTGTCTTTGGTCCACCCACCCCTCATTAAATATTACTGAAGAATTCATAACTGAAAGGAAGATGGTTTCTTCCTTCATTCATTGTAATTACTGGCTGTGAATAATGCCCTCTCGTAGGAAAGGCCACCCCGGCTGACACAATGCTGTTGGCTTTAAGGTGGAATGGGTCCTATATACCCTGTATTTATCTGTACATTTGACCTCGGAAAGTGACAATGTTAGGAAGGTTTTGGGTGTGGGGATGTGTACAACAGAGGACAGGTTTGGGGAAAGTCCTTCGTCATCCAGCTCAAAGTGATGCTACCCAACAGCAGGCACAGCACGGCCCTCCAATCCACTTCAGTCCCACTGGGAACACAGGACCACACCACAAATACAGGCTACCTCCCAGCAAGATCTTAGCCAGTAGTTTGACTAAATGGTTCTAGGAATTTTTCTCTGGGCAATTTATACCAGCCTCTTTTCCTTTTAGAACCTTCTCGACAAGAACACAGAGAAATGGGTCTGATAATATTTTTACACTAAGAGCTAGAGAGTTATTCCCATCTCTGAGAGAATCTGCTCTATATATACAAAAATTAAGGCAACCCATAGGAAAGGGAAGTCTACATCTTATTCCTTCACTTAGGACACAGATGCTAGTTCCCCTGAGGGCTACCATTTGTTACGCTAGGTCCACGGCCCCAGGAAAAACAAATGACTTTTCATAATTGCCATTCAAACACAGCATATGTTTTTAAAGATGCAGGGAAAAAATTTACCATTTTTGTCACTACACTAGATTTAATGAGTGATGAAACACGTTTTAAAAAATCAGTTGACAGTTACATCTGTCTCCGGGAGGGTATACAAAAAACCGGTAATACTGGCTGCTTCTGAGGGACCTGGGGAGACAGAAGCAGAAGGAAGCATTTCCACTACACACACCACTCTACACCTTCTGAACTTTGAATATATTGCCACTCAAAAACAAATAGAATGTAGAAGATTTAAATACCAAACAATTTAGTTTACAGTAATAGAAACATTTCAATTTAGAACTCCTGAAGTATCCAATTCTTTTTGTTTTGTTTTGTTTTGTTTTTTGAGACAGAGTCTCCCTCTGTCACCCAGGCTAGAGTGCAGTGGCATAATCTCGGCTCACTGTAACCTCCGCCTCCCGGGTTCAAGTGATTCTCGTGCCTCAGCCTCCCCAGTAGCTGGGATTACAGGTTTGCGCCACCACGCCCAGCTAATTTTTGAATTTTTAGTAGAGATGGGGTTTTGCCATGTTGGCCAGGCTGGTCTCGAACTCCAAGCCTCAAGTGATCGAACTGCCTCGGCCTCCCAAATTGCTGGGATTACAGGCGTGTGCCACCGTGCCCAGCCTTCGTTTTTTAAAATCAAGACAAGTTAAAAAAAAAAAAAAAGAACAGAAACAACCACTAATCTTCCTTGTTTTCCCCCACCATCAACACAGAATAGACGCCTAATGAATAAAACACAAATCAATTGTATATTCATTGTAAATACAGAAATCCCAACATTAAATATGACCTGTCTCCATAGGAAATGTAAATAATTGCTTATTTTTAAAAGAGTTTTTAAAAATTAATGCAGCTTGCTGACAAGGGAAAACAACTTGGTGACTACTAAAGGTTAACCAGACAGGAAACACCTAACTGTGTAGGATGAATCCTGCATTTGATGAGACTAGTGTTAAAAGGATGTGCAGGGGGTTAGACGGGGCGGGGGAGAGCAGTAACAGGGACAGTTACCAAGCCATAAAACAAACGAGCTGAAACAATTCTTGCCCTCTGACTTTTAAAAAGGCTGTACTGACAAACAGGAACTTCAGCAAATCAATGCTTATGTTCTGATGAAACTGCCACAGCTGAGTAAAATTAAATTCTGGGCCTTTGGGGAAGGCCTTTTTAACCAGGATCTTTTTTTTTTTTTTTTTTTTTGAGACGGAGTCTTGCTCTGTCGCCAGGCTGGAGTGCAGTGGCACGATCTCAGCTCACTGCAACCTCCACCTCCCGAGTTCAAGCGATTCCCCTGCCTCAGCCTCCCAAGTAGCTGGGATTATAGGCACGCGCAACCACGCCTGGCTAATTTTTTGTATTTTAGTAGAGATGGGGTTTCACCATGTTGGCCAAGATGGTCTTGATCTCCTGACCTTGTGATCTGCCCGCCTCAGCCTCCCAACGGGCTGGGATTACAGGCGTGAGCCACCGTGCCCCGCCTAACCAGGATCTTTTCACTGAAGATAGAGAGAGAGAGAGAGAGGACTGCTTTCCCTCCCCAGCACCCTTCAGACAGCAGCACATCAGCACAGGGAAGGGGGTCAGATGGGCAAACACCCAGGACACACAGCAGGGCCATGACAAAGACAGGGAGGAGTCCCCATCTATTTTTCCTTTCAAATGTACTTTCCCATGGAGATGGAATTATTAATTATGCCTGAATTCTCAGATCAGGCCCTATTTAAAAGGGTTTCAAATTTCAAATAACTGTCTTAGCATGATTTTGACAGTACAGAGGGAGGCCTGTATAAATGCATTTTCTGCGGGTTTCCAAATAGAGATATTTTTCATTTTAGCACTCTAAAAAAATCTTTGAAGGTCAGTCCAGACTCTCATTCAATGCAGAATTCCCCACCGTCATTTTCCCCATGGCCTCATCCCTATACAATATCTATGACCTGGGAGTTTGTCTCTTCATGGACACTTGCAGTGATGGGGAAATTACTACCTCATAAAACTCCTGGGGCTTTCCCCCACATGCCCAGTGGTTCTTGAGGAACAACAGTTCACAAAAACTGGGAATAAGACATTTGCCTTAACAATTGGTCTGGCCCTAATTACAACTTTCTGTCCTTTTTTCCAAACTGCTGGGTTCTCCTTGAATCTGTACTTTGACTCCAGCAGATCTCACACCCCCATCCCAGCTGAGAGGACTGGACTCCAGGAGTTTCCCAGACAGACTGTGCTTCCTCTCACTTTCTAGCCTTTGCACATATGGCTTGGTAAGACTGGAAGAAGGATCACTGGCAGGACTAGCTCCTGATCATCCCACTAAGACTCACTACAAGGATCATCTCTTCCGAGAAACCTTTCTAAACCCCATATCCCACTTACCGCTGCATCTATAGGGCCAGGGACATGGAAGACAGTCACGTTTGTTAAACAAGCTTTATGTTTTAGTTGTTCAACCAATTAATTTTGAGAGCCTAATCATTTTACAATGTCATGTTTGAGAAGAAATCTCCAGAGTTTTGAAGCTTTTTCATTTCTGCATGTAACACTCAATGTTACCTAAATGAGATTTTAAAAGACACACTTCTTCTACAGTATTGGAAAAATTTACTTTCTTGGTGAGACTAAAACTCTGAAGCTTTCATATTTGTGGAGTTGAACAGTACCTTCCACAAGTATAAACATTTTCCATTTGTGATAAGAATAAAAAATTAGCCTGGATTTTTGCCTAAACTTGTCATAGTCCAGCTTTTAGCATCCTGTTGCAATTAACCCCTTCAGATATAAGAGGGTAAAGAAACCTAATTAAACATCAAGCTGTAAATATGATCATTAATGTTACTGAATCATCAATTATTTCTCCTATACAGAGTTAAGAAAGCTGCAAGCTGGTTTCCATGGCTAACTGGGGCTCACTGCCAGTACACTAGGTACTAATGGCTCGTAAACTGGTTGAGCAGCTGTACATTTCCAGGCCATTAATTTCCCTGTGTGACATAAAGGAAGAATGTTATGTTTTGCAGCTAACTTTGCACTTGATGGAAATGAATCATTTTTAGTTTATGTTTTATCTCATAAATAATCATTTACAGGGAAAATCAAATTTTATCTAATAAAGCAAGAATATCCCTCCATACTATGTCCAACACACATTCATCTGGCAAACATTTATTTGCCAGCCAAGCTGTCTTCCTAAGTGAGGCCTCTCAAGACTGCTCTAGGCTATAAATTTGAAGGAAGAACAGGGCTATATATCTGCTGCAGAAAAGGGTTCAACGATGTACCATTGCGAGTAGGCTCAAGGTCAAGCTAACTGGAGCAGAGAGTATGAGAAGGCAGAAGCATCTGTCCACAAAAACTGTTCACTGTGTGGAAAAAAAAAATCATGAAAATATGGTCCCACTCACAAGCAGATAATATTGCAACTGTCTACAAGCCCCTCTGAACTTTCTCCTTAATCAGGCTTCCTGGACCTCTGACACATCTGACTGGACAGGCTGAGCTGTCATTAAAGCTCATGTGAGGCCAGTGTGGTGGCTCACGCCTGGGATCCCAGCAATGTGGGAGGCCGAGGTGAACAGACAGCTTGAGCCCAGGAGTTTGAGACCAGCCTGGGCAACACAGTGAGACCTTATCTTTGCAAGTAATACAAAATTAGCTGGGCGTGGTGGCGAGTGCCTGTAGTCCCAACTACGAGGGAGACTGAGATGGGGGGATCATGATCACTTGAGCCTGGAAGGTCGAGGCTGCAGTGAGCTATGGTCACACCACTGCACTCCAGCCTGGGTGACAGAGTAAGACCCCTATATCCAAAAAAAAAAAAAAAAAAAAAAAAGCCCATGCAAACTTGCCTGTGTCATTCTCATACAGCAGCCTCTTCCACAACCAGCAACATGGGGCCATCAACAGTCTTCAATTTAGACCATTATCAAATGTTCTCAAAAGCCACTGATACAATATGCAAATTTTCCAGGTATATTTCCAAATAATTTAGAATGAAATTCTAAGTAACCTATCCAATCCCACGTTTTCAAGGGGCCAAGGGAGAGTACAAGGTAGGTTAGTGGAAGGATACAAGAGGTGACCAGTAGACATTTAGCTGACAGTTCCACGTTTGGAAACTCCCTTGCTGTGACTACCTTATAAGTACACAGGAAGTCATTTAACTATCACAGTCCTCCATTGTTCCACTTGAATCAGAAGTGGCTGAATTAGGTGACCTCCATGGTCTTCTCTGCAGGCTAACATTACTTGGTTTTCAGACAGGACCTGTGCAACATGACTCCCTGACTAAGCACACTTTTCTCCTTCTTCATATAGTCAGAAATCTCATTCCTGAATAAAGCAGGTACACATGGGCAGGCTCTGCACATTCAGCAATTTCCCAAAGGCATCAGTGTGCCAGGCCTTTGGGGTGTGGAGGAGAACCCTGAACAGCCTCTGGGCTCCCCAGATCCTTCTCCATGAACACCTTTTCTTTGGTCACAAAGCTGCTTGAGGATAAGAGCTCTAGAGTAGATAAGGACCACAAAAAGGCATGCTGATCACCCTAGCCCCACCATACCCCCCACCCGACCCAAAGAGAACAGAGGGTCCTCCTCAACAGAGCGCTGACCTTTCAGGGAAGGAACACAGACAGAAGCTTGCAGCAGGACTGCACTTTTCCTCCCTGAGGGCAAAATAGAGGGTATCTCACTCAATGTAGTAAACTTGCTTCTGGAAAACTACATATAAAGCTAAAACTTTAGCACATAGAATAATTTTTCTTTCCCTAAATGAACTTATTTTTAAAAGGAATTCTAGTGGTACTCTTCACAAATGAGAGCTTTCCACAAATCCAGATTTTCCCATAATTTGACTTAAAACTAGATACATATATATGTATTGAAATCACTTTTTAGATATTGTTTCTATCCGTTCTGCCTGACCACCAACTATACATACAACTATACGCTATAGATTCTAGCGTATCTATATCTGCTCAGCATATTTCTAAACTAAATCGTCATTACAAAAAAATCCAATAGGTTAAATACTTCTGTGTGAGAGGAGAAATGTAACAGTTACTTGCAAGCTAACAGTTCCGATATTCTGAAGACCAGAAAGAACAAAAACGGTTCTTCTCCCTGCCCTGGAATTCAAGGGGTGTGTCTTAAAAAATAAACCACAATTCCTGCCCCACCCCAGTATAGGTTCATGACTATAGCCAATATTGTCAACACATCAACTTTCACTTCAAAATTGTTTTTACCAGGTTATCAAAATACTCCCCAGGTTTTGTGTGCAGTCTAATCTTAAAGGCAACAACACACATAACAAGCTGTGTGGCCACGTTTCTGATATCTGTATTATCCCTTTATTTATTATTTTTTCCTAACTCCGATATAAAAGTTCAATTCAATGACACAAATCTAATTTAGAAATTTAAGGGTATCTAGCCCTAAAGACAAAAGTTTTCCAAAAACTTTTATTTCCTATGTAGTGTTACTATGCCAGAGTGACTGATGGCAACTGAAAATGATAATGTAAACATGTATTTGGCATAAAAATGTGTGTTCATGATCTACCACTGAATGAAAAAAAGACCATAGGATACAAGCTAAGAGATTCTATTTCACATGCAAAGACCACATATGTACATACATTGTATGTGTCCACACCCTCCCCAGCATCTGGAAGAGTGTCTACCAGGACATCTCTGGTTGGCAGAGACTGGAAGCCTAGGCAGGGTCTGGGTGGTGAGAGAGCAAGTTCAGGGCAGTTCGCGTGGAGGAGGCGCCCGAGCATGGTGAGGACCTGTCAAGGGGATGAGACTGCCAGAGGCATGGGCCTTCCAAACCGGGAACACAGGTTTAAAGCGGATGAGAAAAAAGCAAAAGTCACATGCGGAGAGTCTGTCATCAGCCAAGTATAAGAAACAACACAGAAGGGTGCCTGGTGTGCCCCCAACCCAGCTGTGCACCTCACACACCTTTAGTGAGCGTCTAACCTAGGCTGGGGTCTGCTCTTAGCAGCAGAGACTCAGTGGCCTCGTGGAGCCTGCAGTCGAGTAGGGGACACTGGTATCAACCATATAATCACAATTTAAAACATGTCAAGTAGTAGAAAGTAGGGTGCAGAGTGGATGCTGACAGCAGGGAGGGGAGCAGGACAGCAGGGGCAAGCTTCCTGAGACAGAAACACTGGATCTGATCCAAGAAACCAGGCTCAAAAGCAAGAGGGCCTGACCCTGTGGCTGAGGGGAGGGCTAGGAGGTGAAATGAGACAAGAGACATGGGTGGTGGCATGTTTCGAAGGACCTGGTGTTCTTCACCCTGAGAGCCAAGGGCCGCCCGTGTCTTAAGCAGGGTACTGACAAGATCCCACCTGTTTGCTGAGGACCCCTCTCTCTGAGGCAGCAAAGGCCCCAGGGTAAGGACCAGCACAGCTGTGCAGAGCCACATGGCAGTCCATGGAACAGACAGCAGCTTGAGCTAGCCAGGGTGGTGACAGAGAGAACAGCAAGGAGAGTGGACACAGAGATGTGTAGGGAGGGAGGGCAGAAGGGCAGACTGGACACAGAGGGCCAGGGAGGGAGGCAGGAAGCACCCACACTGCTAACGTTTCTCCCCACATTCTTTTGTGGACATAGCAACAAACAGACCTGGTGAACTACAGCATGAGCCAGATGTACTTCATGTTGCCTTAATCTTGTCCACAGAAACGTAAGCGTTTTAAACCTACTTTGACTCTAATAATAAAGACTTTTACGAGTTTACAAAAGAAAAAAGCTAGGACATAAAAATGTTTGCTTGTATTGTAAAGCTCAGTCTCTCAACTATTTATGTAATATAATTATTACTAACAACTGACGTTGGAGTACCTACCCAGCACATTATGTGTTATTAACCTCCATCTCAACCCTATGAGGCATGTATTGTGATTATACCCATTTACAGATGGGGAAACTGAGTCTTAAAGCAGTTAAACGACTTGACCAAACAATACAACCAATAAGAGTGTGTGGATCCAACCCAAGTTGATTTGACTCAAAGATTCCTGTTTCAGTCATTAAACTGCACTGTCCCAGGGCCTAAAACATTCTCCCCCACAGACCATCACAAGGTCAAGTCTGAACTAGCACTGCCTCTCAACACTGACAACCTAACCCCGGAAGCTTCTGGGAAACTGGGTGCATGACAGGCGCAGGAGCCGCAGCGCAAGCCCCGGAGTGTAAACACTGACTAGAAACCACCCAGACACCTCAGCCAGCCCACACCTTCTCTCTCTCCAAATGACCCAGACCTAGTCCACGTGAATATTGTGAATGGTCGGTTTGAGGGTTCTGAAAGGAGCCTCGTGAGGTGCTCAGGTGCAGTCCCCACTCATATGAGTATTCCTCTTCAGCTGGTTTTCTCCTGCAGGTTTGGAGGCAAAAGCTAGTGAAAGAAGTGACCTTCTATGTAACTGAATTCCTAGATTCCTTAGGAGTCTTTGGGTCCAAATTACCCAAAAGACTTTATTTCCTTTTAGAGTACATGGAATTATTCAATGTTTCCAACAGTTCTGGAAAAAAAAAAAAGGCAGATTCTAACAGGTTTTCTTCATCATAGCAACTACGCTGAAACCAAGGGTACTGTTGAACAGCAACACGCACTGGAAGCAATACAAACAGCAAACTTCAGGAGAGCGTGGGTGTATGAAGAGGCACTGATGATGTGTGACCACACCGATTTCGGTTCCTCTGAGAACACTTCATACCACAAACACACTTTAGAGCTCAAGCTGGTCAAGCAGCCACTTGCTCCTACTGCTTCATGCAAAGGAAGTCTGGTGAAGAAGGTGATTCTAATTCTAAAACACAAATCAAACCAGTCACTCTGTGAGACTAATAAAAGAAAGGCCTGAAGTTTTAATCCTCCAATCCTGATCTCAAGAACCCCTGCCAAGAGAAAAAACTCACTCTTAGGGCATATATATATGTATATATATATATATATGTGTGTGTGTGTGTGTGTGTGTGTATATGTGTGTGTATATATATATGTGTGTATATATAATATATGTATATATATTTTATATATGTGTATATATAATATATGTATATATATTTTATATATGTATATATATATTTTATATGTGTGTATATTTTATATATGTGTGTATATATTTTATATATATGTGTATATATATGTGTGTATATATATATATATATATTTTAGATCATGGTTCACAGCAACTTCTGCCTCCCTGGCTCAAGCAATCCTCCCACCTCAGCCTCCTAGTAGCTGAGACTACAGGCTCATGCCACCACGCCCAGCTAATTTCTGTATTTTTGTAGAGACAGGGTTTTGCCACATTGCCCAGGCTGGTCTCGAACTCCTGAGCTCAAGCGATCCCCACGCCCCGGCCTCCCACAGAGCTGGGATTACAGGCGTGAGCTACTGCACCCAGCCTAGAGCCAATATTTTTGATTGATCAAAACACTCTAGGGAACTATGTTCTACTGAACAAAAATTCCCAAAATAGAAGTGAAATACCTCAAAATGTAATGAGACCACTATATAGAACCAAAGCAAGTGCACTATTTCTAAGGAAAGTGAAAAAAAACATTGATAGGTTATTTTTTAAATCAGAGCCTTGGGGAAGAAATAAAGGCTCTGATTATTCCTTCCCCGGGGCTCAATATAATTTAGGAAATAGCACCTTGGTCAAGAGCTAGATGTATTGAGTGCTTCTTATGCGCCCAGAACTGTGATAAGCACTTTGCATACACTTACCAAATTTAGTTTTTACAATAATCTAATGAAACAGTACTATTATTATTCCCATTTCAAAGGTGATGAGACAAGACATAGAAAGTGTAACTTACTATACAGTTATTACGTAATTGAGTGAAAAACTGAAACCTGGCCTCAGCCTGGTTTTAAACCATAACGGTGTACTGCCTGCTAGTCAGAAAATGGTTATTTTTCTCAGCAGTAGATGAGAACTTATAATCAGAAATCATTTAAAAATTCAACCACGGCTAAACACAATGTGGTATCCTCGACTGATTGATGGCATAGAAAAAAGACATGATGAAGATAATGGAAGGTGCTGACAAGAGGGGAAGCTAGGTGAGGACTATGTGAGGATTATCTGAGCTCCTGACCTCTGCAACTTTTCTATAAATCTAAAATTATTCCAAAATAAGGTTTATTTTAAAAATTCAAAACTTTAATTCTACATGACAACAGAGCTGGTATCTCTGTCAATGACTGGAGGAAAAACAGAGAAGGGGTTTTCCTGCAGATTAAGAGAGACTTAACAGACATATCAATCAAATGTATTATTAAACTATGGCCTTTGTTTAGATCTTGGTTTAAAGAAAACAAATGTAGAATGCTACTCTTGGGACAAGTGAGGACATTTGATTATGGGTGGGGTACTGGATGGTGATAAAGAATTATCACTCGTTTGTTAGATATGGTAATAGCATGTCCATCTTCTCAGAGACCAGCTTATAAAAGAAAATGTCCATCTCCTCAGGGACCAGCCCTGAGGTATTTTGGGATGAAATGACCTGATGTCTGGGATTTGCTTTTAAATAATTAAGAAAGAAAAGAAAAGAAAAAAGAATATGTGAAGCAAATATGGCAAGAAGTGTGGGTGATGAGTATAAGGATTGTTTCTTCTATTTTTATATTAGAATGAAAATTTTCAGGCTAGGTGCAGTGGCTCACACCTGTAATTCCAGCACTTTGGGAGGCCAAGGCAGAAGAACTGCTTGAGGCCAGGAGTTGAGACCACCCTGACCAACATAGTGAGACCCCATCTCTATTTTTAGAAAATAAAAAAGAATAGTTTTATAATAATACACACACACACACACACACACACACACACACACACACACACACACATTTTTTGTAACAGAGTCTCACTTTGTCGCCCAGTCTGGAGTGCAGTGGCACGATCTGGGCTCACTGCAAGCTCCACCTCCCAGGTTCACGCCATTCTCCTGCCTCAGCCTCCCAAGTAGCTGGGACTACAGGCGCCTGCCACCACACCTGGCAAATTTTTTTGTATTTTTAGTAGAGACAGGGTTTCACCATGTTAGCCAGGATAGTCTTGACCTCCTGACCTCGTGATCCGCCCACCTCGGCCTCCCAAAGTGCTGGGATTACAGGCATGAGCCACCGCGCCCGGCCAATAAAATATTTTTAAGTTAAAAAAAAACTTCAACCGTGGGGATGAAAACAAGCATAACTTCCTTAAAGCCAGAAGGTCATACACTGCTGTATATGTGTGCAGTGTGATGCACCGACAGCACAGCAGAAGGCATCAGGTCAGGACTCCTGGGTTTTCTGGGTGCTTCCTCTAATGAGAGATCTGAAGTATCATATCTGAGGATGTTAAATAGATTGCCCAAGATCATATGAAATACATTAAGGGATATGTTACATTGTGAAAGAATGGCACCAGGAAAAGGGAGGAGAGAATATTCTAGATGGAGAGGAGAATGCAAAGGCATGGGAAGGTGGAGAAGTGAGCCAGGGAACAGTGGGCGCCTCACTCTGGAAACAGTAGGAGCAATGACTGCGGGGAGCCGGGCAGTTTAGAGTCAGCTTTTGAAGAGTGAGAGCCAGGCTGATGGGTTTATGTGACAGGTGATAAGCCACACAAGGTTAGAATTCCGGGTGGGGAGGGGTGCAATCCTGGAGACAACCAGTTGTGGAAGCAGCTCCAGGCAGCAACACCTGCCATGGGGGAGGGAAGAGAAGACTCCAGAGGAGAAGCCTTTATGCTTTGCCAGGTAAACAGGTTGCTAAGAAAAAAATCAAACAAGATTAGCACACACACCAACACAGGAAATTATTTTGCATGTATTTAGCCAGATCATGCCCCAAATGAGAACACTTCAAACCCTCAGTACTCTCGAATCACCGATCCCACCCTCTTTTTCTATTACTCTTGGGAGATAACCCCACCTATGTTAGAGAAAACAGAAGTCTTCAGAAAGACGCCACCTCAGCTGTCTCCAAGCTATTGTCCCTACTTCTTTCAGAGTGCCCTCCGTCCAACTGCAAGTTAAAATATAGCACAAAATTAGTCCTGCCCTGAGTCTGCATTACTGTCATCTCGTTCTAGTGGCAGTAATGACGGTAATAATCATGGTGTTAATGCTTCACATACTATTTCATTTGATCCCCCTAACACCCTGTGAAATGAGCGGTATCCCTATTTCTCGGAAGTAGAAACTGGGCTCCCAACTGGTGAGTGACAGAATGGGGACTGGAATGGGCATCAGGGGCCCCATCTATGATCACTCTACTACCCTGCTTCTCTCAAGATCAAGAAAACAGATTTCTAAAATAGTGATGTCTTCAATGAAATGCTGTATAGCTGTAAAAGAAAATTCACTGAAGCACACATCTACACAAATAAATGTTTTAAAAATGTGAGTGGGCCGGGCGCGGTGGCTCACGCCTGTAATTCCAGCACTTTGGGAGGCCGAGGAGGGCAGATCATGAGGTCAAGAGATAGAGACCATCATGGCCAACATGGTGAAACCTCGTCTCTATTAAAAATATAAAAATTA
Organism: Homo sapiens; assembly: GCF_000001405.40. Lineage (NCBI taxonomy): Eukaryota > Metazoa > Chordata > Mammalia > Primates > Hominidae > Homo > Homo sapiens. The sequence goes on along the minus strand of NC_000002.12, from coordinate 108,608,469 downwards.
GCTGGGTGTGGTGGCGGGCGCCTATAGTCCCAGCTACTCGGGAGGCTGAGGCAGGAGAATAGCTTGAACCCGGGAGGCGGAGGTTTCAGTGAGCCGAGATCACGCCATTGCACTCCAGCCTGAGTGACAGAGCGAGACACCGTCTCAAAAAAAAAAAAAAAAGTGAGTGAAAAAGGCAACTTGCACAGTGACACAAACAGTATACACCAAGGAAAACCTAAAGGAAAGACGGAATCCCATGCACTGTTAAGAATACATAAATGTGTAATGAAAGTATAAAGATATGCACAAAAGTGAGCCAAACTCCATTAAGGAAAGGGCTTCTTCGTGGAGGAAAACAGGAGGAGGGAATGTGATTGGAAGAGGAAACTGAACCAAGAGACCTCAACTCTGTAAGGTGTTATTTCTTGAGGTGGGTGGTAGATATTTGGAGGTTCCTTTTATTAATTTCAATATCTTCATTATTTTTAAAAGAAGGAAAGATGAAGATGCAAAGCAAACACTCTGAGTATGTAAGTCCACAAAGTTTCAAAGCACTGCGCCTGCCACCATGTGGCTCCTGAAGATGTTACAGGCACACAATTTTCAGAGGACAAAAGGGGCATTAACTCTGAGACCAATATCACATGAATGTTACCCACAGTGAAAGCCCAAGGAGCCCCTACTTGATACATAACCAATATTAAAATCATATCCATTTCCAAATAATGCTTAATAAAACAGAAGACATAAAACATTATGCTAGGAGCCCACTCAAAGGAAGACGAGAAAAGTTAAGGGATATAAACTATAAGACTAGTAAAAACAGATGGGAAAGACTGGGTTTCAGGCACAATTAACAGGTAAATGAGGACCTGTGAATTGACTTTAAGACCCAGAAGTAAATAAGCAAAAAGAATACAGTAAAATGGAACTCCGCCCATGGTATTAATAATTTCACTTGTAAAACTTAGTACTTTTAATAGGCAAATTTATTAGAGAGATCAATACCTCTTTTCTGGTTATATCCAGGTTAGAGAGAAATACCTAAAAATGAAACCATAGTGAATCCTACTAGATGCACAAAAATACACCCTTGTGTAAAAATCACTTCTATATGTGCACACATGTACTATTTATGTGATGAAGATACCAGACAACTGGTGTGCTCAATTATGTTCTATTTGTGTTTCATTTGGAGGGGGAACAGCTCAATATTGTGCAGCAGCACTCACCATGTCATGTATCTTGATTCGATGTGTCCCTCATCAGCTGGCTGTCCAAGCTAAGCTCTCCATGCTCATAGATGGCACCCTCTCACTGTGTCCTCACATGCAGGAAGGGGCAAGCAGGCTCCCTTGGGCCTATTTTATAAGGGCAGTAATCTCATTCATGAAAGCTCTGTTCTCGTGACCTAATCATCTCTCCAAAGGCTCCACCTCCTAATACTCTTACTTTGGGGTTAGAAGTTCAACATATGAATTTTGGGGAGACACATTCAGACCACAGCAGCATGGTACATGAGACATACCCTTTACTGCATACTCACCTGTGTGGCCTCATTCCAATCACTTTTCCCCTTCTAACAACTAATTGTGCTATATTTTAATTTCCCAACCACTTCCCTAGACTCAGCACACTCTTGTGTTTCCAGGATCTACCATTTCTCTATGTGGATGAACCTCCAGCCTCTCTCCTCACATAGGACTCCCACAATATTCCCATTTGGTGGAGCCTTCCAGAGCTCCCCCAGGGAGGCAGTGGAAGCTGTTTTCTCCTCTGGGATCCTACTGAACTTTAGACAAATCTATTTTGTTGCACTTGCTGTATTGTGTGTTGTTTATACGTTGGTTGCTCTTCCTCACTGAAATGTGAGCTCTTCAAGCCTGGCAACAGTAGGTACCTAAGAAATGCTTCTTGAATGGTTGAATTCAGTTCAGAAGCTTCATACAAACATGATAGTGCTAATAAAATTGTAAAAGTACCTTACAAATTGTGATTTTTTCTTACTAACGTATACACACATGCACATATACTGAAATCCGCCCCCCTTCCAAAAAAAGTCCTCGGTTCAGTGACAGAGTTTGCTGGTGAATCCAGCTGGCTTCACCTTGGTGAAGAATCCCACCTTGGTGAATTTTTAAAAATGTAAAGTCTGACCTTCAGCTTCTGAAGCTGAGCAATGAATGTTGTCAGCACCCTAAGGTAGACCTGCCACTCAAGCATCCTCATTCACCAACTTTTAGAACTGACGTGTAAAACCACAACTCCAACTTGCAAACTAAAATATCTAGCTTTCATAAGTAATGTGTTCTCTCCTAGACACAGGTCAAATGAAAACCTAAGTTATAATTAGAAGGTTGTCTGGTGTGCCTGAATTCATAAAAATAGTTATACAGTCTGAATACTCAGTGACTACAACAGCCAGATTCACCTCCCCCAAACTGGGGGCAGAGCTGGCAGCAGGAACCTGGTACTTGGGCCCGAGGGCCACGCTGCCTGGCCCCCAGGCCTGGTTGCCAGCTTCACCTCTGTGACTGCCCATACAACTGCTGCTTCCATGCTCACCGGGCCTTTCAGATGGTCATGTCCTTTCTTTACATACACATCCAGAGCCACTCCATCCCCTTTAGGAGACTACAGAGCTCTACTCCTGTGTCAAGTTTGAAGTTTCACTCTCAGAGGATAATCTGACTTCTTTTCTTTCCAAGTTGCTCTTGGGTCCCTCACTGTAGTCTAATATGGCCCACAATACACAGATAAAATGAACTTGGTTATAAGGATGAAGACTACACTGGATGGCATTCTCTAAGTGGGGCATCACTAAGTCCAAACACTGACACATTCTTCTGCTTGTGTTTCTGCTTATGTGAAGCCATGTGCTGGGCATGTAGTAGGTACTGGGCAGACATTTTTGGAATGAATAAAGAGGAAAATGGGGACAGCATAAGATGCTGAAAGGAATAAATTTCAGTAAGTTTCAAAATATGGAAAATTTTAAAAAATTTTATAAAAAATTAGGTATTTTGAGTGAGCTCTTTAGCTTGACACATGTAGGTTTCTAAGATGCAAGCAACAGAAACCACCTTGGGTTAATTTTAAGTAGAAGAGATATTTAATAAATGATATTTGAATGCTCACAGACTCTGCAGGATTAACAAAGAACCGAGCTTATAACAACACCTTGCCCAGCAGGGGAAGTCTGTCCCCAGCCCTACACCTTTGGACACAGTGTACCACATGGACCAATGCTGGGTACTGGGCTGTGCTGCTCACACCAGGTTCTATTGCTGCCCCTAAACAATGGGTGTCATGAGTGCTGTTACAACCGTGCTCTCCAGAAATGATTCCAGGCAATCCCTATTTCTTTGCATCTCTAGCTCTCAGGTCACAGTCCAATACAGGTGTACCTAATGGCCAGAGCCCAAGACACATTCCTGTGCCTCAGCTGCAGCTGCAGGTGAGGCTAGGAAGGCAGTCATCTGGCCCTTCCAGATTCTCAAGAGGGAGCAAGCTTCAGTATCCTGTTCAGACTCACAAGGTGGGGAATCATCAGACAACTGGATTCCAGTGAAAAAGGAACTATGTGGCATTAATCCCTGACCCATCAATCCTTCCTGCAGGTAAATTGCTCTTACCTGGCGGAGATCAAATTTCAGACTACCAAGTGCTCTGTACAGTTGAGATGCTGCCTTACTGTCTGTCCAACAGACTCTACTCCTGCTGGTCCCCTGTTTCATCCTTCATCCAACTCAGAGGAGCAGGGGCAGTGGGGGTGGTCTTAGACAACTCTCTAGTGCTCTTCCAGGACAGAAAGAACGGAAGCTAACTAATGCTAGTTACAAGAAACCCATCTTGAGGAAGGGGGATGAGGAGCAAGACTTGTTTTAAGGTAATTAAAATATGTTAATATCCAGTCATTTCTATTAGAACAAAATTTAATTTGAGAGGCTAAGGATAAAAGATCTGAATGCAGTAACCGTCTAAAATTTGAAAATGTTAAGTTTTCAAAAATTGCTACAACTCCTCTATGGCACGAATCATCAAACTTCTGTAAAAGGCCAGATAGTAAATATTTTAGGCCTTGCAGGCTATAAAGTCTTTGTGGTGACTAGTCAACCCTGCCCTCGTGGTTCAAAAGCAGCCACAAACAATAGTAAAGAAGTAAATGTGGCTGTGTCCCAAGAAAACTTTAGTTATGAACACTGAAATTTGAATTTCATATAATTTTCATATCATCCTTTTATTTTTTTCTCAACCATTAAAAAAGGTCAAAATATTCTTAGCTCACACGCTGTAAAAAAAATAGGAGGCCAGAATAAAACTAGAAATAAATAACAAGAGGAATTTTGGAAACTATATAAATACATGGAAAGGAAACAATATGCTCCTGAATGACTAGTGGGCCAGTGAAGAAATTAAGGAAAATGAAAAATTTCTTGAAACACATGATAATGGAAACATAACATACTAAAACCTATGAGATATAGGGAAAGCAGTACTAATAGGGAGGTTTATAGCTCTAAATGTCTACATCAACAACAAAAAACCCTTCAAATAAATAACCTAACAATGCATCTTAAGGAACTAGAAAGGCAAGAGCAAACCAAATCCAAAATTAATAATAGAAGAAAAGAAATAATAAAGTTCAATAAAAAGTTTTTTTAAAAAGTTAAACAAAATTGATAAACCTTTAGTCAGACTGAGAAAAATAGAGGACCTAAATAAATAAAATCAGAGATTAAAAGGAGGCCAGGCATGGTGGCTCACAGTACTTTGGGAGGCCAAAGCAGGCAGATCATTTGAGGTCAGGAGCTCAAGACCAGCCTGACCAAGAGCTAAAACTCTGTCAAATGTAATCCCAGCTAGCCAGGAGGCTGAGGCAGGAGAATCACTTGAACCCAGGAGGTGGAGGTTGTAGTGAGCCAAGATAACTCCAGCCTAGGTGACAGAGCAAGACTCTGTCTCAAGTGGAAAAAAAAAAAAAAAAAAAAAGGCGATGAAAAGGAGACATTACAACTGATACTGCAGAAATTCAAAGGATCATTAGTGGCTACTATGAGCAACTATATGCCAATAAATCGGAAAATCTAGAAGGAATGGAAAAATTCCTAGATACATACAACCTACCAAGATTGAATCATGAAGAAATCCAAAACCTGAACAGACCAATAACAAGTAACGAGATCAAAGCCATAATAAAAAGTCTCCCAGTAAAGAAAAGGCCAGGACCTGACGGCTTCACTGCTGAATTATACCAGACATTTAAAGAAGAACTACTACTAATCCTACTGAAACTATTCTGAAAAATAGAGGAGAGGGGAATACTTCCAAACTCATTCTACAAGGCCAGTGTTACCCTGATAACAAAACCAGAAAAAGACACATCGAAAAAAAGAAAACCTGGTCAGGCGAGTGGCTCGTGCCTGTAAATCTCAGCATTTTGGGAGGCCAAGGCAGGCAGATCATTTGAACCCAGGTGTTCCAGACCAGCCTGGCTGGGTACCATGACGAAACCCTAAAAATACAAATAAGTCCCTGCAAAAAAATACAAAAAATTAGCCAGGCATGGTGGCACATGCCTATACTCCCAGCTGCTCAGGAGGATGAGATGGGAGGATTGCTTGAACTCAGTAGGTTGAGGTTTCAGTGAACCATGATTGCACTACTCACTCCAGCCTGGGTGACACAGCAAGACCCTGTCTCAATAACAAAAATAATAATAAAAGAAAACTACAGGTCAATATCTCTGATGAATTTTGATGCAAAATTCTTCAACAAAATACTACAAAACAGAATTCAACAACACAATCATTCATTATAATCAAGTGGGATTTATCCCTAGGATGCAAGGATGGTTCAACACATGCAAATCAATCAGTGTGATAAATCAATCAATGTGATACATCATATCAACAGAATGAAGGATAAAAACCTTATGATCATTTCAACTGATGCTAAAAAAGCATTTGATAAAATTTGACATCACTTCATGATTTTAAAAAACCCTCAAAAAACTGGGTATAAAAGCATACCTCAACATAATAAAAGCCATGTATGACAGACCTACAGCTAGTATCATACTGCGGGGAAAAACTGAAAGCCTTTGCTCTAAAATCTGGAACACGACAAGGATGCCCACTTTCACCACTGTTATCAACACAGTACTGGAAGTGCTAGCTAGGGCAATCAGAGAAGAGAAATAAAGGGCATCCAAATTGGAAAGAAGTCTTCAAATTATCCTTGTTTGCAGATGATATGATTTTATATTTGGAAAAACCTAAGGACTTCACCAAAAAACTATTAGAGTTGATAAATTCAGTAAAGTTGGAGTACACAAAATCAACATACAAAAGTCAGTACCATTTCTATATGCCAATAGTGAATGACCTGAAAAAGAAATTTAAAAAGTACTCCCATTTACAATAGACACAAATAAAATAAAATACCCAGGAATTAATTTAACCGAAGAAGTGAAACATCTCTACAATGAAAACTATAAAACACTGATAAAGAAAATTGAATAGAACACCAAAAAATGGAAAGACATTCCATGGGTTGAAAGAATCAATATTGTTAATATGTCCATACTACTCAAAGCAATTTATAGATTCAATAAAATCCTTATCAAAATACCAATGACATTCTTCACAGAAATAGAATAAACAATTCTAGGCTGGGTGCAGTGGCTCACACCTATAATCCCAGCACTCTGGGAGGCCAAGGTGGGTGGATCACCTGAGTTCAGGAGTTCGAGACCAGCCTGGCCAACATGGCGAAACCCTGTCTCTACCAAAAATACAAAAATTAGCCAGGCATGTGTGTGGAGGAAAAGTTAAATATTAAATTTGAACTCAATTGAACATGGACACAAACAATGGTCACTAAGTCCTGAAACAGGTTGAGTGAGCCCCTTGAGGCATTCATCCATCGCTGTTTCAGAGAAATCTCTATTTCAATCTATTCTTACACGTTAGTTATTAAAAAACAATAGACAATCGCAAAAACAAGTTGTGACCTTTTTGTGTTCCTTAAGCCCAGTCACGAAGGGCACTCGTGACTGGGTCTCATGCCAAACAACTTGTTACGAAAACAGCTAGAGTCCCAGACTGCACCGAAACTTCATGAGACCTTCCCTCGCTGTGCACGGACAAGTGTCTGACTCTGGAGCCCAGGCTGTTGCTTCCCGGTCTGGTGATGAATCCTCCATAGTTTGGTGAGTGTAAGAAAATATATATATATATCTTTTCCCTTCTCCCCTTTTCATTGCAATTTGTTTATTATATCATTTGTTTATTATATCTGCATTGCCATTTACGTGGGATAAAGCTTGTTTACCCTTAAAGGTATTGTGTGTGTGTTTTTCTTCCCCCCTCAGGCATCTCCCGCACAGAACAGCATGGTGGCGGGTGCCTGTAATCCCAGCTACTCAGGAGGCTTGAGGCAGGAGAATCGCTTGAACCCAGGAGGCAGAAGTTGCAGTGAGCAGAGACTGCATCAGTGCACTCCAGCCTGGGTGACAGAGTAAGACTCTGTGAAAGAAAAGTGAAGAAAAAAGAGAAGAGAAGAGAAGAGAAGAGAAGAGAAGAGAAGAGAAGAACGAACAATTCTAAAATTTATGTGGATTCACAAAACAGCTGAATAGCCAAAGCTATCTTAAGCAAAAAGAACAAAACTGGGGGAATCACATTACTGGATTTCCAATTATACTGGAGAGCTATAGTAACCAAAACAGCATGGTATTGGCATAAAAACACACATATAGACCAATGGAACGGAATAGAGAACCCAGAAACAAAATCCACACACCTACAGTGAAGTCATTTTCCATAAAGGTGCCAAGAACGTACACTGAGGAAAAGACAGTCTCTTCAACAAATGGTGCTGGGAAAACTGAATATCCATAATGCAGAAGAATGAAACTAGACCCCTACCTCTCACCATAAACAAAAATCAAATCAAAATGAATTAAAGACTTAAATCTAAGATCTTAAACTATGAAACTAGTATAAGGAAATGTCTGGCAAACTCTCAAAGATATTGGTCTGGGCAAAAATTTATTGAATAATACCCCACAAGCACAGGCAACCAAAGCAAAAATGCACAAATGGGATCACATTAAGTTAAAAAGCTTCTGCAAGGCCAGGCGTGGTGGCTCATGCCTGTAATCCCAACACTTTGGGAGGCCGAGGTGGGCAGATCACCTGAGGTAAGGAGTTCAAGACCAGCCTGGCCAAAATGGTGAAACCCCATCTCTACTAAAAATACAAAAAATCAGCCGGGCGTGGTGGCGGGTGCCTGTAGCCCCAGCTACTCGGTAGGCTGGGGCAGGAGAATCGCTTGAGCCCAAAAGGCGGAGGTTGCAGTGAGCAGAGATTGCGTCACAGCACTCCAGCCTTGGCGACAGAGTGAGTGAGACTCCATCTCAAACGACAACAACAACAACAACAAAAACAACAAATACAGCTTCTGTACAGCAAAGGAAAACAGTCAACAAAGAGAAAAGACAACCACAGAATGGGAGAAGATATCTGCAAACTAACCATCTGACAAGGGGTTAATAACCAGAATATATAAGGGGCTTAAACAACTCTATAGTAAAAAAATCAAATATAATAATCTGATCAGAAAATGGGCAAAATATATGAAAAGATATTTCTCAAAAGAAAACGTACAAATGGCAAACAGGCCTATGAAAAGGTACTCAATACCACTGATCATCAGAGAAATGCAAATCAAAAGTACAATGAGATCTCATCTCGCCCCAGTTAAAATGGCTTATAACCAAAAGACAGGCAATAACAAATACTGGTGAGGATGTAGAGAAAAGGGAACCCTTGTACCCTGTTGGTGGAAATGTAAATGAGTACAATCACTGTGAAGAACAGTATGGAGGCTCTTCAAAAAACTAAAAATAGAGCTACCATAGGATCCAGCACTCCCACTGCTGGGGATATAAACTAAAGAAAGGAAATCAGTATATCAAAGAGATATCTGCAGCACTGATCACAATAGCCAAGATTTGGAAGGAACCTAAATGTCCATCAACAGATGAGTGGATAAAGAAAAAATGTGGTACTTATATACAATGGAGTATTATTCAGCCATAAAAAAGAATGAGATCCAGCCATTTGCAACAACATGGATGGGACTGGAGATCATTATGTCAAGTGAAATAAGCCAGGCACAGAAAGACAAACATCATTTGTTCTCACTTATTTTTGGGATCTAAAAATCAAAACAATTTAACTCATGGACACAGAGAGTAGAAAGATGATTACCAGAGGCTGTGAAGGGTAGTGGTGAGATGGGGAATGGGAAGGGAATGGTTAATGGGTACAAAAACATTAGTTAGAAAGAATGAATAAGACCTAGTATTTGATAGCACAACAGGGTGACTACAGTCAATAATAATTAGATTGGACATTTAAAAATAACTAAAATAATATAATTGGATTGTTTGTAACATAAAGAATAAATGCTTGAGGGGATAAATATCACCCCCCCAATAAAATAATTAAACAGAAACAGGAGGTAGATTTGGCCCACAGACTGAAGTTTAGAGACTCCTCCTTAATAGGAAGAACTAAATACCATATTGGACAAACTTAAACAAAATATCATTACTATAGAGCCTTGAGAAAACAGATTTTTCTTTATAAGATGCTAACTCCTTAAATGAAATAGTGGCCACCACAATTACTGAAGGAATACCTTAAAGACCCACACAACCACAGCTTTTTGAAAGACCAGGGCTACGTTTACAATGACAGGAGAAACAGACACAGCTTCCGTGTTGCCTGAACTGGCATAAACAACAGAAGAAATGAACAGTGTCAGACTGGCACACATCTGCCTGGCCAGGGCCTCATTCCCACACTCCGTCCGTTCTCCCAAAAGGATTCCCCACCCACCACCCCCCAGATGGCTAGTATCCAACCATCAGGGCTTAATCCTAAGCAAAATATCGAACTAGCTGTTTTCTTCTCACTGGCCTCATATCTGCAAAGCTAACCATCCGGCTGCCCTACCTTCAGCTTTCCTTCCAAACATAGTACTCCTCAGTCTCTCCTTCCTCCTAGCCTATACAAAGTCACAGTTTATGTTAATTTTATTAAAGCTATGTCAACAACAACAAAAAGTCTCAAATCACATCTAAGACATACCAGGTGACACAAATTCGTTTATAAATGAAAAAGTTTGGATAAAGTAGACATTTTTTTAGTTTACTATGAACTGATGATATACTGGCAAACTTACTAGATGGAGGGCTTTGAGCCAGCTACTTACACATCATGTCCTAATCTATGAAATAGCCCACGCTGCAGTTGTAGGGATGAGGGGTAAAGTTCATAAGCCACCCAGTGCACAGCCAACCACAGTGGGTGCTCATAATTGGTAGCTATTCCTAGGATGATGAGAAACAAGGATATATTAGAAAACATTCAGAATTCATCTGTAGAACAGGTGGGAGAAGGCTTTAAAAAAATAGCATTTCTGGCCAGGTGTGGTGGCTCACACCTGTAATCCCACCACTTTGGGAGGCTGAGGCGGGCGGATCACCAGGTCAGGAGTTCAAGACCAGCCTTGCCAACATAGTGAAACCCCGTCTCTACTAAAAAATACAAAAAATAGCCGGGTGTGGCAGCGGGCGCCTGTAATCCCAGCTATTCGGGAGGCTGAGGCAGGAGAATCACTTGAACCTAGGAGGCAGAGGTTGCAGTGAGCTGAGACTGCATCACTGCACTCCAGCCTGGGCAACATGCAAGACTCTGTCGCAAAAAAAAAAAAAAAAAAGCATTTTTGCTTGTATTATAGATAAGTGAAAAGGAGAAAAAAGAAACATGCACAAAGAAATTCTTTTAGTTATGCAGGTAGAGACAGTCTGTGTGTGTGCCTCTGTCTCTTTCACACAGACATACGTACAAGCAAGCACATACACAGGAACCTACAATGGCAACCTGCCGGAAAGAACTTGATGTTGTATGCTAGAAAACATCACCCTCTAGTGACTGCTAGTGTATTTGTTGCTTATTCAATTTATCAAGAATTCACAACATTTTAACTCTTCTATCCAAAAAAATGCTTTTAAAAAGTCTTCAGAAATGCAATCATCATTACAATCACGTGTTGCTGTGGCTGCACTGGGGGCATGAATTCCTGGAAGTTATACAAAAACTTTCTATGCATGTGCCTTTGTGCATTTTCTTCTATGAATGTCGTTAAGTGTTGAGTCTCAAAGTGGTCTGTGAATAAAAAAAAAGGTCAAATTAAGATGTTTTGACCAAGCACGGTGGCTCACATCTGTAATCTCAGCACTTTTGGAGGCTGAGGCAGGCAGATCACCTGAGGTCAGGAGTTCGAGATCAGCCTGGCCAACAAGGGGAAACTCCACTTCTACTAAAAATACAAAAATCAGCTGGGTGTGGTGGTACGTGCCTGTAATCCCAGCTTCTCGGGAGGCTGAGGCAGGAGAATCGTTTGAACCCAGGAGGCAGAAGTTGCAGTGAGCCAAGATCATGCCACTGCACCTCAGCAACAGAGCAAGACTCAAAAAAAAAAAAAAAAAAAAAAACAGATGTTTCGTAGGGAAATTAATGAACCATCCCAAGTACTTCAAGTTCCTATTTCCTCAACATGCCCCCCTCCTTTTTATTTTTATTTTTTTTTGAGACGGAGTTTTGCTCTTGTTGTCCAGGCTGTGCAATGGCGTGATCTCGGTTCACAGCAACCTCTGCCTCCCAGGTTCAAGCGATTCTCCTGCTTCAGCCTCCTGAGTAGCTGGGATTACAGGCATGCACCACCACGCCTGGCTAATTTTGTATTTTTAGTTGAGATGAGGTTTCTCCATGTTGATCAGGCTGGTCTCAAACTCCTGACCTCAGGTGATCTGCCCATCTTGGCCTCCCAAAGTGCTAGGATTACAGGCGTGTGCCATGCCCGGCCAACATGCCCTTTCTTTACATACATCCCTAATGGGGAAAGTAAAATCTGAGACCTAACTGAATTCCATTGATCTGTTCTGTAAATCATTTTACATTTATGTTAATCTTCCAAAAAGTGTGCTCCCATTTTCCTCACCTCTTATTTTTAAAATGTTATCATATATAACACCAGACTCCTGAGCCACCCTCTGGCTTTTCTGCCCCTTCCACAGCTACAGCTCATCTTCCACGGACCCTTTCATTTCCTCCTTTGGAAATTAAAGACAGCACATGCTCATTTATCTCACACTCTTTTGTAAGAATTACAAATTAACTCGTATTAATACTAAGAGTATTAATTATCGCTAATTAGAAATAAGCTGAGAAAGATAAAGTACTATACAAATGTTGGCCGCTGAATGGCTACAGGGACACATGAAGTCAAAACAGTATCAGGTCTTTCTATGTCTGCGGCAGAATGCCAAAGCCCTGACACACATCCTTTTAGCAGCTTTAAGTCACTTCTGCAAGTGAATACTAGGAGATCGTCCCTTACTCCTGATCTTTGCTCTCAGGGGGCCACTTCAGCATAAGCCTTCCACCCTCCACAGATAACCTCAGGTTCTCCTCAAGCCTCTAGATCTTATTTCACATTTTATCATAGGTGCAACTTCTTGTGTACTTAACACTGTTGAACTGTTGAGTTTAAAAATGATTAAGGTGGTAGATTTTATGTGTTTTTTACCACAATAAAAAAAAGAGGCTCCAAACGAGCTGCAAAATGAGGGCCCTAAAAGATTATAAAGGACTCTAATTCTAATGTTTTTCATTTTTCAGATGAAGGAACAGAATGAAAGTCCCACAGTTGAGAGCCAAGAACAGGACCTGGGGGGTACACTGATTCCTAGTACACAGTTGACTACAGAACAACAACAACAACAACAAAATAAACCAAGTACAATGGGAAAAACTGAAGAAAATAGTTAAGTGGGACAAAGGCAACAAAGTAGGCAGAATCACAAGAAGAAAGAAGACCAAGGGAAAATTTCAAGAACATTTTTTAAAGTAAGAAAGCATGGAAGAAATGACTGAATATTATAAATATAGGATGGTCCCTGTTTTGCTGGAATAGCAGTCTGAAACCATCATTTATCTTGGTCTGGGTGGAGCTGAGGTCTGGGAATTCCCATATAAGGTAGTTTGTTCATGCTTACTTCCTCAAGCACACATTACACCTCCTCATCTGAAAAAGGCACTGGAAGAAAAGATTCTTTGGGAATGACATCCACACATACATTAAAGGCTGTGGTTTCCACTCCTAATGGTTAGTAGATTTGCCAAGACACAGCATCCTCGCAACCCCCACCCAAATACGGTTCAGCATCTAGCAGTCAACACCACAGGGCCTTCCTGTGGTCACGACTGGCAGTGGTGATAAAGGTCGGTATGACCTTACTGCTCTCCATAAATAGCCCTTCAGTCAGTAATGTCCTTGCATGATATGGTCACATTCTTTCAAGAGCAGCCCTGCTTTTATGTATGGTACCTTCCTTCCACAGAGCTTTCCATCTCAGGTGAAGCTGCTTTCTTGCCCCACCATAATTCCTCTCAATGACTTCAAAGCAGGGCCTCTACATTCGATTTTTTTTTAGGATGAGTCTGTCTACCTTTTTTTTAGAGCTATGCTGTCTACTTTGGTAGCCAGTAGTCACATGTAGCAACTTGAAATGTGGCTAGTCTGAATTCAGATGGACTTTAAAGTACCCACTGAATTCTCCTGGTAACTTTAAAATGCTGATGACATGATATGTATATAGCTTGGACATGATGACAGTTTGATATACTGGGTTAAATTAAACATATTATTAAAATTAATCTTCCCTATCTCTTTTTTCCTGTTTTAAATGGCTACTAGAAAATCTTAAAACTACACATGCTGCTTACATTGTATTTCTACAGGATAGCACCATTCTAGATAGTATAATAAGCCCTGCTTATTGAATACGCTCAGTAGAAAGAAACCCTGGAATCCTTTCATTTCAAACGATCTCCTGTCGGCCAGCCAACTTTCTTCATTTGCAGGTGAGATTCTTCATCTGTAATGTAGACAAAATAAACCCCCCTCACAGACTGGTAAGGACTGAGAACACAAAGAAAGCATTTTAAGCGTTCAGCAACACTAAATGTGTTCTCAGTAAATGTCACTTCCCTTTCTGTGGGTGCATTCAGTAGCTGGTTTAGTCATCTTGGGGTTAGTCATGGAACGTCTGGATTCCAACCCTCTTTGTTCCTTTTTCTCCACTCTAATCACTTCCACAGAATTCACCATAACTTAGAGGGCAGGGGTCTGTGGTGAACTTTCTAAGCAAAAGCTACCCCTTCCCCACAGCTGAATTTTTTACTCCTACCACTTGTCGACCATATCCTTCCCACCTCTTCTCTGCTGGTGCATTCATTAATAAATTATTAAAATTAATCTCAAAATTCTGGCTGCTGCTCATTTTCTCCTTTGGGCTGTTACCAGTAGCTCACTGCTATTGTCTGAATTTAAAGGGAGCTTTGTTACTATTCTAGCTATTTCATGTGTGAACACTTCCTTCCCCTCAAGTGCATGGATATCCTTTACTTACCACTAGGGTCTCACCAGATATGTAATGACTGAAGGATTCTACAATGGTCCTAGAAATAAGTAAAATAAAACTGAATGTTGACTTTTAATTACTGACCAGGCCAATCAGGATTACAGGAATGAAAAGTACCTTTTATGACTAAGAAATCACATCTGACTTGGCAGTCTGGTGTTATTTCTGGCTGGTTTATCTGTGGAAAATTCACTTTATGATTTCTTCCCAGCTGTTGCTAGCAGTGTGCTAGGCTGGCAGCCCTAAGAGTTGAATCATCCCCATGGATGATACTATTTTCTCCTTCCCCACCCAACCTTTCCCAGATACTTGGCATTTTTTAGTATTATACAGGTGCTAATTGTTCTGAAAGTCTGGCTTAAATTAAAGTTTATTGTAAATTGACGTAATCTAGCATCTGGATATCATTCTGTGTCTATGTCCCTTTTCACAAAGACAGCAACTCCAGGTCTGGGTAGGCTTGAGAGTGGGGATGGAGAAGTAACTCCGGCAAGACCTTTTCCCCAGCATTCCTTTATAGAAGGCAGGCGGTGAGAAGGAAAGAATTAGTGAGGGAAAGAAAAGGCAATCGAAGGGGAGAAGATTTAAGAAAGAAAAAAGCAAAAGAAAGAGAAGAATGGCTTTTTTCACAGTAGAAGTCACACAGTGGGAGGCTTGGATAAGGTTTAGATATGTTTGGAAGTAGAGAAAAACCATGAGACTATCAGGCACTAAAGTGAATTTAGTTGCTTTCAAACCCTGAACTCTAGTAATTCTGGATCTTAAAGGAGATATGCATAAATGATGCAGAGTAAACTAAAAAACAAAAGCAGAGAATGATTGGAAGTCCCTCAAAAAGCTAAACATAGAATTACCACATGACCCAGCAATTCCAGTTCTGGGTATATATCCAAAAGAATTGAAAACAAGGATGCAAACAGGTATGTGTACACCCATGTTTACAGCAGCATTATTCACAATATCCAAGGTATGGAAACAACCCAAGTGTCCTCCACAACTGAATGTTATATACATTTTACTATTAATACAATAAAAAGGGGAACATTTGTTGTTCACCTAGATCCCACCAAATATCAAGCTAGGATCCTTTTACATACACTACTCACAGATTAAATACTATTGCCATTTACAGATGAGGAATCTGCAACTCAGATATTAAATAATTTGTTCAAAATCACACAAATGGCAGAAGTAAAATTTAAACCCAAGGTCTTTCAACTTACACCACAGTATTTCAAGGATAAATAGGCTCAATGAATAAAGAACAAGTGAGAAAAGTATACGCTCCTTATGGTCTGAAACTGTTAAATAAGTGACAAGAAAGACCATAAACAGCTGAACCCGAAGAACTTGGTAGTCTAAATGTCTTCCCAGGCTGCAAACAAACTTTCTTTCAGCATAGCACATTTTAAAGCCCTATAAGGGAATCTCTGCCTGTTCTCCACACACCCCCCTCCCACACACAAAAATTGGTATAAGTTATTTTTCAATTTTTTTAGATTCTGTATTATATGTCCCATCTGGGCTGATAAAGTATCCTTTTCTCCCAACAATATTATCATACATTTGTGGCAACATTTGGGGTATAAAATACCTCCCCACCTGCCACTTCACTTATTTTAATCAAGCACTCTACAGGACATCAACATTTCATCCTGTAACTGTTCTGACAAACTGCGCCTCAGAAGTGACACACCGACTCAGAGCTAAAACACTGCTCCTGTATACCTCCTTCTCCTGGAACTAATGGGTCAATCAACATATGGCTAACTTTTGGGCAAGACCCAATTTAAAATCACTGTAAGTCCCCGCATGAAAAAAACAAAACTAGGCTGGGCGTGGTGGCTCACACCTGTAATCCAAGCACTTTGGGAGGCCGAGGCACGTGGATCACCTGAGGTCAGGAGTTCGAGACCAGCCTGGCCAATATGGTGAAACTTCGTCTCTACCAAAGATACAAAAATTAGCCGGGCATGGTGGTGCGTGCCTGTAATTCCAGCTACTTGGGAGGCTGAGACAGAAGAATCACTTGAACCTGGGAGGCGGAGGTTGCAGTGAGCTGTGATCATGCCACTGCACTCCAGCCTGGATGACAGGGCGAGACTCTGTCTCAAAAAAAAAAACAAAAAAAAAAACTAAAAACATTTTTAAAAGTTCCCTTAAAAGGCCAAGCATGGTGGCTCAAGTCTGTAATCTCAGCATGTTGAGAGGCCAAGGCAGGAAGATCTCTTGAGGCCAGGAGTTCAAGACAAGCCTGGGCAACACAGTGAGACTCTGTTTTTATAAAAATTTTAAAAATTAGCCAGGCATGGTGGTGTGTGCCTGTAGTCACAGCTATTTGGGAGGCGGGAGCAGGAGAATTTCTTGAGCCCAGGAGGTCAAGGCTGCAGTGAGCCATGATCGTGCCACTGTACTGTAGCCTGGGTGACAGAGCAAGACCTTGTCAATCAATCAATTTTTTTTTAAAAAAAGTTTCACTGAAGGCTTCCTCTTTTTTCTGGGAACTTGCGGAACTACTGACATCAAGAAACTATCAATGAGACTTCAGACTCCTTCCCACGCCTCTGACAACGCCCAGGTTCAGGCCCCACCGCATCATTTGCTCAGTCCTTTGCTACAGGATGTTCACACATCTGGCATTACCCATGGAAACCATTTCTCAGTCACCTTTGTGTCCCCAGAACCTAACACAGTGCTTAGCATGGGGCAACCACTCAAATGTCAACTGAATGAAAGACCCACTGACACATCCTTTCGTATGGTATTGCTATCTTGCTCTTTAGTCCTTCTAATCCATTCTCTACACTGTAATATTAGCAAACACTTCACTGCAACATCACAGATGCTTCCCTAATGTCCCCAAACTTTACACTGCCCTCAAGACCAATACTCCACATACACCCTCCCTCCCTGCCATTCTTATCCTTCAAACATTCCAGCACAGTAGATAATTTTTGAATTTCTTTCATTCATTCAACATTTATTTACTGAGCACTTACTGCTCTGGGCACTGGGAATACAGAGGTGAACAAGAGGAAACAAAGCCCCTGTTTAACAAATCTTCCAGGCTAAAGCGGAAAACACAGCACAGAAAGGAATAGGGCAGGGGGTAGATCCAGAAAGCACTTGCAGCCCAGCATAAAAACTGGATGTTATTCTAGGTGAGATGGAAAGGCAATGGAGGACTCTGAAGAGAGAAGTAACACTGACCTGCAAACCTTTGCTCGAGCTGTTGCCAACTGTGCCTAGAACAACACTCTTTTCCATCATTTGTCAAATTCTTCAAAGCCCAACTCAAAAGTCACTACCTCCATGGTGCCGTCTCTTAGAATTGAAGGGGGTTCCCCGCTCTTTTTGGTTAGCCTCAAAAACTTGACACTACCTGTGATGGCCTGATGTTTAGTTATTTTTGTATATTTTTTAAACTACCACCAAGTGTTTATGTTCATTCAGAATATTTTATTCTATTTTCATTCTATCAGCTATGCAAAGTGCCTTGTTGTTTGCAAACTAAAAAGCATGTACCCTTTTTATCAACTAAAAGACCAAATTAAAATGATCATCCTCTTTTTAATGTTTTCTTTCTTATCCATGAAAAATACTTGTGTTCTCCTGTTCATTATAACTATTCCTTATTTCCTGATTATGTATGTGAATGTACATATATACACACGTGTACATACACACAACATACATCTATATAAGAGACTGCCTTACACATGCAATCGGTATCACTCTTAATGTTCTTGAAGGTTAACTGTAAAATCAATGCTTTTGCAAATACATTTAAATCTCTAGGAAGTCCACTGTATAAGGCAAGTCATGTAGTAAAGCAAAAGATTCTTCTGTGGGTAAATAATCACCCCTTAATAAATGTTTTCCAAATGTAGGTCTGAGGCATTACAGTTCCTTTAAGAGTGGCCTGCTGGGGGAAATTCCACCCAACAGCAACAGAATACATATTCTTCTCAAGTGCACATGGAACATTCTCCAGGACAGGTCAAGAAGGCTGAAATTACATCACGTATCTTTTCTGATCACAATGGTATGAAACTAGAATAGTTTCTAAAGTAACAGGAGGACATGGAAAATTAACAAATATGTGGAAATTAAACAATATGCTCCTAAACAACTATCGAGATAAAGAAAAAATTAAAGGGGAAATTAAAGAAGAAAATAAAGGAGATATATAAAAAAATCTTGTGACAAATGAAGATGGAAATACAACATACTAAAACTTATGGGATGCAGCAAAAGTTAGTGCTAACAGGGAAGTTTACAGCAATAGACACCTACTTCAAAAAAGAAAGATCTCAAATAACAGCCTAATATTACACCTCATGGAACTAGAAAAATAACAAACTAGGCCCAATGTTAGCAGGAGGAAGGAAATAACAAAGATCAGAACAGAAGTAAATGAAAAAGAGACTAGAAAAACAACAGAATCAATGAAACTAAGAGTTTGTCAACAGGTACAAAATTAGGAAGAGTAAGTTCTGGTGATCTATTGTACAGCAAAGTGATTATAATTAATAATACTGTATTGTATATCTCAAAATACCTCAAGAGGATTTTAAGTGTTGTTACCACGAAAAAGTGATATTTGAGATGATTGATAGGCTAATTACCCTGATTTGGTCATTGTACAATGTACATATGAACCAAAATATCACATTGTACTCCATAAATAAATGTGCCAATTAAAAATAAAACTTAAAAAAATGACCAGTTTTTTTTTTTTAAACAGCGTTTTACATGTTAATGAATAAGAGTAACTCCTTACTTAGTTATAGCTGCTTTCTTCTTACCATGACAGGACAAAAGTTCACTAAACATATTGCTAAATAGTACATTTCCCCACCAAAGACCCTAGGCAGCAGAAATAATGTTTTAAAAAATTAATGTAATAAAATGCCAAAAGCATTACTAAGGTCTTTTATAGAAGGCTCTGCAGGATATAAACCATATGACACTAAATACTGTTTATCAATTGTTTTTAAATTTTTCTTTGCAAACAAAAGGCATAGTTTCCCTTCCACACCCACCCTACTTTGAAACCAATAAAACAAAGTTTTCACATATTTCAATAATTAAATACACATCTACAAGATATAAGAACCACAATCATAACCTCTGCAGCAGGGAGAAAATTTTAATCAGCATGGCTGAAGGTTACTACAACTCACCCAAGACCCTTTCTGCATAGAGAGTTTCAACAAATATCCTTTAGATTTGCTTCTTAAATAACTGAGAAAGGTAGGTCATAAGGAAAACAAATCCAGAAATACAACAATACCCTGTGTTTGGCTGATTTAGGCAATCATGTCCATTTCTTCTCTTAAACTTCTCTCAAACTTCCACTCCTTTGCCTTAGTCACTTTACACACACAGGCCCAGTTCTGCAAACCTACGCACTCTACCTGAGCCACCTCCAGCTCCCCTTCTCTTAATTCAAGAGTAAAGAACCTCCCTCCTGGCTCCTACTCTTATTTAACTTACTTATCAGGGCTTGGGAGGCCAGTTTCACATCACTGCGAATTATCTTTGAAAGCCTCTATTTCCTAAACTGTACAGAACTTCCTCATCTTAGCTTTGTCTCTGTTGTCTTGAACTATATTTGAGCCAATGAAACCAAGTTCAGGGTTTTTTTTTTTCCTGTATTTAGTCAAATCATGTGACATGGTGTGTTACACGATAACCCCACTGTTCTGAAGCAATAGGACAACACCCCTAAATGTCATAACTCATATCCTGCTAAGTTGTTTTATATACTTTATGAAGTTAAGAAATTCACCCAAAAACTTACTGAAAGCACATATAACATGCAGACAAATATTTAGAAAAATGAATAACTGATCATCATAGAAAGAGGTAACTTTAAAAAAATGATAGCCTCTGGCCCTCTGGATCTCTATAATAACTACATGTTTGAATTAACGGAGCTTCTTTATGTGCCCTCTGAATGCTACTCTGGGGTCAAGCAGCTACTCTACACTACATCTTCCGGTGGCAAGGTGCAGGCCAGCTTAGGGACGGGCACGCCAGGCTCTGGCTGCCCCAGCAGCGGAAATTATTCTTTCTGTCCCAGATATCCCTGACAGACACAGTGCAGAAGCAGCAAGGCCAGTGGTGCTAAGGCCTCACATATCCGACTGAGTCACCTCCTGGGACTCCTCAGTGCCAAGTTTCCACTGGAGAATAAAGGGATCTAATTTAGTTGAAGGTAAGAAAGAACTTGAGAGCAATTAATTCAGCCTTCCCCTTCCATGAATGAGGGTGTCCTTGCCTGAATTCACTGAAAATACAGCAAGAAAGCTCCTTTACCCAATTCCTTTATTATAGAGGAATCATTTTTAGGATAACTGCATTTCTAGGATGGTAACATAACTAGGGCCTGAGGTTAATCTTTAAAAACAAGAAAACGGCCAGGTGCAGTGGCTTACACTTGCCTGTAATCTCAGTGCTCTGGGAGGCCGACATAGGAGATCACTTGAGCCCAGGAGTTCAGGCCCAGACTAGGCAACATAGGGAGACCATGTCTCTGAAAAAACAAAAACAAAAACATACCACCACAACAAACCAAACACACACACACACACACACACACACACACACACACACACACACACACACAAACCCCAAGAAAACAACTCATCACTTTTGCTTGTTATCCAACACTGAGACTGGGTACTAGCCACTCTTAGAGCTGGTGACAAGCTATAACCTGAGGGCACCCTGGCAGGTGACTATTTACAGGGAAGGGTTTAGTGCTTGAAAGAGTGGAAAAGCACATCCAAGACAAGCTAAAGGCAGAGGGAGTTCTAAAACTCAGGGTTCTGCCCAGCACTCCTGGGGGAACCTCACAGGCTTCACCTTCACGTACTCTGAAATCCAACGGTCCCAGCTAGTTTGGGAGCTCTCACACAATACTGAATGTAATAAAATTCCAGCCAGAATGTTTTTCTGGCTTTGATTTATTTACTTTATTTTGGGAGGTGGGAGTGGAAGGCAGATGGAAGCTGGAAGTGAAAAGGCTGCTTTCGAGTGGGAAGCAGTTCCCTCCCCCATTCCCAGCAGGGACAGTCCTATGTCATGGACATAAACCCCGGGAAGCAGCTGCGATCTCTCTTGGGAGAGGGAAAAGAGAATGGAAGTCTTCTGAGCTACAGCCCCAAAATACAAAATTCCCTCTAGGAAGGCAGCTCGTGATGCTGCAGTTAAAATCTAAAGGAAGGAAACTGGATGTTTTTCTGAGTCCCAGCAGAACATCCTGGGCAGACTGGCATTGTTGTTAACTTCTCTACTCATGGATGGGTCCCATCAACCCTCCTCTTGAAGCCATGCGCCACTCGCATAAGGACGTACCATGCTTGAAGGTCTTCTCGTAATCGACCTCATCCCTTTCTTCTCTCAGCAGATATTACTTTATTACTTATTCATGAAGAAAACAGTTTATCTGGAAAGTTCTCTTTCAACTACCTCCCACCTATATGCTTACTCTTCAGGCCTTCAGTCCCAACAAGGTCTGTTTGATGTCAGTCCATAAACTCACATCCAGACAGCCACTTTCCTTCTTTTTGGGCTCTTTCCCCCGAAGAGTTTGTAAATAGGCTCCAGTTTCTGCTACGTTAAAATGAGTCTATCTTGAGTCACTCTCCAGCTACCATCACAGCTCTCTCTTTTCAGACACCATTTTCTTTTTTTGTTTGTTTTTTTGTTTTTTTTTGTGTTTTGAGACGGAGTCTCGCTCTGTCGTCCAGGCTGGAGTGCAGTGGCGCAATCTCAGCTCACTGCAAGCTCCGCCTCCTGGGTTCACGCCATTCTCCTGCCTCAGCCCCCGGAGTAGCTGGGACTACAGGCACCCTCCACAACACCCGGCTAATTTTTTGTATTTTTAGTAAGATGGGGTTTCACCGTGTTAGCCAGGATGGTCTCGATCTCCTGACCTCATGATTCGCCTGCCTCGGCCTCCCAAAGTGCTGGGATTACAGGCATGAGCCACCACGCCCGGCCTCAGACACCATTTTCTAAAAGTTATCTCAACTCCTATTTACTCATCAACCTACTGCAATCTGGAAACACCTCTTACAGTCACAGCTCTTAAAAGCCAAATCCAGAAGGCATTTTTCAGTCCTTATCTTACATTTGACATTTTTAAATGATGCTTTCCTGGGAATTTTCTATTCCCTTGGCTTCCAGACCACCGTACTTTTATCCCTCTTGTCATCCCATCACCATCTCTTTTGCAAGAGCCTCTGCCTGGCTGTAGGTATGGCTACTCCCCAGCCTGACCTTGGCTTTCTGCTCCTCTCATTGCGCACATTCTCCCTGATGACTTCAACAAATCTCATGGCTCAACTACTTCCTCCCTGTTAGTGGCACTGGCTGGACCTTCTTAAACTTCGCAATCATACATCAAATTGTCTGCTGATGTCTCCATACAGATATCGTCACAGGCAACTCAAACTCATGATGCCTAAAATAAACTCCCCTCCCCACCATGCCTAAATCCAATTCTTCATCTTAATGTGCCCTCTCTCAGGCATGGCGACGTTATCCAAGCAGGCATGCCGCAGCCTCCTAGATGGAGTCCCTGTCTCCAGCCTGGTCCCCTTCAATCAAATCCAACAGACACAGCCAGCAAGCGGTCTAAGGAACCTGCTATCACTACCCTGCTTAAATTCTCTACTGCACTGAGGACAGTCAGCATCCCTTAAGGTAACACACAAAACCCTATATCGCCTGGCCCCGCCTTTTTTTTTTTTTTTTTTTTTGAGACGGAGTCATGCTCTGTTGCCCAGGCTGGTGGGCAATGGAGTGATCTCAGCTCGTTGCAGCCTCCACTTCCTACGTTCAAGTCATTTTCCTGCCTCAGCCTCCCAAGTAGCTGGGTCAACAGGCACGTGCCACCACGCTCGGCTAATTTTTGTATTTTTGGTAGAGACAGGGTTTCACCATGTTGCCAGGCTGGTGTCGAACTCCTGACCTCAAATGATCTGCCCATCTTGGCCTCCCGAAGTGCTGGGATTACAAGCGTGAGCTACTGCTCCAGGCCCTACCTGGCTCCATCTATGTCCCCAAACCCTCATCCCTGGACACTTCCTGCCGCTCACTTTACACAGCCTAAGAGGGACATACACATACCACACAGGCCCTCATCTCCATGCTGCTGCTCACGCTGACCTCGGCTGGGAAGGGCTTCCCTTCGCTAATGCTCACATCCTCAAACAACTCAGAAAACCTGTCCATACCTTCCTAGTCGACTCTCCTGCCTGGATCCCGCACTCCTCCTCAGGGATCCCGTTATACATTCTCATTTACTCCGCGAGGATCATTTTATGAGCTCCTGTTTCTAACCTTGTGGAGGGCAGGGACTAGATTCCTACTCATCTTTATGCTCCTTGGGCCTCTGCCTAGCAGACACACTAGATACTTAATAAAGTTTAGCTAAACTGAGGCCTATAGGAGGGGCACTGTTATTCCTTACCTCTAATAAGGAACAGGAAGCTCAGAATGAGGTTACGTGGCTTTAAAAGTCACCCAAGGAAAAGTCTAGGGGGAAACCTAGAATGCAAAAGCACACCAGCTAAAATAAGTCTTCTTGACAGCAGAAGGCCTCTCAGAGCTAAGCATGGTGGGAACAGGGAACATGTCTATGTTTTTCCTCTGTTACCCTAAGCCTGACAAAGTGTTACACAGTGCACAGCAAGTGCTTAGCAAACACAGGCTGGCTCACTGTGATTGTGGAGAGATCACTTTCATTTATAGACTATGTAAGAGTGGGTTTGCTTCTCTCCAGCAGATGGAGCTACAACCCTGGGTTATCTCCAGCTATGGTCTGGGAACCCTGAGAGAAGAACCAGCCTTTTCCATCCATCCCTTGCCATCTTCTTTTTGTCCTTTATCAGTCTCACATAGAAACAGCAACAACAGCCAGGTGCAGTGGTTCACGCCTGTAATCTCAGCACTTTGGGAGGCCGAGGCGGTCAGATCACTTGAGGTCAGGAGTTCAAAATCAGCCTGGCCAACATGGTGAAACCTCATCTCTACTAAAAAATACAAGTTAGCCAGGCGTGGTGGTGGGCGCCTGTGGTCCCAGTTACCCGGGAGGCTGAGGCAGGACAATCGCTTGAACCCAGGAGGCAGAGGTTGCAGTAAGCTGAGATCACACCACTGCACTCCAGCCTGAGCGAGAGTAAGACTCCATCTCAAAAAAAAAAAAAAGAAACAGCAACAACAAAATAACAGGATAAATGCTTTCCACAGACTATTCTGAATGGACATAGATCTTTATTTAAAAAATTTGTTCAATGCCCAATACACTTGCGTATCTTTTCCTCCCGGGACTTTAAAAAAATCTGGGATAATTTCACCTAACTTGATTTACCCAATCTATCAAGTGCTAATCAGTGTCTCCACCTTTATATACTCTTCATAGGTCCTTGTTATGAAAGTCATTTATAACCCCAAATGTTCATCATACTCATCTCTATGTATATGCTCATCTCTATGTATATGCCCTATGTCACTCAGGAAAACATTAGTTTACTAACCATCTCTCATTTAAAAACAAAACCCTTTGGGCCAGGCGTGGTGATTTACGCCTGTGGTCCCAGCACTTTGGGAGGCCTAGGCGGGCAGATCATCTGAGGTCAGGAGTTCGAGACCAGCCTGCCTAACATGGTGAGACCCCTCTCTACTAAAAAAAAAAAAAAAATACAAACATTAGCCAGGCGTGGTGGTGCGCGCCTGTAATCCCAGCTACTCATGAGGCTGAGGCATTGCTTGAACTCGGGAGGCAGAGGTTGGAGTGAGCTGAGATCACGCCACTGCACTCCAGCCTGGGCAATAAGAATGAAACTCCATCTAAAAAACAAAACAAAACAAAAAAACAACAAAAAACACCCCTTTTTAATATATTCTAACCATTGTCTTAAAGGATTTGAGTTTCTAAATAGAATATAAAGGAACAATTAAGGGCAAAATGTTCATAGGTGGTAATGTTAGTACCACCTATGAAAATAAAGCATAAAGTCCAAGCAAATTTCATCCTTCACTCAATTTATAATTTCATGGCATTCCCAGAAAACTTAGTGCTTATTGAAACTGTTGAAAAGTACTTCATGATGGTATCTTTTTTATTTTTATTTTGAGACAACATCTTGTTCTGTTGCCCAGGCTTGAGTGCCCAGGCAGTGGTATGATCTTGGCTCACTGCAACCTCTGCCTCCTGGATTCAAACAATCCTTCCACCTTAGCCTCCCAAGTAGCTGGGACTGCAGGCACATGCCACCACACCTAGCAAATTTTCATATTTTTAGTAGAAATGGGGTTTCAACATGTGGCCAGGCTGGTCTCGAACTCCTGGACTCAAGTGATCCACCGACCTTGGCCTCCCAAAGTGCTGGGATTACATGTGTGAGCCACTGCGCCCAGCCGATGATATCTGAAACAGATATCAACCTAAACCTGATGATGTCAACCTAAACACAGTTAGGTTCTATGTTCATCATTATACAAAGGTGTTTTTCTTTCTTACGTTTTTAACCAGCATCAAAGTCCTGTGGATGCATACTTCATGACATTCAGCATCTCTGGCCTCAGGCCATTTAGTGCCTATGGTACCCCTTTCCTGAAACCATCGAGATAAACTAAAAATGCTCCACAAGTTCCCACTTGCTCCTTAGGGAACAGTTTCAGATCTGCTGAGGACGACAGACCCAGAGGATTTCTGAGGCCATTAAGCATTAATGCTAGAAGTACTCACTGAAGTACCTAAGGGAACCGCTTGTCAGGGTTTGACTTAACTCATCAATATCACACAACATTGAATACTAGTAAAACTAAAGCACTGTAACTAAATTCATTTATCAACTTTACATTTTAATCAAAGAAGTCCCCAACTTGAAATATTTTCAAACTCTGACTATATCAAGAAAACAGTGTCATCATATAGCAAGTATTTTTTGTTTGTTTTTTTTTTTTTTGAGATGGAGTTTCACTCTTGTTGCCCAGGCTGGAGTCCAATGGCACAATCTTGGCTCACTGCAACCTCTGCCTCCTGGGTTCAAGCAATTCTCTTGCCTCAGCCTCCCTAGTAGCTGGGATTACAGGCATGCGCCACCACTCCCGAGTAATTTTGTATTTTTAGTAGCGATGGGGTTTCACCACGTTGGTCAGGCTGGTCTTGAACTCCTGACCTCAGGTGATCTGCCTGCCTCGGCCTCCCAAAGTGCTAGGATTACAGGCATGAGCCACCGTGCCCAGCCTATAGCAAGCCTCTTCTAAACATAATAACATCTAAGAAAGAGCCCTAAATAGCAGCACTTAGTCCTAAAAGCCCCTAAGCTCTGGGGGCCTTTCTGAGTTTGGGAAAGTTACTATAAAAGAAAAATCTGAGGAACAATACAATTTTAAAGAGTTTATTTGAGTAAGAAGCAATTCATGAATTGGGGAACACCAGACGAAAAAAGTTTTAGTGTCCCAATGACAAAAAGTCAGAGACAAGTATTTACTGGGAAACGTAGAAGCAAAATAAAGAAATTATTTGATTGATTTGAAATTACAGAATTGCCTTTTTTTAGGTACCTTGTTGGAAAGCCCCTAGTCACTTAGTCATATGTTAGTTGGCAGCTTACGACTGGCGGGGGTTAAGTTTTACTTCTAACATAAACATTTATCAAAATGACTCTACTTGTTCTGCTTATGTCTGCAATTTAAGCAAGGCTGAGGTAACATATAAGGCCTAACTGGTTTTGTGCGCTCAGAGATTTCACAGGCCTGGTCTTCATTTTAACTTCCTTTAACAATACTCATTCCAAAACCCACTCAGACCCAAACCTGCCTAAGGTAGGGAAGCAGAAGGAAGCACGTTACAAATTCCATGGCAATACGGTGAGAAGATTTCAGCAGCCCAGGGACACAAAAAGAGAGTAACAACCTTGGCAGAGGCCACGATGCTGGAGTGAGAGGGCCCTGATGGCAGAGCTGGAACCCCACAAGTAATTTAATGGGGAAGTGTTGTTCATACCCAAGTGTTCTTAAATTAAATGTGGTCTGCTTAGATACTCCAACTTATTACTTCATAACTGAATGAAAGCCCCATCCCCCTCCTGAAACTCTCTCTCCTCCATGCAAGGGACCACTATGAACACAATGGTTCTAGTCCAAGCGAGAAACCTGAGAGTCATCTTCAACAACTTAATCATCCTCACACACCTCCCAATGTCCAGCTGCAAAGTCCTTTCTTCTCTGCCTCTTAACTGTTTCTGAATCGATTTACTACTTTATATCTGTACAGGCTGCATCTACTTCTGGCACCATCACCTCCTATGTGGATTAATGCAACAGCCTTGTAACTGGCCTCTGAACATCCCTCTTTCCTAATCACTGTTCCCAAACCACCTCTTCTCTGAGCTACCGTAACACTGCCTTCTGGGTGGTCATGTCATCCACATGGGTACCCATGTCGTCCACTCTCTGTTTCAGGTAACAGATCTAGTTGTCCTGACCACCTAACAGTCACCTACCTTGATTGACTAGGCATGGTGCTTCTTCCTATCCTCTGGCCACAATGACTGGTCCTGGTCCATTTGGACTATGGACTTGAACTAAGTTAATCAGATACTATTTCTCAAAGACTAGAAATCTGAGTAGAGACTAACACCCTGCAGTTAGAGGAAGTCAACTCAGAGCACTGCTCTATAGAGACATCCCACAAGTTCTGCAGAGACACCGGGAAAGCCCTAGTTGTTTGCCCTTCTCAGAGACCTGTAAGTTCAGCCCATTCTTCAATTCTGGGAGCAACCCCAGTATTTTTCCAGTAAATTTCTTTGAAGCTTCTGTTTGCCTGAGTCTATTCCTGTTGTTGATAATCAAGGAAACTACAGTGCCAGTAAAAACGGACCTGGCTGTCCTTGCTCCCACCCGGCATCCCCCAGCTCCAGCCCTCACTGCACAGGCTGCAGCCCTGCGGATCTGCCTGTCACATCTCAACAGCCCTCCTGGCCTGGTGCCTCTTGCCTTCCTCCCTAAACTCTTCTTGGGATGATTCCCATTCACACTCGGACTCAGTCAAGAGGTCGCTTCCTCTGGGAAGTTCTCCGGAAGGCCCTCTTGCTCCACAGGAATTTGCCTGTGTCCTTTAGTCTGACCTCAAGTTACAAGTGATGATTCCTGTTCACAGCTGTGCCCCATGCCAGTCATGCCTGGCAGAGGGCAGGCTCGCTGTGAATACTGTCAAACAAATGAGCAAATGAGGAAATCAGAAACACTTCAAATGAGTATTCAGGGAAGTGTAACACAAGTTTAAAAATAAATGTATTTCTCTGGAATCAAGAGACTCTAGGCATCCAATATTAAATTCATTGTATTTTAATATTAATTCATAGTCCAAATCATTTGACCATGCTTTTGCTTTGTGAAAATTCCTAAGTTGTGCACTTAAGATTTTTGCACTCTTGTGTATTACATATTAATAAAATTTTTAAAAACACATTTAACATCACTGAAAACCATAGATACAGACTAGTAATAAGTTCATATGCTTGGAAACATTATATAGTGGTAGAAGGTACACTGAGTACAAGTAAAATTATAGTCTTAATCATGCCACTTACTATAAGAGCTGTGACATCTTGGTTCGATAAAAATTCTTTATATTCAGCTTTAATATCCATAAAATAACATAATTACCATTTTGTCCAAATCTCAGGGCTACAGAATAGATTTTTTAAAATTATAAAGGTGAAAATTCAAATATAAGTTGTTTTTGTTACAAAATTTGGAATCATCTCAAAATGAATGTTAGTTAAACCAGTCAAAAAAAATTGGACTTTGGAAAACACAACACTTTGGCATGAAACTGCCTACAAAATCCCATGAATGCATACCAAAAAGTGATATAGGATAATGAATCCAGGATGCTAACCTGAAATTTAAGACTAAATTTATTCTTGAGGAACAAAAAAATGATATCCCTACATCATCATTTTTCTTTGTAAACTAGATTTAAAAATTATTTACATTTCATGACCAGGAGCAATGGCTCACGCCTGTAATCCCAGCACTTTGGGAGGCTGAGGCAGACAGATCACGAGGTCAGGAGATTGAGACCATCCTGGCTAACACAGTGAAACCCCATCTCTACTAAAAATACAAAAAAATTAGCCAGGCGTGGTGGTGGGCACCTGTAGTCCCAGCTACTTGGGAGGCTGAGGCAGGAGAATGGCGTGAACCTGGGAGGTGGAGCTTGCAGTGAGCTGAGATCGTGCCACTGCATTCTAGCCTGGGCCACAGTGAGAGACTCCGTCTCCAAAAAAAAAAAAAAAAAAAAAAATTATTTACATTCCATGAACTAAGACAAACATTTCTTAAGCTTATGATAACGGAAATGCTTTTAAGAGTTCAGCTAAGGCATTAACCTTCTGGCTGCAGTAATCTCAGAGAAGGGGGTGGAGGAAAGTGCAGATATTCCTTATTTCATATGGTGGAGATATTATAACATTTAAAACTACTTCAAAATAAGTGCTTGCATTTAAAGAGAGTATAACAAAATATGAAAGGATGTAGAGATTAAAAATATATGAAACACATCTTTACATATACACATGCTAATAAGCTCTTAAAAATAATTGAATGATAAAATGAACCATAATTAGAAATGGTGACTAACAGGCAATTTTATTGTATACCTCTCTATAGTATCAAAACATACAGGCTGGGCGCGGTGGCTCATGCCTGTAATCCCAGCACTTTGGGAGGCCAAGGCGGGTGGATCACGAGGTCAGGAGTTCGAGACCAGCCTGGCCAAGATGGTGAAACCCCATCTCTACTAAAAAATACAAAAATTAGCCAGGCGCAGTGGCGGACATCTATAATCCCAGCTACTCGGGAGGCTGAGGCAGGAGAATCACTTGAACCTGGGAGGTGAAGGTTGCAGTGAGCCGAGACTGTGCCACTGCACTCTAGATCGGGCGACAGAACAAGACAAGACTCCGTCTCAAAAAACAAAACAAAACAAAACAAAACATACAATCTCAGAATAGCATTTAACAGTCACACGGTAAGAGGAGAGAACAGATGGGCAAGACTTTATTTCTCAGAAAAAATAGATTTTCATTTTTTAACTGCTGAGCCAAAATACTTTATTAAGTTCCCAGAAATGCTAAACAGCTTTGTAAGAACATCTGAAGCACCTTTTTTCTCTCTCTCTTAAAAAATAAAGTACTACAATATAGATTCATGTTTGTTAAGAATGTAAAATACATTTTAAGAATGTAAAAACATTTAGTTATTGTAAAAATTAACTTTTGAGCAAATGCAAGTGTTAACCTACCCTTACCCACTCTGTACCATTAAAATAGGGGTAAGTAGAAAACAAATACATACACATTGAAAACTTCCATTTTCATTTCAGTGAATATTTACCCAATGACTACCATATCACTAACTGCTATAGGTACGGGGCACATAAGGATAACTAAGGCAGAGCCCGGAGTAACTTCCTAGACTGCGATGTACACACAAAACATATTGCAATATTCTGTCGTGACACAGCAGAGGCAGCATCTGCAAAGCGCTGCGAAATGCAGCAGCAGCAAGAAAGGCCTAGGCCTTACCGGGTTCATCACGGAAGTGAGTCTGTATTAGCTGTGGTTCACGAAGTGGGAGAGGGAAAGGGAATTCTCAGGGAGTAACTTGAAAGAGCACTGACTTAACAGTGTGTCAGGCACTGTGCTAGCTTCTCAGGCAACAGCAATAAGACTCAGTTAACTAGTTTCAAATGAGCTTATAGTTCAAGGGAGACACAAGAAAAGGTCAATCATAAAACATGTTGAGTGCACTCACAGTTCTGAGAGATCGTACTGTTTTCTGGAAGTTTAAAACCCATTTTCAAGGAATTTGGACATACTAGTGAAAATCAAACAATGGTATAAGGAAATGTGAAGCTGTGGCAGCCATGAGCATCCCTGTTTGGGATGGCCAGAAACTCCTGTTGGCACGTTCCCTCCTACCTCAGGGAGTTCTCCCTGTCCTTGAATCCTGATTGCTCTGTACCTCTTTTTAGGATATTTACCAAATGTTGCCATGTATCAAGATAAATCTGAGACTTATTTACTCTTCCCTACTAGATTATAACCTCTGAGACTGGGAACTTTGTCCCTTAGCTTCTTAGCCACTGTAATGTGAGGCATAAGGCTCACTCTAAAGGGCACTTTAACTTGTGGCCAGGCACGGTGGCTCACACCTGTAATCCCAGCAGTCTGGGAGGCCAAGGCAGGCAGATCATGAGGTCAGGAGTTTGAGACCAGCCTGGCCAATATGGTGAAACTCTGTCTCTACTAAAAATACAAAAATTAGCCAGGTGTGGTGGCACGTGCTTGTAATCCCAGCTACTCGGGAGGCTGAGGCAGAAGAATCGCTTGAACCCGGGAGGCAGAGGTCGCAGTGAGCCAAGATCATGCCACTGCACTCCAGCCTGGGTGAGAGGGCGAGACTCCATCTCAAAAAGAAAAACAACTTGTTAGCCAATGAGGTGCATGCCTGTAATTCCAGCTACTCAGAAGGCTGAGGCAGGAGGATTGCTTGAGCCCAGGATCAAGACCAGCCTGGGCAATACAGACCCTGTCTCAACAAAACAAAACAAAACAAAACAAAACTTGCTTAGTTGACCCATAACTGGTACTGACCCAGTATGACAAGTTCTATTCTATTCCTTTTGCAGGAATGAATAAAACCTATTAGCTCTCGTTCAGTCAAGGTGATGATCTTAAAGACTTCAAAAGTTATTTTCACATACATAAATACTAAAACCTTATCAAGAACAGTACTAAAATGAGTAGGAAAACCCAGTAACTGCTAAGTCTCTGTCACTACTTCCAGACTAACACTGACATGAAGACCAGGCCTTTCCCCACTCCCAGGTATAGAAAGACTTCAAATCCTGGCCCCAGGTGCCTGCTTCCTGATCAGGTGCAAGCACACGTGCCTATTAATATTATCTTGCTGCTTTTTTCTGTCCTGTTGGCAACCTCTTGGTTTGGTTTTGGCTACAAAATAAAAAATGCTGTATCACATGCCATCCAAACAGCCAAAATGAATAATACCACACACACACAAACGCACAAAAGGAGAAAGACTAAACAACCCTGATGACTCAGGATTGATTTCTGCAATAGTTATAACAAATCAAAACATAAAATACTTTAAAGAATAAAAATAAACGATGCCTAAAAGGAAGCTGGAGAACAAGAGGTGGGCTGCAGCAAACCCTGCAACTCTAACATCAGTGTTCACCCAGACCACTTAGCCCAATAGCCTGACTGTGACTAAGTGGTGACAAATGCAGGAATTTGGAGTAAGAAAATGCACCAGAGCAAAAGGGCCTCCACATTAAATTTCAAGAAGAATGTTCTCTGATGAAAGAGAAAGAGCTAGAAACATCTGGATGGCTAACACGCTTTAAACAAAGAAGTAACAGCACCTGCTAGGCTGCAGCTCTGTGAGCCGTAAGGGCAGCAAATCTCTACTATTTCAGCTAACTGAGAGGACTCAGGTTTCACAGCCATCAACACCACGTTGGCTAACTCTTTTGCATTTTTTTGAAGAATGATTAGCTCACATTCTAACGAGCATATAACTATGTTTGTAAGAGGATCAAAAACCATATAACCCCAAGCTGAAAAACCCCACCTCCATCCTCCCCAACCTTGGAGGGGAAGTTACAAATGATTAAACAAACTAGCTAGGAAAAAAAAAGGGTGAGAGAAGTTATTTGTAAGATTGAGAACCCCAAGAGTGTTGAGGCGTGTTACTAAGAAATATAACCTACAATGAGAAACAGCAGGTAATACTTCAAAAGAAGAGTATCCTGCCAAATTTCAAAGGACACTTATATGAATTATTAAATTTCAACCTAAAAAATAGCAAGGCACGGTAAAAATCAAAATGATATTTAGTTAGTCCCCAACCCAATGACCAAAAATCTGAAGTAGGATCTATATTAAGTTTCCAACCCTGGAACACATTTTCCATAAAACCATATAGTAAATTCCATAAAAATAAAACCATGACCAATCTCCAAAAGCTTCCTTCACCAAAAAAACGTAGCTGAAAAAGGAGATGGGGTAGCAGCAATCAGGGACAGGAAAACCAAAGAGTTTGCTTCAGGTCTTTACTCTGGTTTACCGGGAATGATGACCTTGGACAAATTATTTAACATCTGTGAGCTTCACATTTCTCATCTGTAAAACAGGTATAGTAATACCTGCCTACCAATTTTATGTAGTGCACAAGCTCAAATGAGACTAGAATACTTACTAGTTATAAACAGTCATCATCCCTACTCCTCCTCCTCTCTAACCCAATTGAAGGCTGGTGGAGGAGGTGAGAGAGCACAGAAGCAGTGGGAGGTTTGGGAGCCATGACCTCGAGTGAAAGGTTTGGGTCAGAGCTCTCGGAGTTTGCAGAAGGTAAGTCTTGGGCAGTGGAGAGCAGCCAGATGAGAAAAAAGCCCCAGCAAATGCTGCTGTCAAATACAAGGAGAGCTGTCTCTAAGCACCAGGTCATTCATAAGCAGGGAATAACCTACACATCCTTAACTTCAAAGTGCTTAAACAAAAGCAATGCCTTTTTCCCAAAGCTTTAATCTCTTCTTTTTTGAAAGCCCCTTCCCTGATCTTGTCTAGCTTTTCATGTCCCCTAGAGAAATTTCATCCACTTAAAAATGGAAACTCCATTACAAAACTCATGTACTTCATACCCTTAGGAAAAAGATACTTAAAGCCTTGAAAAATATCCAGACCTAATCATCAAAAGCAAAATCCACACATAAATTCCACCTTCCCATTCCCAGACTGATTTCCACTTTTTTTTGGTGGGGGGGAGGGGGGATTCAGGCATCTTTTAAACCAAGAACATGGAGAGTGAGTAAAGACTATAAAGCATACATTTATTATCAGCCATTCCCTAGCTGAATGGCATGAGAAGAGTCCCTAACCTCAGTGAGTTCCTCAAAACTGCAGGACCTCACCTCTGCTGCTCCAAGTCTTCTCTTCCTCAGCCTGATCTTGGCCCAAGGTCACCTCAGAGAAGACTTCCAAGATCAACTGACTTCAATGTGTAATCGTTGCCTACTGTCCCCTACACCCTTCTCTAGCTCATTCCTCCATACTGTTCATCACCATCTGATACACTATACGCTTTATTTGTTTATGATGTGTCTCTACCATCCCCAACAAGGACATGAGCACCATGAAGACAGAGAGTTCTGTCTGCTCTGCTTTCTGCTGTATCCCTAGAGCCAAGCATACACCTGGTCTCTACCAGGCACGCAGCAATATTTGTTAAATAACACATGATTACAAGTGAGGTAATTCATCCCTGCAGTGGGGCTAATACCACTTACTTTGCAGGGTTGTTTTGAGGATCACCTAGAAATAAAAAATAAAAATGCTTTTCCCATCAGCTGGTGTATCGTTAAGTATTCAAGAGCAACTGTTAGTTTCCTTTCATTTCTTACGCCAAAATAACTGGCTAAAAGCTGCAGAACATTCCAAGTGGGAAACTCTAAAAGCATGGCCAAAAGATCACTGTACCCAGTAGAAAAAAAAAAAAAAGAAAAGAAAAGAAAACGGGAGAAGCAGGACTGCTGATCAGTATTGCTCAGTGTGGCCCATGAATCACAAAATGTTGTAATCACTCTGCAATAAAATAAGTGCAGAAATTGAGAGTAAGTATTTAGAAACTTACCAATGTGACATAGAAATTTTACATCTGCTGAATATAAAGAGAAACAACTGGGACTTGCATTCATATGACCTTTTTTATTTTTCTAGCATCCCATTTTAATTGTCTTTTACAGAAGTGTCACTTAACAATAGACTAGAAAGTATTTTTTAAAATCCTTATTCTTCACCAGTTTGGGAAGCACCGACAAGCATACACTCAGTCTGATGTGGCCCAGGAAGCTGCGGAACAGCAACAAAGCTAACACACAATACAAGTTTACTACTGCAATTTATGTGGGTTCTAGGACAAGAGAGACCTGGATGACAGAAGGGTGGGGAGGCAGGTTCAGCGGCCAGTTCCAGAATGTTAGAGAATTCTCTAAGACAGTGTTTCTCAAAATGTTTTCCTACACTTCCAAGACCACCCGACTTCAAAGTGTAATCGTTGCCTACCGTCCCCTACACCTTTCTGTAGCTTATTCCTCCTATACACATCAAGAGCAAAAGAGTCAGGCCGGGCGTAGTGGCTCATGCATGTAATCCCAGCACTTTGGGAGGCCGAGGCGGGTGGAACACAAGGTCAGGAGTTCGAGACCCACCTGGCCAACATAGTGAAACCCTGTCTGTACTAAAAATACAAAAAATTAGCTGGGTGGGGTAATCCTCCTGCCTGTAATCCCAGATACTCAGGAGGCTGAGGCAGGAGAATCACATGAATCTGGGAGGCAGAGGTTGCAGTGAGCTGAGACTGCGCCACTGCACTCCAGCCTGGGCAATAGAGCAAGACTCTGCCTCAAAAAAAAAAAAAAAAAAAAGCAAGAGTCCCAGAGACCAAGGGAGAGAAGGATTACAAAGGGTTATGCTCATTTTCTTGACTGTGGTAACAACCTCATGGGTCAGAACTTATATTGTAAAATTGAATACAAGTAGCTTATTGTATGTAAGTTGTATTTCAGTGAAGGGAAGTTTAAGTAAGGGAGAGAACAGTAAGACACAACAGAAATGTACACAAAGTCAGGATTAGGATATAAATTCCATGATAAAAAAAAAAGCCCAGTCCCTCAAATCCTCTTTCAAAATAACTTTTCTAGTGGCTTTATAATAGGCCACTCATGACACAACCAGTATTTAGACATAAGCTCAACATGCATTCATGTATATTATTACAGTTTTGGCATTGCTACACTAAATGCATATTTTCCAACAGAACATCCCCTTACCCATCCTTTTTAAAATATAAGGGCCCATGGTTCCTGGCTTAGAGACAGCTGTTGTCAGGTCCAGTTGAGCTCTGGAAGAGCAGCTGGGGCTCAATGAGACACATTTGAAGACAGTTTCTCAGGTGCCTGTCCCTACATTGAACAGTTTTCCTCAATAGCATTAAGCCCATGTCCCCATCTGTATTTTCTTATCATACAGAATTATGTGCTAAATTGTCAGAAACTGAAAAGTGATAGTCTTCAACGAAAGAAAAGATTAAACGTTTAAGATTCACTGTCTAAAACACTCATTCCTACTTCTATCACAGCATTAGTAAGCTTTTGTACTATTCATAAAACAGACTGCCTTGTTCACAATAAAATGCTATTCCAATGTAAGGTATTACAACATTTTTTAAGGCTATTTATTGTCCCACCTTAGATGAGTAACAGGATTCCGTGCAATTATGTACGCCAATGTTTATTTTCAAAGAGGTATATTTCCTGTTTATAAATAGCTCAAGGAGAATGTCCAGCACACTGGGAACAGTAGTGGACTGTGGCTCAAAACATCCACGATCACTGTTCACACTAACATGACTAACAGAGTCATTTTCATGGAGCCTCTTGCTATTTACATGTCAGATGCAATGTGTGGAAGACTCACACCTGTAAAGTTTACATAATCTTTAGCTCTCAATTTCTCCACCCTTAAAAAGATCTTCCTTCTCCCTCCAGATAACCTCAAATGGTTATCTAGAAAGACAACCTTATATCTTATGATTACTACTATTACCACTGGTATCATAAATATTTACCATTATTTATAAACACTCTGTCTTCTCTACTGCACTCTAAGCTTCTTGAGGGAAGGGTGCATAATATTTACATCCCTCCCAATAAACAGTATACGTAATAATATCTGATGCAGAAAGGAAAGGAAATAAAGATACAAATAAGATTTCTGTAACTGATTAATGCCCAGAGATTTTAAAAGAAGATTCAGACATTTGAAATGTTTTTAGCAACTTTGAGAAATGTTACCACATTAGACCAAAAGCTATGTTATTTTTCTTCAGTTAGCTATTAAGAGCTCCCAGAGGCTGGGATTAGCTAGCTGACGGCTAACACTTAGGGGATGGAGGAGCGGTCTTGGCCTCCCTTTCCCCTCCAGGGCAGGACTGCAGAGCCAGTACCTTCAGTCTGGTCTTCCTCAAGGTCGCTGCTCACAACCACTCTCAGCACTGCGGACCTCCAGGGCTCTCCCTTGCTAACTCCTCCCGCTCTTCTCCACCGCCTCCCAGGATGGCCACGTTCCCTCTGAGATGCGGCCACTCCCTCTGTGAATCAGGCCATCACAGTATACAGGAGACAACCCCTTAGAGTTCAGCTTTTTTTATCTTCTGTTTGTTTGCTTGTGGGAGTTCAGACTCATTAGTTTGGCATTAAAAAGGTTTCCTCCCCCACGACCAACCTGCCAGCAACTTCTGGATTCCAGAAAACCCTGGGTTTCTGGAAAGCTGGTCTCTTCATAGCCAAAGAGAATATAGTATTACTTTATTTTTTTGAGATGGAGTCTTGCTCTGCTGCCCAGGCTGGAATGCAGTGGTGAGATCTCGGCTCACTGCAACCTCCACCTCCTGGGTTCAAGAGATTCTCCTACTTCAGCCACCCGAGTAGCTGGGATTACAGGCACGCGCCACCATGCTGGCTAATGTTTGTATTTTTAATAGAGATGGGGTTTCACCATGTTGACCAGACTGGTCTTGAACTCCTAACCTCAAGTGATCTGTCCGCCTTGGCCTCCCAAAGTGCTGGGATTACAGGCGTGAGCCACCATTCCCGGCCTAGTATTACTATAATGTCTTGATTTCCTTTCCCCATACAAACAAATATTAATAATAAACTCCTCTATATCTGTCAAATAAGTTCTCCATAATTCCTGTAAATATATTATCCTATCAAAGATTTTTGTATACTTTTCTCCATTTATGTAGTGGCAAACAAGCTAAAAAATACTTTTGCATTATTTTTCTCCCAAAATAAATATCCCTTCTCTTCACTCTCCCTCCTCTACCCTTAAAAAACAGCATGATGGCTGAGCACAGTGGCTCATGTCTGTAATCCCAGCACTTTGGGAGGCCAAGGTGGGAGGATCACCTGAGGCCAGGAGTTCAAGATCAGCCTGGGCAACATAGCAAGACCTCATCACTAAAAAAAAAAAAAAAAAAAGCCAGATATGGCGGTGAGTGTTTGTAATGCTATAATAGCTACTTGGCAGGCTAAGGTAGGAGGATTCCTTGAGCCTAGGTGTTCATGCCATAGTGAAGTAGGATTATACCACTGCACTTCAGCATGGATGACACAGAGAGACCCTGTCTCAAAAACAACAAACAACAAAAACCTCAGCAAGATGGGAAAGAACAGTTTCTTCAACAAATGATGCTAGGAAAACCGGACATCCACATTCAAAAGAATGAATTATATACAAAAATTAACTCAAAATGGACTAAAAACCTAAACATAAGTCCCCAAAGTATAAAACTCCTAGAAGAAAATACAAGGAGAAAGGCATGACATTGGACTAGGCAACGGTTTCCCAATCCAAAACTAAAAGCACAGGCAACAAAAGCAAAAACAGACAAATGGAACTATATCAAACTTTAAAACTTTTGTGCATCAAAGGACCCAATCAGAGTGAAAAGGCAAAATATGAAACAGGAGAAAATATTTGCAAATCATGAATGGATGAGGCTTTAATATCCAGAATATATGAAGAACTGCTGTACCTGAAGAACAACAACACGGCCAGGTGCGGTGGCTCACGCCTGTAATCCCAGCACTTTGGGAGGATGAGGTAGGCAGATCATGAGGTCAAGAGTTCGAGACCAGCCTGGCCAACACAGTGAAACCCCATCTCTACTAAAAATGCAAAAAATTGGCTGGGCATGGTGGTGCGTGCCTGTAGTCTCAGCTTCCCGGGAGGCTGAGGCAGGAGAATCGCTGGAACCTGGGAGGCGGAGGTTGCAGTGAGCTGAGATTGTGCCACTGCACTCTAACCTGGGCAACAGAGTGAGACTCCATCTCAAAAAAAAAGAACAACGCCAAAAAAAATCAAATAGCCTGGTTACAACATGGGCAAAGAATTTAACAGACTTTTTTCCAAAGATGACATACAAATAGCTAACAAGCATATAAAAAGGTGTTCAACATCACTGATCATCAGAAATGCAAATCAAAATCACAATGAAACATCACCTCACACCCATTACAATGGCTACTATTAAAACAAAACAAAACAACAAAGAATAACAAATGTAGGTGGGGATGTGGAGAAATTGGAACCTTTGTGTGTTGTTGGTGTAAAATGGTGTGGGTATTATGGAAAACAGTAAGGTGGTTCTTCAAAAACTAAAAATAGAACTACCATTTGATCCAGCAATCCTACTTCTGAGTAAATATCCAGAACAATCTAAAGCAGGGTATTGAAGAGGTATTTGTAACCCATGTTCATAGTAGCACTATTCACAATAGCCAAAATGTGGAAGAACTCAAGTGCCCACTAACAGATTAATAGATAAATAAAATGTGGTATACATAACAGTAGAATACTATGAACCCGAAGGAAATCTTGTTATAAGCTACAACATGGATGAAGCTTGAGGACATTATGTGAAGTGAAATAGAAAGCCAGTCACAAAAGAACAAATATTGCATGATTCCACCTATAGGAGGTATCTAAAGTATAGGAAATCTTCAATATTAACAATTGGTTCTCAGAAACTATGACTTTAAGTGAAGGGACATATAATGAAACCAATTTTTCTGCAGGCTAATTGATACAAACAAGAGTTAAGTTCCTATGGCATATTTCTGGTCACAAAAATATCACCAAACTTCGAAATACCCAAAACACTTCTAATATTAAGCACTGAAATAAATACGAGTTATACAGACATTTAAGACAGATGAATAAAAATAACCATTTACCCAATTTTTGGTGAATCAGTGAGTGACAGAGGTCAAAATGGTGGTTAAATCAATGAATCAATGTTTGCAAAGTGAAAATTGCAAGTAGCACCTCCTGCCACCACGTTATTTGGAAACAAACAAGAACATAGGGCAGGCTGGGTGAGGTGGCTCACGCCTGTAATCCTAGCATTTTGGGAGGCCAAGGTGGGAGGATCATTTGAGGTCAGGAGTTCAAAACCAGCCTGAACGGCATGGAGAAACCCCGCCTCTACTAAAAATACAAAAATTAGCCAGGCATGGTGACGCATGCCTGTAATTCCAGCTACTTGGGAGGCTGAAGCAGGAGAATCGCTTGAACCCAGGAAGCAGAGGTTGTAGTAAGCCAAGATCACGACATTGCACTCCAGCCTGGATGACAGAGCGAGACTCCATCTCAAAAAACAAAAAACAAGCAAAGAAAAGGAAAACAGGGCATCTTCATTGAGTGCTTTTGTACCACATCGTTTACTGTCGTGTTTTATTGATCATCATTTATTGTATGATGATCATATACTTTACAAATTTTTATTTTACAATAATGTGTGTCCATTTATTCATTCATTTTCCACCCTGCTTATTCTAGTTCAGGGTTGCAGGTGGCTGGAGCCTATCCCAGCAGCTCAGGGAGCAAGATGGGAACCAACCCTGGACGAGACTCCATCCCGTCACAGGGCATACAGCCACACCCACTCACACTGCGACGATTTTAACATCAATTAACCTAACATGTACATCTTTGGGATGCGGGAGGAAACTGTAGTACCAGGAGAAAACCCAAGCAGACATGGGAGAAACACGTAAACCCCACACAGACACTGGTCCCAACTGGGAATCAATTTTTTGTTCTCATCAACATTATAACAAAATCATGTTGAATAAAACAACATTATTTGAGAATCTGCTGTATTCAAATTTATAGACATTGAAAGTAGAACAGTGGTTGCCAGGAGCTGGGGATAAAGCAGGAGTTGCTATTCAATGGATATAGAGTTTCAGTTCTGCAAGATGAAAAAGTTCTGGAGAGCTATTTCACAACAATATAAACATACTTAACACCACTGAACTA
The DNA here is from genome assembly GCF_000001405.40 of Homo sapiens. Lineage (NCBI taxonomy): Eukaryota > Metazoa > Chordata > Mammalia > Primates > Hominidae > Homo > Homo sapiens. Next base: position 108,566,919 of record NC_000002.12, on the reverse strand, counting down.
CACACTTAAAAAGTGTTACGATGGGCCAGGTGCAGTAGCTCACACCTGTAATCCCAGCACGTTGGAAGGCTGAGGCGGGAGCATCACCTGAGGTCAGGAGTTTGAGACCAGCCTGGCCAACATGGCGAAACCCCATCTCTACTAAAAATACAAAAATTAGCTGGGCATGGTGCTGGGCATCTGTAATCCCAGCTACTCGGGAGGCCGAGGCAGGAGAATCGCTTGAACCCAGGAGGCAGAGGTTGCAGTAAGCTGAGATCATGCCACTGCACTCCAGCCTGGGTGACAAGAGCGAAACTCCATCTCAAAAAAAAAAATGTTTAAGATGGTAAATTTTATGTTGGCATTTTACGACAACAGCAGCATGATACACTGGAAAGAGTAGGGTTTGGGTTTTACAGACTCAAATTTGAAACTCTAACAGCTCTGCCACCTACTGTGTGGCCCTGGGCAATTTACCCTCTGAGAATCAGTTTCCTCATCTATATAAATGAGGGTATAAATAATATATATCTTAAAAGTGATCTGAAGAGTAGATGAGAACTGCTGACATAGAAGACACTCACAGCTGGATTCCTTAATTCTTCTTCTGGGGATTGCATCAATGCATCACCCTCATCAAAGCAGCTTACATGAATTAAAGCCTTACTGAGTCTTGCACTGCTCTGCGTGATATGCCAGGAACCACATTTAATACTTGCAGAAAGGAAAGTAGGGAAGACTGTAATCCCCACTTTGCTGATGAGGAAAGCAAAGCAGAGAAGTGGCCTAACCTGCCCAGACAACACAGTAAGTGACGGAGCCTGCTTCATTTTACTTCACAGAGACATGAAACAGAGCTAGCAACACAGAAAATGAAACTGACAGCAAAACACAAAACTCAAAAAGGAGCTGCTATGGTGTGAATGTTTGTGTTCCCTCCAAAATTCATGTTGAAACTTAATCCCCAATGCAACAGTATTAAGTGAGGCCTTTAGGAGGTGATAGGCATGGAGGGCTCTGTGTCACAGATGAGAATAGTGCTTTGTGAAGGGCTGGTGGGAACTTCCACGTCCTTTTGTCACCTCCTGTCATGTGAAGCCACAGCCTTCAAGGTGCCATCCTGGAGAAGATGGCAGCCCTCACCAGACACTGAACCTGCTGGTGCCTTCATTTAGGACTTCCCAGCCTCGAAAACTGTGAAATGTAAGTTTCTGTTATTTAAAAATTACCCAGTCTGTGGTATTTTGTTATAGCAGCAGGAATGCACTAAGACAGGATCACAATATATAAAACAGACCATAAGGACTGTGTCTCAAAAGTCAATTAATGATCAGATAAGATTAAGGAAAACAATTTTATATTTAAAATTTACATTTCCAAAGAATGGTTTAAAAGGTCATGATTTCCCTGCTTACCTTTTAAACAAGTTCATTCCCTCCTTAAGCATTCACTTTAATATTCAGTTGTCTTTCAAGATAGAATTATAACTCTAATTCATAATGCAGTTTAAGTTACTTTATTTCTTACTCCAACTAAGATAGAAAAGAGTTACTTAACACCATCTATGATTAGTAGACGACTAAATTATGTGCCTCCCAAATTTTATTAGAGACCTTTGTGCTACCAAATTTTACAGTAGCCACTGTAATAAACTTCCCAGAAATTGTATCATCTTGGCTATGTCCTAACATGACAACATAGCTGTTAGCAACCTTTCCATACATTCCATTTAAAAAACTCTGTGGAACGAAGACGGTATCCAACTAAGGAAAAAGTTACCTCCTGGCTTTTAACAACAGCCATAAGTAACAAAGTTGAGTTGAGAGAATCAAGTATTCCAGAGGTCAACTCAGTTATGGAGCAGTTCTCAGTTTTGACAGAAACCGACTTGGAGAAAGCTCAGAGATTTTGTCCAGCACAAACACTTCCTGAACTATGGGTTTCTCTTAAAGAGCTAGGGGTTTCTCTTAAAGAGCTAGGGCAGAGCGCTGGCCCTTTCCTTCCCTGTAACCTTGGGGTACAGTGACTACAGTACAAAGTGCTTATTTTGGACGTTTATAATAGACAAGTTCCCTTAGGCTACACAGTGTTACCCACACCTTTTTTTTTTTTACAGTGTTGTCTTTCCCTCTTTGACAACCCCCATTCCAGCTTCAGCCCTAACATGACAACATAGCTGCAGCAATCTTACGTACCTTCCATTTCAAACATTCTTGTGGAACTTAATTGTATACTAAATCGTATGACGTGCCAAGCACTGAGCTAACGGGTTTATATAAGAGGCACAGCATAATGGTAAAAGCAACTGGGGAGTACAACTGAGTTTGAATTGTGCCATTAGACAGCCTTCAGACTTGAAGTGCAACACCGGCTCCTCCCTGGGTCTCAAGTGGATTGGGTCTCTGTGGATTTTAAACTTGCCAGCCTCCAAAATCCTGCAAGCCTATTCCTCAAAATAAGTCTATCTCTTTATCTATCTCTATACAGGCATACCTCGGAGCTACTAAGGGTTCAGTTTCAGACCACCACAATGGAGTGCGTATCACAATAAAGCGAGTCACAAGTTTTTTGGTTTCTCAGTGCATATAAAATTATGTTCACACTACACTGTAGTCTATTAAGTGTGCAAGAGCATTATGTCTAAAGTGTGCAAGAGTATTATGTCTAAAAAGAAGTACAGATCTTAATTTTAAAATACTTTATTGCTCAAAAATGCTAGCAATCATCTGAGCCTTCAGCGAGTCATTATCTTTTGCAGGGTCTTCCTTGATGTTGACAACTGCTGACTGATCAGGATGGTGGCTGCTGAAGCCTGGGGTGGCTGTGGCAATTGAAGAAAACCTCCTTGTGGCAAACAATGTTTCTTTCCTTTTCCTTTTTTTTTTTTTTTTTTTTTGAGACAGGGTCTTGGCCTGTCACCCAGGTGTGATCATAGCTCACTGTAGCCTTGAACTCCTGGACTTAAGCAATCCTTCCACCTCAGCCTCCCAAGTAGCTGGGATTATAGTGCACCACCACACCTGGCTAATTATTTTTATTTTTGTAGAGACAGGATCTCGCTGTATTGCCCAGGCACATCTCAAATTCCTGTGCTCAAGCAATCCTCCCACCTTGGCCTCCCAAAGTGCTGGATTTACAGGCATGAGCTATGCGCCTGGCCACTAGAACATTCGAAATTGAAGTCAATTCTCTCAAACCCTGCCATTGCTTTACTAAGTTTATGTATTATTCTAAATCCTTTGTTATCATTTCAATAATGTTCACAGGAAGTTCATCAGGAGTAGACTACATTTCAAGAAATCACTTTCTTTGTTCATCCATAAGAAGCAACCCCTCATCTGTTCAAGTTTTATCATGAAATTGCAATAATTCAAGTCACAACTTAAGACTCCACTTCTAATTCTAGTTATCTTGTGATTTCCACCACATCTGCAGTTACTTCTTCCACTGAAGTCTTGAGCCCCCGAAAGTCATCCATGAAGGCTGGAATCAACTTCTTCCAAACTCCTACTAATGTTGGTATTTTGACCACCTGCCATAAATCATGAATGTTCTTAATGGCAAGAAGAATGGTGAATCTTTTTCAGAAGGTTTTCATTTTACTTGCCCAGATCCATTAGAGGAATCACCATCTGCAGCAGCTATATAGCCTATGCAATTTATTTCTTAAATAATAAGAATGAAGTTACTCCTTGATCCCTGCGCTGCAGAATGGATGCTGTGTTAATAGGCATGGAAATAACATTAATCTCCTTACACATCTCTCCATCAGAGTTCTTAGGTGATCAGATGCATTGTCAATGAACAATGTTTTAAAAGGAATCCTTTTTTCTGAGCAGGTCTCAACAGTGGGCTTAAAATATTCAGGAAACCATGCTGCACACACATATGTGGTCATCCAGACTTCAGTGTTCCATTTATAGAGCAGAGGCAGAGTAGATTTAGCATAATTCTTAAGGGCTCTGGCTTTTTTGGAATAGTAAATGAGCACTGGCTTCAATTTAAAGTCACTAGGTACATTATCTCCTAACAAGAGAGTCAACCTGCCCTTTGAGGCTTTGAAACAGTGAAGCCAGGCATTCACTTCCCCTCTCCAGCCTTGAGTCCTAGATGGCATCTTCTCCCAACAGAAGGCTATTTTGTCTACACTGACAATCTGTTGTTTGGTGTAGCCACCTTCATTAATTATCTTAGCTAGATCTTCTGGATAACTTGGTGCACCTTCTACATCAGCACCTGCTGCTTCACCTTGCACTTTTATGTTTCGGAGATCTTTCCTCAAGCTTCATGAATGAACTTCTACTAACTTTCCAACTTTTCTTCTGCAGCTTCCTCACCTCTCTCCACCTTCATAGAATTGAAGAGTTAGGGCCTTGCTTTGGATTAGGTTTTGACTTAAGGGAATGTTGTGGCTGGTTTTATGTCCCATTCAAACCACTAAAACTTTCCCTGTATCAGCAATAAAGCTGTTTTGCTGTCTTATCATTTGTGTTTTCACTGGAGTAGCACTTTTTCAAGAACTTTTCCTTTGTATTCCCAACTTGGCTAACTGGTGCAAGAGGCTTAGCTTTCAGCCTGTCTTGGCTTTCAACATGCCTTCCTCACTAAGCTTACTTGTTTCTCGCTTTTGATTTAAAGTGAGAGATGTGTGATTCTTCCTTTCACTGTAACACTTAAAAGATTATTATAGGGTTATTAATTGGTCTAATTTCAATATTGTTGTGTCTCAGGGAATAGGGAGGCCCAAGGAGAGGGTGAGAGATCGGCAAATGGCCAGTAAGTATAGCAGTTAGAACACATACAACATTTATCAATTGAGTGTGATATCTTATTTGGGTGCATTTTTGTGGTATCTCAAAACAATTACAATGGTAACATAAAAGACTGCTGATCACTGGCCGGGCATGGTGGCTCATGCCTGTAATCCCAGCACTTCGGGAAGCCAAGGTGGGTGGATCACGAGGTCAAGAGATTGAGACCATTCTGGCCAACATGGTGAAACCCTGTCTCTACTACAAAGTACAAAAATTAGCTGGGCATGGTGGCATGAGCCTGTAGTCCCAGCTACTCAGGAGGCTGAGGCATGAGAGTTGCTTGAACCCGGGAGGCAGAGGTTGCAGTTGAGCCAAGATCACGCCACTGCACTCCAGCCTGGCAACAGAGTGAGACTCCGCCTCAAAAAAAAAAAAAACAAAAAAAAACACTGCTGATCACAGAGAACCACAACATATAATCATAACAAAGAAGTTTGAAATATTGTGAGAATTACCAAAGTGTGACACACAGACATGAAGTGAGCACATGCTGTTGGAAAAATGGCACCAACAGACTTGCTTGACGTAGGGTTTTACAATCCTTCAATTTGTAAAATATGCAGTATCTGTGAAGTGCAATAAAATGAGGTATATCTTTCTCCATCTACACACACATAGATGCATACACCCCCACCCCTAACACACACACACATACACTGCATTGGTTCTGCCTCAATACAAATTATTATTAATTTACCACATGACCTTGATCACACTGCTTAGCCTTTCTAAACCTCGGGTTTCTTATCTGTCAGATGGGCTAATAATAGTACCTACTTCATAGGCCACTTATGAAGATACACTGTGTTAAACAGAGATTCAAACAGATTAAGCACAGTCAGAAAATAACAGATGCTGGTGAGGCTGCAGAGAAAAGGAACACTATACACTGCTGGTGGGAATGGAAATTAGTTCAGCCACTGTGGAAAGCAGTTTGGAGATTTCTCAAACAAAATACCCACAGAGTGAGAGATTCCAACAGCAGGTTAAGTGACAAATACCAACACAACTGAGAGTAAGGTCTGTACTGGTGTTTGCACTTTGCAGCCAAATGACAAATGCAGCTGATTTTTTTCACTGAGCTACTGGGTTTATCAGGAAAGACAGGGGCTCAACCTTTCTTCTGACCCATTGGTAACAGAATCAGACCAATTAGCATTGAGCTAGTGTGGCAAAACCAATGGTTATTTATCAAAGCACACACAGACACACAGAAGGCATCATTCTGACCCTACTAAAAGTATACTTCAGGCAGAAATGCTGGTTAAGAGTTTTTAAAATTAATTTGACAAATATTAACTGGGTACACTAACAGGCACTCTTCCAGCTGTTGTGGATACGATGAACAAAACAGAAAAACTCTTGCCATGGTGAGGCTTATAGTAAGGACAGACATGACAACAAAATTAAAATCCATCCATCCATCCATCGAAGCTGTGTGTGTGTGTTTGTGTTTAGCAGTGAACAAAGAGACATTTATATTCTAAGTGTCAGGAGAAAAGCAAGCAGGGAGGGGGCAATCAGGAGTGTCAGGGCAATTTTTGATAGGACAGTTACGGAGGACCTCCCAGAGGAGGTGAAGGAGTGAGCTCTGCCACAGTCTTTGGGTAGGAACAGCTGGTGAAAGCCTCTGGGATGGAAGCCCCGCTGGTGAGTTTGAGAAACACCTAGGGGACAGACGTGGATAAAGGGGAATGAATGAGGGGAAGAATAGTAGGAGATGAGATCAGAGGGCAGCAGGGGGCCAAACACTGTGGGGCCTCATGGGTCTCTCTAAAGACTACGGCTTTTCCTTAGGGTAAAATGGAGATCCACTGGAGGGCTTTGAACCAGACTGACAGGATCTGACTTAGTAAATTTTAACAAGATCACTTTGGCTGCTGTGTTAAGAATAGACTGGAGCTGGCGAGGGGCAGTGAGGGAAACTCGTTAGGAAGCTAATAAAACAGTCCAGTTGAGAGGTGACAGCAACCTCATCATCCACTCAAAAAATACCTGTGGACACCCACCCTGTGGCCCATCATCTGCTGGCCCTGAGAATACACAGCTGAACAACTCCCCGCAGGAAAGGCACCAGGAAGGCATTCTCCACCACCTCTTCCTCAGGCAGGAAATGAGGGAGCAAAGGATGCTCCAACGTGGGGAGAACCCAGGACTCCATGGGAGGTGGTGGGGCTGGCGGGTGGGCTCCACTTGTTCACTGCTGACTCCCCAGCACCTACGACAGTCCGTGGTATAAATATTTGTGCTCAGAGTGACTTTCAGATAACAGTTTTTAAGGCTGCTTTAGTGTCAAACCAGTTTATAATTGTTTGCCAGTTTAAATGTTGATCAACTCACTAAAAATATTATGAAAGGACACACACCCACATACCTACACACGCCACACACTTCCCACAAATGTATGTTGAAGACTGATATAGATTCTATAACAAGCACATCGAAGACAGAATATTTCCAATTTCACAGAGGTTTCATTTGAGGGAGAGGGTAATAGAAAAATGTCTTTTAAATGTGAAGAATGTGATCCTATAAAGAGATTAGATTTTTATCATGCTTCTTCATAATTATAGTTTCTAATATAAACCTAGCACTGTGCTGCAAACTAAAAGTAATAGTTTTTAAAAATTAAGAGAGTTGATTATAAGACCGCAATGAGAAAGTCTTATTTTCTTACTCCTTATGGAACATAAGTAATTATGTATCACAGGCAATTAAAATCAACTCATATTTACAGACTAATAAACTTTTAAAATTACATGTAATGCAAATCACTCTAGAACAACACATTTTTACAAGTTATTTTGAAGTGTTTTAATGTCGCTGAGGACATTTAACAATTCTCAGGAACCAATTCTCACATTTTCCAGGCTAGCATTTCTCACATCCATGGATGTCAAGGGATATTGTGATTATGTATCTTCATAGCCTTCTACAGAGAACTTTATGTGCAAACTCTGAATTAAAGCCAGTGTCTAAGGGTATATAAATTATCCCATACAGAATAATTTCGTGGAAGTGATATTAGTGTGAGGCTTAGCTAAGCAAGGCTTAGCTCCTTGCTCAGCCTGCCCTAACGGTGGGAATCAGAAGCTGCCCCCGGCGCCTTGGCAGTTTCTGAAGAGTTATTTTTGTACATTTAAATATGTTCTTGGCCGGGCACAGTGGCTCACACCTGTAATCCCAGCACTTTGGGAGACCAAGGCGGGTGGATCACCTGAGGTCAGGAGTTTGGGACCAGCCTGGCCAACATGGTGAAACCCCGTCTCTACCAAAAACAAAAAAATTAGCCAGGTGTGGTGGCATACAACTGTAGGCCCAGCTACTCGAGAGGCTGAGGCAAGAGAATTGCTTGAACCCAGGAGGCGGAGGTTGCAGTGAGCCGAGATCGCACCACTGCATTCCAGCCTGGGTGACAGAGTAAGACTCCATCTCAAAAAAAAAAAAATTAAAAATAAATAAATAAATATATTCTTAAAAGTTTTCTCACAGTTGATGTAAAAGGATATTTGTCTCCAATGCACTCTATAGACTGTCAATTTATTCACATCTAACAAAAGACGAGAAATGCCAGTGCAACAAAGGCATTTAGAGTACTATAAAAACGCACAAATCGTCCCGGTGTGGTGGCTCACACCTGTAATCCCAGCACTTTGGGAGGCTGAGGCAGGCGGATCACGAGGTCAGGAGATCGAGACCATCCTGGCTAACACAGTGAAACCCCATCTCTACTAAAAAATTAGCCAGGCATGGTGGCAGGCACCTGTAGTCCCAGCTACTTGGGAGTTTGAGGCAGGAGAATGGCGTGAACCCACGAGGTGGAGCTTGCAGTGAGCCAAGATTGTGCCACTGCACTCCAGCCTGGGCGACAGAACAAGACTCCGTCTCAAAAAAAAAAAAAGAAAAAAATGCACAAATCTTCAGGTGGGCTGATATAACCGATACTACAAGTTCAAGGAAAGAAGGGGCAATCCATTTTAAATCTATAATTACCTTCTAGTATGTTTCAAAGATACTGTAACAGGAATTCTCATAATGGCTTTCTTCATAGTCCTATACTTAAAATTTTTAGGTATTAAATAGTCTGTTTGCTAGAAAGTATTAATAGAACTGTGAGATCTTGTATTTTATATCCATAATTTCCCCTTCATACATTCAGCCTTTTGTTTTTCACAGATCATAGAGATAACATTGTACTTATTAGTAGAAATAAACCAATTTGTTCTCACACACAAAGTTGGGTACCTTCAAATCAACAACTTCAAGAATCATGTTCACTTAAATCTTTGAAACTTTACAGAAAATTCCAACTGGGCATGGTGGCCTATGCCTGTAATTCTAGCGCTTTGGGAGGCTGAGGCAGGTGGATCACCTGAGGTCAGGAGTTTGAGACCAGCCTGGGCAACATGGTGAAACCCCATCTCTATCAAAATACAAAAATTAGCTGGGCGTGGTGGCACGTACCTGTAGTCCCAGCTACTAGGGAGGCTGAGGCAGGAGAACTGCTTGAACATGGGAGGTAGAGGTTGCAGTGAGCCCAGATTGTGCCACTGCACTCTAGCCAGGGCAACAGAGCAAGACTAGGTCTCTCAAAAAAAAAAAAGTTCCTACTATTTTTTGATTAATGAGGGTAAAATATGAATCTGATCATATGTTCGATATCTTATAAAATGGTCAGTTCAGAAGTTCCATGTTAAAATTACCAAGTCCTCTCAACCAATGAAAATCTATAGTCTTAAGAAAAAAAGGCTGGGCGTGTTGGCTCACACTTGTAATCTCAACATTTTGGGAGGCTGAGGCAGGAGCAACACTTGAGCCCAGGAGTTCAAGACCAGTCTGGGCAACATAGAGAGACACCGTCTCTACAAAAAATGAAAAATTAGCCAGGCACGGTAGTGTGCGCCTGTGGTCCCAGCTACTCAGGAGGCTGAGGTGGGAGGATCGCTTAAGCTCAGGAGGTTGAGGCTGCAGTGAGCTGTGATGGCTCTACTGCACTCTAGCCTGGGAGACACAGTGAGACCCTATATGTCAAGGGTAGGGGAGAAGGAAGGAAGGAACAAAGGTAGGTAGGTAGTGACAGTTACTACAGGACTGAACGAAGGCGGATGAACGCAGAAATGAAAACAAAAAAGAAACTGTTTTAAAGAAGGGGTCAGGGGGATCCCTGCTTCTAGTGAGCAAAGGCAGCCCTGAGCTTCTACAGCCTTTGTATTTATTGGGTAGAAAGAGCAGGGAGGAGTAGGTAACGATTGGTCAGCTGCTTGACTGATCACAGGTTCACATTATTGCTAACAGGCTTCAGATTTGCCTAATCACAAGCAACACTGTGCCTGGGGCATGACTGCCCTCAGCATTCCTTCTGGGCAGCAGACGCAGTTGTCAGCTTGCTAACATTCTGCATTCATGAGAACAGTTTGCTGTTTACTCATATAGCCTCCAGTGGTATACTGAGTTGATCACTGACCCTCATTCTTTCAGCCTCCAACAAAGGAAGGGAGGGAAGGAAAGGAGAGAAAGAGAAAAAGCATAAGTCCATCTTCCAATCTATGTCTGAAAATATAAATAACATAAGAGTTAACTTTTCAACAGTTTGACAGGTCCTAAAAGGTAAACACAGAATTACCATATGATCCAGCAACTCCACTCCTAGGTATATGCCCAAAAGAATTAAAAGCAGGGACTCAAACAGATATTTGTACACCAGTGCTCACAGTACTCAAGTGTTCATAAGTGACATTACTCACAATAGCCAAAAGGTGAAAATCACCCGTGTCCATCAACAGATAAATGGATAAACAAGTACAGTATATACATACAATGGAATATTATTCAGCCATAAAAAGGAACAAAATTCTGATATAGCTACAACATGGATGAACCTTGGGGACATTATGCCAAGTAAAATTAGCAAGACACAAAAGGATAAAAATATATGATTCTACTTATATGACGTACCTAGAGTAGGCAAATTCATAGAGACAAAAAGTAGAACAGAAGTTACTAGGGGCTGGGGGCAAGGCAGAATGGGAGTTATTGTTTAATCGCATTGTGAATGTGAAGTTACTGTCACTGAATTATACACTTAAAAATGATTATGATGGTAAATTTTGTGTTATTTATATTTTGCTATAGCAAAAAAGGAAAAAAAAAACCAGGATAATTAAACCGGGCAAAAAAGAGTCAAGTTTTCAAAGCATTTCCAATCTACCTCCACTATTTCATTAGGATTCTATTTTACAGATAAGGAAACTGAGGTTCAAACACCAAATGAGGAGCAAAGCATGGACCAGCACTCCAGCCAGTGGGCTCCACAGCCAGCCAACTGCAGCCTGGCTCACCCCACAGTCCAGCACACAGCACTTCTGAGTGCAAGCCTGCCTTCCCTCAGGACAGCCTCCCAATTCTACTCTCTGCCCTTATAGCTTTCCTCTCCCTCCACCAACTTTCATGTGAACAGTGGAATAATCACCACAGGGTAAAAGCACAATTCACAAGACTAGGAGAAAAGCCTAGGAGCACCTGAGAATGTAGGCCTTTCACAAGAGGACCACGCACACAGCACTTTGTGCTCAGAGTGCTCATTACCAAAGCAGACTAGGATGCTTCCAGCTGCAGGAAATCAGAAAACCCAAAGTCAAACTGGCATAAACCATGGGAAAATTTATTATCACACAGAACTATGAGATGAGAGGCAGAGGGAGATCCAGGCCTGGATCCTGTGACCAGCAGGTGAGTGCCAGAACCAAAAATGCAGGTTCCTTCTGTCTTTCTGCTCTGACAACTTCAGTGTCAGACTCACCTCAAGACTGATCCCCTCAAGGTCACAGAATGGCTGCCAGTGGAAATACGGTCACAGCTATGCTTCATTATTTGCTCTCTCATTCTGGATGTGAAGGAAAATGCTTCCCCCTCCCCCCTCAAAAAATAAAGTCTTTCCTTATGACTGAGGCAACCCAGATCATGTGGATACCTCTAGACCATAAACAGTCACCACGGGAAAACCATGCTCTCACCTACTTAAAGAATGGATTCTCATGGCTAAGGGTGAAGGGGAAGTAACCGAAGAAAATGTGCATCTCGTTATTAGGAAAGACAAAGGAAATGGATGCTGATAGGCAGCCAGCACTGTCCACTATTCCTGTGTTTCTCAAACTTTAATGCACATGAACTCCCAGAGGATCTCACTACAACACAGATCCGGATTTGGTAGGTCTGAGATAGATAGGGCCCAAGATTCTACATCTTCAATAAGCTTCCAGATAATGATTATGCTCCTGGTCCCTCTCTGCACACAGGAGCTATTCAACAATGGTTTGTGTGTCCCTTACCTAAAGAGCACACCTCCCCTAGTGACCAGGGTGTCTGGCCGCCTCCTGAGAGCGTCATGTCATGTACTTTTGTCAGGCTGGTTGCCAGCTGCGCTCTGAACATTAGAGGCCAGCACACTCCTCTCAGCTGTAATGGCACGGATATTGAATAGTGCAGGTGACAAATTACCCTGAGGCATCCAGAAACTAAGAAGCTTTTTAAACAAAAACATTTGGCAAAATAATCAATGGTGATAAATAATATACTCTAGCTCTAATGGCAAGCTGTTATAAATCTCTTGCATTTTATCACCCCATCTATGTTAAGAGTTTCTACCCCAAGAATAAGGAAGATACTCTTCTTCAGAGACTGTCCTTCAGTAGCACTACCCCAATGGGACACCATGCCAAGTACAGGGGGAGAAGGTGACCACTCCTCGGGAATAGAGTGTAGGCTCTAGAGTCTGGGATGAAGTGGAGCCATGGGTTAGTCTGGCTCATACTGAAGAAGATGTAAAGGGCAATAGGTATCAAGTGAATATACAGGAAATAAGTAGCAGCATCTCCTAGATTTTCCACAGGATCTCAATACCACTGACCCCACCAAGAGGTGTCATTCCTCCACCACCTCTTCTATCCTCTCCTGGCAATTTCCTTGGCTTCAGAATAACAAGGTGTTCCCCAACATTGAATGGATTTCCCAGAGAAAATGTAATGCTACAGGAAATGCATAGGATCGGAAATTCCAGGGCCCAGGTCTCAACATCAGCTTTGTCATTTTACCAACCAACTATGTGAGTAAACAAGTATTTCCTGAGTCTTGGTTTGCTTATCTAAAAAAATAAAAGAGAATGAGGATAATCATGCCTATCTATATCATCAAACACTACACAAATGTTTGTCCCTATCATTCGAAGTTCTCCGTATGGTAGAAGAGTAATCCCAGTTTTCCCCATACACCAGAGAACTCTGTAATTCTCACAAATCCTGGATGTTCAGATTGAAAATGATCTCAGGCATGGCTCCTCCATATACTCTAATGTCCAACAGAGTCATCACAGCAGTTCTGGGGGTGTACGGCCTGAAGCCAGTTCCCCAGAGATTCTGGGAAGGCTCGTCTGGGTCTGTACTAGCCTGCAATTTGGAATTTCCTGTTCCTTAGTAGTTTATGGCACTAATAAGAGTGTTTTGCAAAGCAAGGGATTTACCTTCCAAGCAAAGAGAAGACCACAAAATAGGAATGTCAATGAAAAACTATCATTATTTCTAATGAAAGAGAGCTGGATAGTTCTCTAAAGTCTCTTCTAACTCTAGTATTTTGGGATTGTGTGATCCTGGGCCTTTCCTAGAGAAACTTTAGCCCAGAATCCACTGCTAAAAAGCTTCTATTATGACCCGCACTTACTCCTGCCAAGCATAAAGCACTGTCCTCAACTGGCTCTCCAAGTTTATATAACAGTTAAAGGTCATTTGCTTCAATCGTGGAGCAATGATTTTAAAAAGGACCAACAGTTAAAAGCACACAAACGGCAGTGAGCCCCAGACAAGTACTAACTCTCTCCCTCAAAAGATATTTATCTGCACCCAGGCTGCATCTGGGCAGTGAGAGAAGGAAACCTTGAACCCTACAAATTGTGTCCAGGAGAGAGCATGGAAGACCATGCTAGAAAGTGGCAGCATATTCTCTTATGTAAGGAGGAGGCCCACATGAATTATGACTCTTTTTATGCTTTTCTCTTTAACATCCCATCACTGTCCACAGTGATTTCTCATGCACTGGTACCTTCTTCAGAGCCATCCTGATTAAACTTCGTTTATTTTTCATTGGATATGGCCGTGACAAAGGATTCTCAGATTAATATCCTTCATTTTCCCCAATCTATCTCTATGCCTCAGAAACTAAGTACTGAAGAAACTTCTGGTGTTTATAGTTAAATTGGACTAGGCACAGTGGCTCATGTCTGTAATTCCAGCACTTTGGGAGGCCAAGCTGAAAGGATTGCTTGAGGCCAGGAGTTCCAGACTAGCCTGGGCAACACGGTGCAACCTTATCTCTACAAAAAAATGTAAAAATTAGCTTGTCATGGTGGCACATGCCTGTAGTCCCAGCTACTTGGGAGGATTGCTTCAGCCTGGGAGGTCAAGGCTGCAGTGAGTGGTGATCATGCAGTATGGCCGACAGAGCAACACCCTGTCTCCAAAAACACACACACACACACACACACACACACCCAAAATATATATATATACACCCCAAAGTTCACTCATAGTGTATATATATAAATATATAAGATATATTTATATATTTTATTTATATATTATATGTAACTGTAATGTATTACTATTATATATTAATATATTTAACTGTATATTTTATATTTATATTTTTAACTATATACAATTATAGTTAAGTATATATAGTATATATAGTTTCATATATATACTATACGTATAGTATATAGTTTCATATATATACTACACGTATAGTATATATATAGTTTCATATATATACTACACGTATAGTATATATATAGTTTCATATATATACTATACGTGTAGTATATATAGTATATATAGTATATATAACTAATGTATTATGTATTATATATTGTATATTTTATATATACTGTATAAAACTGTATATTTTATATTTATATATTTAACTATAATTATATAGTTAAGTATATATAGTATATATAATATATAGTTAACTCTCTCAATATACATATGTATATATACACACATACACACACATATACACACATTAGAGACCTCTGTACTTCTCACAAATCCTGGACGTTCAGATTGAAAATGATCTGAGGCATGGTTCCTCCATATATATACATATATATATATATATATACACACACACACACACACACACACATATATACACATATACACACATATACATATATACATGTATATACACATATATACATATGTATACATATATACTACATAGTATATATACAGTATATGTGTATATATGTATATTGTATATCATATACATATATACAGATATATCTGTATATTGTATATGATATACAATATACATAGGTATGTATGTATATTGTATATCATATACATTATACATATACTATATACATATATACTAGTGTATGTATACAGTGTATATATGTATATATGTGTATATACATATATATACACATATATACATATATATACACATATATACATATATATACATATATATATAGGAACCATGCCTTGGATCATTTTCAATCTGAACGTCCAGGATTTGTGAGAATTACAGAGGTCTCGTGTGTGTGTGTGTGTGTGTGTGTGTGTGTGTGTGTGTGTGCGCGCGCGCGCATATATGTATATAGAGTGTGCTAACTATATATTATATATACTATATATACTTAACTATATAATTATATTATAGCTAAATATATAAATATAAAATATACAGTTATATATAAATATATAATACATAATACATTATATATTTATATTATAAATAAAATCTATTATATAAAAATATATATTTATATATATATAGTATGAGTGAACTTTGGAGTGATGAAAATATTCTCAAACAGCATTGTTGTAATGGTTGTGCAACTGTATAAATACATAAAAGCCTTATACACTTGCAACAAGTGAATTTTATAGCATTTAAATTATACTTCAACGAAGCTGTGTGTGAGTTTGTTTTTGTTTCTTGAGGTAGGCTCTTGCTCTGTCGCCCAGGCTGGAGTGCAGTGGTGCAATCACAGCTCACTGCACCCAACTTCCTGGGCTCAAGTGATCCTCGCACCTCAGCCTCCCAATCAGCTGGGACTACAAGTGTGTGCCACCACGCCCAGCTGAATTAGAAAACAATTTTTTTTTTGTAGAGATGAGGTCTTGTTATGTTGCCCAGGCTGGTCTCAAACTTCTGGCCTCAAGCAATCCTCCCACCTCGGTCTCCCAAAGTGCTGGGATTACAGGCATGAGCCACTGCACCTGGCCTAAAGCTGGGTTTTTTTTTTTTTGAGACGGAGTCTCTCTCTGCCGCCCAGGCTGGAGTGCAGTGGCACAATCTCAGCTCACTTCAAGCTCTGCCTCCCAGGTTCACGCCATTCCCCTGCCTCAACCTCCCGAGTAACTGGGACTACAGGCACCCGCCACGACGCCCGACTAATTTTTTTGTATTTTTAGTAGAGATGGGGTTTCACTGTGTTAGCTAGGATGGTCTCGATCTCCTGACCTTGTGATCCGCCTGCCTCAGCCTCCCAAAGTGCTGGGATTACAGGCGTGAGCCACCGTGCCTGGGCTTTATTTATTTATTTTTTTTTATTATTATTTTTTTGAGATGGAGTCTCGCTCTGTCACCCAGGCTGGAGTGCAGTGGCGTGATCTTGGCTCACTGCAAGCTCCGCCTCCCAGGTTCACGCTATTCTCCTGCCTCAGCCTCCTCAGTAGCTGGGACTACAGGCACCTGCCACCGCGCCCGGCTAATTTTTTTTTTGTATTTATAGTAGAGATGGGGTTTCACCGTGTTAGCCAGGATGGTCTCGATCTCCTGACCTCACGATCCTCCTACCTAAACCTCCCAAAGTGCTGGGATTACAGGGGTGAGCCACCGCGCCCAGCCAGCTGTTTATTTTTAAAAAAACACTTTGTATTTTTCCTAGTCATTTTATGTTTAAACATTATAAAGTTCTAATCATACCATATTTATAGTTTCACATCCTGTTTTTCTGAATAATATGTCATGACATTAAAATATTACAAAGCTTTAATAAATATGATAAATATTATATAATTTCACTAAACTCTAGGATATCATCAGGCATTTTAAGTGATCCTTTTATTATCTACATAGTTTCAAACTTTCTGGTAGTATAAATAATGCTACCAAAATCTACTCACACCCAGTTTTCTCCACACGTTCTTAGATTTGATTAACAAAAGTAGAAATTACAAATTACAAGTTACAAATCATTTTAAACTTGACACATACTGACAAATTATTTTACTAACAGGTTTTATCCATTTGTCTTTCTTCTTAATAATTAGCTTTTTGCTATTCTTGCCTGTTTATTCCTCTCAACGAACTTCATAATAATTCTGTCCATTTTACCAAAAGAATTCCACTTGGAATTCTGATTAATAGTATTGAAGCTATATATTAATATGGAAAGTTGAGGAAATTCGTAAGAAAAAAATTAATGTTTCAGCTAAAAAATTTAATCCAGTAATCTGGAAGCTTCATTTATCTAAAATATAACCTCTTCCCATATCAAATAACTTGTTCCTGCATTGCCTCCTAATGGAGAAAGCAAACACTGTACTTACCATCCTGGCCAACATGGGGAAACCCTGTCTCTACTAAAAACACAAAAATTAGCTGGGCATGGTGGTACACGCCTGTAGTCCCAGCTACTAGGGAGGGCGAGGCAGGAGAACTGCTTGAACCCAGGAGGCAGAGGTTGCAGTGAGCCGAGATCATGCCACTACACTCCAGCCTGGGCGACAGAGCGACACTGCATCTCAAAAAAAAAAAAAAAAAAAAAAAAAAAAAAAAAGAAACACTTTACTTGTACATTATTATTGAAATAATCCATGTCTAATTTAATGTCAAGTCAACTGAAAAGTTACTTATTAGCAACTACCCACAAATATACTTCACTAAACCAAACAAAAAGCCATATATACCAAATAAAATATACTGCGCATCATTATTTATTCATTTGACAAGTATTCACTGAATGGCTACTATATGCAATGCACTGTCCCATGAGCATGAGATTTTTAAGTATCTCAAAAAGCATAGGTAGCTTTTTGTAGAAAAGTGCTATATTCTTAGAAAGTAACGTCTTATCAAAATTTATCTAAAATATCCAACTGCATATTTTGGCTTTCATCTCATTTGTTCAGCTAATCTCCAGTAATGCTTTATCCTGGAAAGCATGACAGTGCAAAACAAAACTTCATTTCTAAAAAGTTCCCAAGCCTTATATTCGTAGAGTTCCCATGCCTTATATCCTTGGAGTTCCCATCACCCTCCACATTCCAAAACCTATCGCCGTAACTTCCGTCATAGAAAGCATTCTAAATGAATGAGCAAATTATCAGAGATGTGGTTTTTGTCTGTTCTCACGGTCCCAAAATGACCCTTTGCCAGGGGGGCTGGTGGGGAGAGCATGGAACAGACCTCTGAAATTTTGAGGAATTGCTGGAACTTGTTTTGTTTTTCATCAAACTCAATAGACAGTTCTGTATTAAAATTAAGCATCACATTCTACACTTCACCAACGTCCTCTGTCATCATGAATACCACTCCCAAAGGGAAAGCACCTGACGAATACTGGAAAACTCAGGTCTAAAACAAAGTACATTTCATACAGTATATACCACATGCTCAGGGTTAAAACATTCCATTACGAAGTATAAAGGAATTGTGTTAAACAGACATCTGTAGATGCTTCATGCTTTGTATAGATCTGGCAAATGCCCAAAAGACAAAAAAGTTCTCAATTCCTGATGTGGGTTAGCCAGCATTGAAAAAAAAAAAACAAAACCCAAACATTGTTAAAATTGTTTCAGCAATTACCCTTACACCCACCTCAAAGTTATATCATTGTAATTCTCATCCATCTTATTAACCAGGTAACCTAGTGTCCTAGATATCCATCATTTTAAAATCTTTAACCACATTTTTTCATCATTATCCTCAGTCATGTAAACACATTCAATGACCTGAAATGGGCTAAGTGCGAACACAGCTTTCCAGATTTCATGGGGCTAGTCACAAAGCTCCTACTTTCTTGAACCCATTTTTAAAAAGAGAAAACCAGTCTCTAGCCATGTTTACAAAGGTTTCACGGCTATTGCAAAAATATCACTACCCACACTCCTAAAACAAAAGGCTGCTCATTTGACGGATGAATTACTCCATCTCCAGATTCTAATTAAGACTACTATATATTCCCTAAAACATGCTTCAATATGACAAAGTCCGTATTGTATTCTAAAGAAAGAAGTATTCTGACAGCAATCCAGTAAAACCCAAGGGAACCGATATATTCTAATGTAGGCAATGACCTTAAATGCTGGTATTTTGGGCACCATTTCCTCCACACACTCTATCAAGGAAAAATTTGAAAGTGGAGAATGAATAATTGTTTTGTTCTGAAACTTCCCATTAGAATAACAGAAAGAGGCGTTCAACACAAGCCTGAGGAACCAGGCTAAATTTTAACCTATATTCCTATGCTTTAGCTTCTAGGACACTCAAAGAACAAATCTCAACTGGACAGAAGACATAAGTCAAACTGCCAACAGTCCCTCTTGGCTAGTTATGGGCTTGGCACCTGTCATTTTTACCTGTCTCTTTCTGCATCTGTGTTGTGGGCCCAGCTATGAGAGAACTATCCCACCCAAGAGAGTGTCCACCCTCTTGGAGCCAGCAGTTAGCAAACTGACCTATGCTGGAGACACTAAGCATCATGTTCTAAGGGTTTGAAGAGAAAGACACCCTCAACCTCATCAATTCCACCTCTGCCCTATACCATCCCTTGGTGATGAAGGGTACAGCAGAGCAATCCCTAAGGATGTCCTGCCTGACTATCCACCACCCAATCCACAACAGGACTTGGCCTATTTCCCAGCAACTGAAAAGTTTAACACCACTATCAGTAAGTGTGGAAGCACACCAGTTTTGTGTTGAAGTCAAAGTCTAACTGCACCTTTGCAATCCAAAGCGCAAGGTAAAACCTTTATTCAAAATTTACATTAAACAACTTCAAACCACAACTCCCCCAATGAACTCCATCAACCCTTCTTCTTACCTCATAATGAAATCAGAACTCTTATCTATCAGCCATTTCATTTTTTCCGTAACAGACTAAAGTTATAGACACAATTATAGTCAGGGAGACCATTACTGAAAAGCAAAACGTTATACTTCAAACACAAGCATCATTAAGGAAACTTTATTCTCCATTATAAAACATGCACAGTATTGACACCCAAATGATTTACAGGTGCTTTATAGAAGTCTCCATAAACAACTTACTTTGCCCTTTAGAGATTATCTTCCTTCTATCTTTCATTGAACATTTCAAAGTCTGTATGATATTTAACATAAAACTATTTATACCATTGTCTTTAAAAAAAAAAAAAAAGATCACTCAAATTAGACAGGCTCGCTAGAGAATGATCCACTAGGCTCTGCTGGTTTAGCTATAAATGACCCAAACATTAATGATGGAATGCCAATCAGCCAATGAACAGGGATCACTTAATATGAGTGGGAAGTTATCACCATTCCAGTGGACTTCCAAGAAGTGCAGAGGCCATCCTAACCAGAGGGGCTCATAGTACAAGAGCAACATGCACTTACAGAGTAGGAGGGCGGCCCAGGCACCGTGGCTCACACCTGTAATCCCAGCATTTTGGGAGGCTGAGGCAGGAGGAACCCTGAAGCCCAGGAGTTCAAGGTTGACAGTGAGCTATGATCGATCCACTGCACACACTCCAGCCTCGAGGACAGAGTAAGACTCTGTCTCCTAAAAAAAAAAAAAAAAAAAAAAAGGCGGTAGCCTGAGAGCAAGGGAAAACAATCACTAGTCCAAGTCAGAAAGTGACACCTCAACCCTAATTTAGTACTCTGTAAACCTAAAGCATCCAAAAGTGAAGGACTATCTAGATACCACAGACAATGTACTTTTGGAGCACAGATTCTATAACCAGTATTATACTAAAGTGATATATGCTAAGGCAATACACATATTATTAAGTAGGAGACTAGACAGGATTACATGCTAACAACATAAGAGTGATGTGTAATCTGTCAGATTGTATCATCAGATTACTAAATAGTTAAGGAGGGCTTCTCTTTTTAGAAGTACAGCAGCTAGGACCTGCAATGTCTTCAATAACAATTAGAATATTTCCATCTTTGAAACCCTCAATGCATTAATAATAATCCAGATTGAAAGTCTGCATAGTGGGGTCCAGAGGCCAAACCAGCCTGTCCCTGTTTTTGTACAGCCTGTGAGGTAAAATAGTTCTGTCATTTTCCCATTTATTATGAAAGAGGTGCATCTGAATCAGATATGGGTAAGACTCAAGGCACCATTCATCCTGAGGCAAGTTCTCCTCCAGCTATGAGCCCTTAAGATCAAACAAGTTACCTATTTCCAAAAGACACAGCAGTCTTCAATAATTTTTAAGAGAGTAAAGTGGTCCCAAGACCAAGAACTGAGAACTGCTTTTTTAGATCCAACTACCAATTTACAGAATATATTAATATAATAGAGGATGCACCGGCACGGTGACTCAGGCCTGTAATCCCTGCACTTTGGGAAGCCGAGGCGAGGCAGGTGGATCACCGAGGTCAGGAGTTCAAGACCAGCCAGGCCAACATGGTGAAACCGCGTCTCTACTAAAAATACAAAAAATTAGCCAGGCGAGGTGGTGGATGCCTGTAATCCCAGCTACTTGGGAGGCTGAAGCAGGAGAATCCCTTGAACCCGGGAGGCGGAGGTTGCAGTGAGCCGACATCAAGCCACTGCACTCCTGCCTGGGCAACAAAATTATATATATGAGGATGTTAAACCATATACCCTGAGGATATAAGCTGGTAAATCCAGATGGCAGGAAATTCTTCAAGATAACCATGCAATTTCTTCAACAACAGCAACAACAAAATCACAAGAGAAAAGAAAAAGATGAAAGGTATACTTATATGTTAAAAGAGACTAAAAGACTTATCAACCTATCAAATTTGTGAACCTTATTCAGATCTCAATTTAGAAAAACCACAAAATAAAATCGATGTTTGGGATAAACAGAAATTTAAACACTGTGTAGTTGATGATATCAAGGAATTACTACTCATCTTTTTCAGGTGTGATGCTGAGGTTATGTTTAAACAGTTTTTTGAAGAGTCCTTATCTTTTAAGGATACATATTAAAATCTCTATGATATGACACAGGGGAGAGAAGAGTGAAAAAAGATTGGCCTTCAGTCAAAGATTTGCCATCAGTCAATAATTATTGAGGCTGGCCCAGTGTGGTGGCTCACACCTGTAATCCTAGCACTTTGGGAGGCCAAAGTGGGTGGATGACCTGAGGTTAAGAGTTTGAGACCAGCCTGGCCCACATGGTGAAAACCCGTCTCTACTAAAAATACAAAAATTAGCCAGGCATGGTGGTAGGCACCTGTAATCGCAGCTACTTGGGAGGCTGAGGCAGGAGAATCGCTTGAACCCAAGAGGCAGAGGTTGCAATGAGCCAAGAGCACCAGTGTACTCCAGCCTGGACAACAGAGCAAAAACATCGCCTCAAAAATAAATAAATAAAATAATAATTGTTGAAGCTGAGCAGAAACACACAGAGACATATTATTCTCTGTATTTTTGTATATGTTTGAAATCCTCCATAATAAAAAATTAAAAAGCATAGATTTCATGACATACATCCCTCAAGAAGTATGGGATGAGGCTGAGCAATCAGCATTTTTAGCATGAACCCCATGCCATTAGAAGTCTGCAGCCCATGTTTTGAGAGCACTGTTCTCCCTGATTCTTGAATTTTCCCTACAACATTCCAAATAAGCCAGGCCTCTGGTTGAACCCTACGATGACCAATACACCTCTACCTGCTAAGAATCCAATAATATTTGACTGGTCCTAATGTCTTCAATAAGTAACAACTAATCTATAATAACTACTAACAAATTACCACTTCCTCCTTTAAATTTCTTTTTACTTTTTTTGAGAGAGACAGGGAAAGAGAGAAGAGAGAAAAGAGAGAGGGAGAGAAAGACAGAGAAAGAAAGAGTCTTGCTGTGTTGCCCAGGCTGGAGTGCAGTGGCAAGACTCAACCTCCCAGGCTCAAGTGATCCTCCCACCTCAGCCTCCTGAGTAGCTGGGACTCTTCCTGGACCAAACTGAGGGTTGGGCTGCTATTTCTCGTGGCCCAATAACGAGATGCAGATGAACAGGGGAGGAAGAGAGTTTTTATTTCTGCAACCAGTTACAGGGAGAAGGCCTGGAAATTATCACCAGACCAACTCAAAATTGCAGTTTTCCAGAGCTTATATACCTTCTAAGCTATATGTCTACAGGTAAGTGTGCATTCACCTGAAGACGTAAGTGATTAACTTCTTTTAATCTATAACTAAGGTCTGAGTGCTGGAGACCTTCTTCTGGATCCTCAGTAGATTTACTTCATCTAAATGGGTCCAGGTGCTGAGGTGATTACCCTTGTCTCCTACTAAATCACAGAGGTTTGGGGAGTTTTTTCAGACCCACAATAAAATTTGTTTAATCCTAAAAGGGTCCTGTTAAGAATTCTTTTGTTATTTTCTCATGCTTTAAGGCCCAGGAAAGGCCTAGGCAAAACTCTTGGTAGGTTTCTGTTACACTCCAGCCTTTGATAAGGGCACTGACTTGTTTAGCTTTTACTATTTCACTTAACCAGTCAGTCAGTATTGAAACAGTTGTTATGGAGGCCTGCATTAGTGAGACCTAGCCTGCCACAGGACTACGGGCACGTGCCACCATGCCCAGCTAATTTTAAAATTTTTTGTAGAGATGAGGTACCACTATGTTGCCCAGGCTCATCTTGAACTCCTGGGCTCAAGCGATCCTCTCACCTCAGCCTCCCAAAGTGCTGAGATTACAGGTGTGAGCCACCATGCCCAGTGAAATTTCTAAAAGACTTTTTTAAACAGTCTCTTATGGGACTTGTACACACAAAGCTACAATATTAGACAATGTGTCCTTCACTCTATTACAGCTGTATACTCCATGCCCTATAGCATAGTACAGTGTATATAATGGACACAAATTGTATTGAAAGATGTGTTCCAAAATTTGTAAATATCACTTTCACATATGCAAGCACAGCCAAGAGTTCAAATAAAAATAATGAAGTTTGTGTGTTGCACACAAATACAGACACATTAAATTTGGGTAGAGAACTGAATCTTACCCAATGCATTCTCCGGGAGGTCAAGAAAAGAAAGCCTAATAGGTGTTGAAGCAGCCAAGGAAGTCATCTTCAAGACAGAGGAGTTTAAGCTGGGACTTGAGTTGTAAGACTTGGGAACTCCTACCCCCTTAAAAAAGGAAAGGCTACTCCTAGCAGAGTAACAAAAATCAAGTTCAGAAAGAAGGACTGTGGTATGGTTGGCAATAAGATGATATAAGCGTAAGGGTAGGAGGGAGTAAAACTGGATAGGTTGTCTGGACATGCCAAGAAAAAGCCTTGAGACTTGGAAAAACAATTAGCGAGCTGTGACCTCTTCTTGACCAGTGCCATGAAGTGAGGAGACACAGGGCTCTACAGGGCACTTCGGTATGAATCCCAGCTGTCACTAATTGTATGACTTGGTGAGTTCTTAACCTCTTGAGCTTGGTTTCCTTATCTGTAAAATAGATATAAAGATCCTACTTCGTGGTGTGGCTGTGATGGTAAGATTATATAAAACAATATCCTTAAGGTATTTGTGTGGAAGTAGGTAATTAAGAGAAGGTGGTTATGACTAACCGAGTTTCCAAAACAGTGGCCTAGGAGGAAACTAAACAAGGATGCCTAAATATCATCTGAATTTCTCCTAAATGTTTCATGATGTTGGGTCTCTGCCAGCAGTCTGTAATACACTGTAGAGTCAAGCTAAACCAAAGAAAATGATCCTGTTTTACTCAAAGTTTTGTGAATTTATTCAAACAACGTCAAAGACACTAAACAGAGCTAGCCCTGAACTTTTCGATTCACTAACAACAAATAAAAGGAGAAATAAAGCCTACTGTGCAGCTTGTTTTTCTTTGGATATTTAACAAATTTGATTAAGACATTCCTTTACTTCCAGAGATTACACTTTGGCAGAAAAGCTTAGACATATATACAAAAAACTATAAAACAAAACAGAAATTGGTAATTACCAAAAAAGAATTCAAAATGCTTTGGGAAAACAGAAAAAGCTCTGAATCCCTAATTCCCTACTACACAGCGGGGGCTAAATTAATGCTCCAGGAATTCGTTATTTTATGAGAGAAGCGGCAATTTTGTTCCAGCTGCCAAGAAAACACAAAAGATGATGATTTTCCAGGCCCAGAGAAGGGCATGAACAGCACTGAGGCAGGAAATCATCATTTTCAGAAAAAGGCAGTGGGTTAGAGAGACAAAGGCTAAGGAAACAGTGTGTGACAAGGCTATGAAGATGGGTTGGGCCAGATCACAAACAGCCTTAAATTCCAGGCGCTGGAGTTTGGACCTACTTGACAGGCAATAAGCAGCTTCTCAATATTTTGAAAACATGTGACCAAAGTAGTTCTTTAGAAAAATCTGAAACCAACATGGATGACAGATCAGTCAGGTGCACCTGCACTGTACCTGCACAGAAAAACAAATCCTGTTGAATCTACTGCACTGAGAAGGAGAAACAGCTAGCTGTGGCAAAAGCTGCAACTGCCTACCCAATGTCCATTCTCCCTCCCTTCCTCACTGTATTAACAAGGCAAATTTTAAAATGGACAGCAATGTGCCCAGCTTTAAAAGTAAGCAAACAAAAACAAAACAACAGCTACATTTACCAATGAGAAATAAACATATCTGTTTAAGTAGTTGGTAACATTTGTCACTCAGCTGATGCATTGGTAAGGAAGCCCGTCAATAGGAAGGGATCTCTCTGGGGAGGAAAAAGTTGCAAGCACCAGCACATGTGGCTAGGAATACCAGGTCTTCAACAACACTTCTGAAGTGTTCTTCAAAAGGAATCACTTGAAAGAGACTGACATCCAGGACACCTGTAATAGAACAATTCTGGGCCAATATCCATAATTCATTCAGACATTTCCAAATGTACTATGTTAATGGGCTCAGCTATAGGTCTTGGTCCTCAAGGTATTTACTCTATACTGTAGACAAAAAGATAAAATATATACACACAACAAACTGTAACAATGCAATGTGAATAAAGTAACAGAGCAAACCAACGTAATATAGCAGAGGAGACCCCACAATACAACCACATCTTGGGCTGTATTCCTAACCCTGCTGTTAACTGACTTTCGGCCTTGAATAAACTATTTTACCTTCTAGGCAAATCCTGTCCTGTAAAATAAAGAAGCAGTGTATTTAAATAAAGGGCTAATGCAGGGGACCCACTAAAGTGCATGAGTTCAGTAGGTTCCAACTTTTTCACATATAAACCCACTTTTTAAATGTTAAATAAATTTTCTTAGATCTTCATGTCACCATGATTGTCTTTTTAGCACGTTAACAGATAAAGCATGCACTATATAAATACTACCACGAATTCCACAAACCCTTTAAAAGAATCTGTACTTTATCAGCCAGGCGCGGTGGCTCAAGTCTGTAATCCCAGCACTTTGGGAGGCCGAGGCGGGCAGATCACAAGGTCAGGAGGTAGAGACCATCCTGGCTAACACGGTGAAACTCCGTCTTTACTAAAAATACAAAAAATTAGCCAGGTGTTGTGGCAGGCGCCTGTAGTCCTAGCTACTTGGGAAGCTGAGGCAGGAGAATGACTTGAACCCGGGAGGCGGAGCCTGCAGTGAGCCGAGATCATGCCACTGCACTCCAGCCTGGGCAACAGAGCAAGACTCCGTCTCAAAAAAAAAAAAAAAAAAAAAAAGGAATCTGTACTTTATCACCTGTTAAATGAAAATTAGAAACATTCACAAAACATCATTTGTTCCACTTCAAACACTTAGTATGTGCATAGATTTTTTTTTTCAAGCCAGTTGGAATAAGTTTACAGTCCACAGGACACTGGCTCTGCATTCTCTCAAGTCTTTCCCAGTCTTAATACTATCATCTTATGTTCATTTGAAAGATTTTCAGAACCAGGGTGAAAAGGAAATCAGTAAGAAAGGAGTGAAAAAAGAAAACGATGGATTCAAGAGAAAATTCGAAGGTAAGAACTCAGCAAGAAGGTGGCTATAGGGAGGGAAGGACAGGAAGAAACAAAAGCAACCATGTTAGGTGCCATTAGCAGCAGTATAAGTCCGGAGGAAAAGAACCAGGATGATGGGAAATGATGACTTCATTGAGCATCTACTATGTTCCTGGCATGGTGTTAAATGGTTTAAAAATGAAAACATACACGATTTTAAAAATCAAAACAGTACAAAAAGCTATACAACAAAAAATGTCCCTCTCATCCTGGATTCTCAGGTGCCTAGACTCCCTCTCCAGAAGCAACAATCACTAAAAATTTCATCGGTATCCTTTCAGAAATATTTGCATTTGCCTTCATATTTAGTTATCACAACAACCTCTGAGACAGGTGGGATTATTTTATAAATTAAGAATCTGAGGCTTAAAGACGCTGACAGGGCCAAAGTCAAAGAGCCATGAAGGGACAGAACTAGGACTAGAACATGGACCCAAACACTCATGCACATACTAACTCTACACTCAGAAAGCTATGAAAACTCTGGTAGCTGGGTGCAGTGGCTCGCGCCTGTAATCCCAGAACTTTGAGAGGCCGAGAAGGGCGGATCGCTTGAGGCCAGGAATTCAACACTAGGCTGGGCAAGATGGGGAAACCCTGTCACTACAAAAAATACAAAATATTAGCCGGGCATAGTGGCATGTACCTGTTGTCCCAGCTACTCAGAAGTCTAAGGTGAAAGGATCACCTGACCCCAGGAGGTTGAGGCTGCAGTGAGCCATGATTGCACCACTTTACTCCAGCCTGGGTGACAGAGTGAGACCTTGTCTCAAAAACAAAACAAAACAAAAAACACTCTGGCAGAGATGTTCAAAGTGTTTGTGATAATTAAAAAATAGAACCCAAATAACCACTAGTCAAGGACTGGATGTACAAATCATATCACATGTACACTGTGAAATACTATGCAGCCATTAAAACTAAGGTTAAAAAACATAAGGTAAACCCAGATACACCGCTCTAAGACAGCTTGTTGAAGTAAAAAAGCAATTGCAAGAAATGGGGAGTTGGTATTTACTGGTCACAGAGTTTCAGTTTGGGAAGATGAAAAAGTTCTTGGAAGGAAGGGTAGTGATGGTTGCACAGCAACGTCAATGTACATAATGCCACAGAACTGTACACTCAAAAATGGTTAAAATAGTAAATTTTGTTTTGCATGTTTTCCCGTAACTTTTTTAATACTAAAAAAAGCAATTGCAGAATAGTATGACTATGATTCCATTTTTGTAGAAAGGGAAAGTATGTGTAAACATTACTTGTAAATGCATGTTGTCTGTTATCTTGCTTTACCTTGCCTGCTACTCAGACATCCTGAAAGCCCTGGATTCCTGGTGTGCTGATGCTGAGTCCCGTGCCTCCCACTGCCAAGCACATACTCCCAGCAGCTGAACTACTGCCTTCACCTTTCTTCCTACCTCTCACAGAATGCACTCTTCAGCACTTGCTTTATCTGCAGCTGTCCCGCCCCACTGTTAAATGTCACTGAAGACTCATCAAGCTCCAAAACGTGCTCCAACGTGAAAAAAGATGCAGGAAAATGACTCCCTTACTCATTCCTGCAGTAAGCTCCAGGGTGGAAATGTGTGATATGATCAAATAAAAGAGATGAGATTATATCAGAAAGAGTGAAAAGGAAACCTCTGTTGCTGAAGAATGCACAGTATATGGCAACAGGTAGTGCAGCTCCTGCTTCTCAAGTGTCTTAAAATTAAAGTTTTTGGAAGACAATGTGGCAACAGTCCAGCATATAATGTAGATGACATCCCTGTGGGTGGAAAACCACAGCTTAAAGTGTAGTTACGAGAACTATAAAACTAACAAAATGGTTTGAGATGTTTTTCCTTCTATTTAAGTGCAAACCTAGGTAAGAACATGACCTATACTGAGGTTTATTTATTTAAATGATTATCCAAAGAGCAAACACAACATTATTGAAAATAGAGGCTTTCAGAGTAAAGCTCGGCTCTCCTGTTACTGATCTGCTGCAGCTATGGAAGTTTCTCTGACCCAGTGGAGGGGCTCCAAGGTCCCCCTCTCTAGGAGGAAAGGAAAGCCTACTTGTTGTACTCACATTTAGCAAAGGAAAGAACTGCCCAGGAGACAGGTCAAGGGGCTACAGCAAAGGGAAAAGGGTGGGAATGATCAAATAAAATCAAGACAGCACAATCCTGATGGACAGTTTTCTCTAAGCCTGCAAAAACCGGAACCACCAGAACTGAAATGATCTTTTGTACCACCAAACTTTCCTTAGCTTTCTTAAAAATCAACAGTTCGATTTTCTCACCATACAAACAGGCACAGAGCACTGAAAAGTGTGAATACACTTAGGCCCATGGCATTGTCCCTCTTCATAATGGCACTGGCCATTTTCTTATCAGGGAAAATCCTGAAAGGCAGAAAGTTGCTTCTTCCATGGTGGTCCAAGTCTTAGTTATTACATCCTACTAAAACTAGCCAAAACTACAAGGCACACACTACCACAAGCATTCAAGAGCAATTTTAAGAGAAACCTTGTATTTGTTCCTTTTTAAATATCCCCAATACCTGCATATCCTTCATCATTTAGGATTATGTCTTTAACAGTGGTTCTTAAAGTATGGCCTTGAACTCCTGAGGGTCTCCAAGACCTTTCTAAGGGATCCGAGAGATCAAAACTATTTTCATCATACTAAGATATTCCTAAGAAGTCACTGTAGCATTGTGGACTGTGTTGACACACAGATAGTGCAAAAACAACAGTCGGTACAACTGCTGGCCGCTTAGCACTAAAGAGGGCCGTGGTACTGTCCCTGAATTCTTTACCTTTATGTACTCACAGGAAAATAATGTCAATTTCACTTTTTAAGTGAAATGGTACAGTCATGCTGGAAAAAAACTGTCAGTTTCTCAAAAAACTAAACATACGATTTCTGTACAACCTGCCAATTGCACACTCTTGGACATTTATCCCAGAAAAGGAAAAGTTACATTCACATAAAACTTAGACAGGCTGAGCACAGTGGCTCTAAAATTCCAGCACTTTGGGAGGCTGAGGTGGGTGGACTGCTGGAACCCAGGAGTTTGGGACCCCCAGACTAGCCTGGACAACATGGCGAAACCCTGTTTCTACCAAAAAAATACAAAAATTATCCAGGCATGGTGGCGTGTGTCTGTAGTCCCAGCTACTTGGGGGACTGAGGTGGAAGGATTGCTTCAGCCTGGGAGGTCTAGGGTGCAGTAAGTCATGATCATGCTACTGCATTCCACTCCAGTCTGGGTGACTAAGCAAGACACTGTCTCAAAAACAACAACAAACACCTGTCTATTTGTTCGTAGTAGCTTTCTTAATAGCCCAAAACTAACAGCCTGAATGTCCTTCAAACATGTGAACAGTTAAACTGCTGTACATCCATACCATGGAGCACTACTGAGCAACAAAAAGGAACAAACTATGACATGCACAACAAATAGCGTATGATTCCACTTACATGAGATATGAGGTACCAGCAGTAGTCAAAGTCATAGACAGAAATTAAAATGATGGCTGCCAGGGACTGGCGGGAGGAGGGGAATGGAGAATTATTGTTTAATAGGTACAGAGTTTCAGTTTTGTAAGATAAAGATTTCTGGACATGTATGATGGTTACGGATGCACAATAATTTGAATGAACTTATTACTCTCCCTCCAAAAAGTAAATTACTAATGGTAAATTCAGGATGGGAAGGGGATAGGATGCGGAGAGACACTGGACCAGAGAGGTTTGAAGGTCTTAAAAGGAAACTATTATCTCCTTTATTACACTACATATCCGTTATTCTTAATATCTCACAAATACTTTAAATTTTATATCAACTTACTAGTCAATACTTTTTTTTAAGGAAAAAAGTCCATGATGAAGGAGTACAAATTATTGTTATCAAATCTTGAGCTTTGACTCTTTTTTGTTACTTGTGACCAAATGGCAGGCGTGCACTTCTGTAATAGAGCGATGAGCTGAATTAACTTGCTTGTGTCATGAAATACCATTTTTACGGGAAAGAACAACTGACAAACTAGGGTTATTTAAACCTGTATTGCCGGACACTTCCTTGAAACTGAACAAAGTGAGTCTGTCACTTTGAGGAAAACAATTGACAATATTTTGCTCCCAATGATAAAAAGCAAGCTTTCAACCGAAAATGAGAATTTTGGAAAACTTGTAAACACCACCTTGTATCTGACGGCTTTTAACATAAAGACTTTCCTAATGAAATCAATAGCGATGGTAACGAATGTTATTCGGCGCTATTAATGAAATGCGTCAGCTTGAGATCTGCCAAACTCAGTGAGCCAATATCTTCCAAACGACAAATATATGGTGTTACAATGGGTAACAGCTGCATTCAAACTGCAAGACAGACCAAGGAATTTTAACGTAACTGTGTGCAAAGGCCACTGACAGGAGCTTTAGCTGCATTCAAACTGCAAGACAGACCAAGGAATTTTAACGAAACTGTGTGAAAAGTCCGCTGACAGTAGCTTCAGATTCCACGTCCAAACCAGCCTTTGAGAAACTTCCACTTACGTAGTTTTGGTGTAGTAATAAAGAATACCCATAATTATCTGAAACAGCTATTAAGACAGTACTCACTTTTCCAACTACACATCTGTGTAAGATCAGATTTTCTTCATATAAAAACATACCGCAACAGACTGAACTGCAAAGGAGATGGGAGAACGTAGTTGTCTCTACTAAGTCAGACAACTCAAGAGATTCGCAAACTGTAAAGGACGCCAGTCGTCCCACGAACTCTTTTGTTTTAGCAAAACCCTATGTTGCATAAAAATGTGGTATGTACGTTAACATACCACGGATTTATTCAATGAGTTAATAGTAACTTCAGTGTCTCGGTTTTCCTTTCTAGTACAGTCTATGGAGATAGCCACCATTCCAGGTCCTCTAGTCCCAAGAGGGGTCCTGAGACCAAGACGTCTGCGACCCGCTGATCCCTACTGCTAGAAGATAAATGATTAGCTCGGCAAATACTGATTTGTCTTATGGAACTCTCGGAGCAGCGGGGCGGCGTCAGCGCCTGTGCCACCGCGGACACCCGGGAGTGAACAGCAGCCGTCTCCTCCGCGGGCCCGGACGCAGCCACGCCGCCACCCGAGCGCTGGGGGTCGGGGCTCCGGCCGACCGGGGGAGGCCGCGGGGAAAGCCCGGCCGCCCGCCCGCGCCAGGCCCGGCCCGGCCCGGCCCGAAGGCCCGCCGGGAGCTGCGGGGCGGACGTGGCGGGGGCCGCGCGGTGCGGCCCGTACCTGTGGGTCATCCCGGCCGCCACGCCCAGCATCTCTCCGCTTTCGGCCGCCGCCGTCTCTCAGCCCCTCGTCTCCCGGCGCCGCTCCAGCCGCGTCCTAGTCCCTCGCCGCCGCGGCCGGCTACTGGCGGGCCCGGAGCAGGAAGGGGAGGAAGGCCAGGGGCCGGCCGCGCGGGGGCGCGGGAGGGGGGGGAAGGCGAGGCGGGCCGCGCGGGAAGGCGGGGGAGGGGCGGGAGCGGCTGGGCAAGGAGGGGCGGGGACTGGCGGGGCGGGCGCCGAAGGGCGCGGACTGGAGAGGTAGGCGCGGGGGGGCGGGGCGTTGCGGGGCGGGGCGCGCATCAGACCCCGCCCCAACCCGTGGCTCGGGCCCGCCCCCATTTCAGCACCCCAGGCTAGTCTGGGAGGCTGGCGCAAACGCAGCGGGTGGCTGGGGTAGGGGCTCATTGGGAGCCCACGGAGCGCGGCGGCGGCTCGGGGGCCGAGTTCCCTACAACAAGGATGGCGGTGACGGGCGCAGGGAGCGGGGCCCGGCTCTCCTTGCCTCGAGGCTCCTCTGATTCCACTCGCGTGGCTGCGCGGCCCTGGCAGCGGCCTTCGTCCCGGGGGTGGGAGCTACACAGGGTTCCGCCCCGTCCTGGCGAGGACGCCTGAGGGGGCTCTGTGGTAAGGCTCTGTCGGGCAGGCCGGGCTTCCGGGAGGACCTGGTCTGGATCGGTCACCGCTGGGTGCCTGAGCTCCGCATGGAGCCTGCAGCCTTTGTTTAACTTGTGAGTTAAGAAAAGTTAACCTTTCTTGGAGAGTTTCCAGTCTTGCCTCTGCATCCTGTTCTTCCTTGCTAGCTCTCATTTTCTTCACCCATTCCGTCTATCAAAACCTGAAATTTTGGGGCCGGCGCAGTGGCTCACGCCTGTAATCCCAGCACTTTGGGAGGCTGAGGCAGGCGGATCACCTGAGGTCAGGAGTTCGAGACCAGCCTGACCAACATGGAGAAACCCCGTCTCTACTAAAAATACAAAATTAGCCGGGCGTGGTGGTGGCACATGCCTGTAATCCCAGCTACTCGAGAGGCTGAGGCAGGAGAATCGCTTGAACTTGGGAGGCGGAGCTTGTGGTGAGCTGGGAGATCGCGCCACTGCACTCCAGCCTAGGTAACAGGCTCCGTCCCAAAAAAAAAAAAAAAAAAAAGTGAAATCTCCAAAGGATTTAATAGATTTAATAGATAAGACAAGTTATTCATCCTGGGCATAAATGATCTCTCTCAGGATACCTGATTCTGTAACTATAGCTACTCTCTAGTAATAGAATGAAAACTTTGGTCTCCTGCCAGTCGAGGCATGTCGGAGGAAAACACTGGATCTATTTGATGTCCTCACATGAAAGTAAATTCCAAACAAAGCAAATAGTTAAATGTTCAAAAAACAAAAAAAAAAAAAAAAAAAAAGAGAGAGGTTATGAAAATACCAGAAGAAAACAAGGGAAAA
Source organism: Homo sapiens (assembly GCF_000001405.40). NCBI lineage: Eukaryota > Metazoa > Chordata > Mammalia > Primates > Hominidae > Homo > Homo sapiens. The sequence continues at coordinate 108,533,114 of NC_000002.12, read as the reverse complement.
AAACAAAAGTAAGGTTGGAGTGGTGAGAGACTTTTCAAAGAGCATATAAACCATAAAATTAAAAATTGATAAATGTAGGCCGGGCACGGTGACTCACGCGTGTAATCCCAGCACTTGGAGAGGCTGAGGTGAGTGGATCACCTGAGGTCAGGAGTTTGAGACCAGCCTGACCAACATGGTGAAACCCCGTCTCTAATAAAAATACAAAAATTTCACCGGTTGTGGTGGCGGGGTTCCTGTAATCCCAGCTACTTGGGAGGCTGAGGCAGGAGAATTACTTGAACCTGGGAGACAGAGGTTGCAGTGAGCCGAGATCGCGCCATTGCAGTCCAGCCTGGGCGACAGAGCAAGACTCTGTCTCTAAATAAATAAATAAAAATTGATAAATGTAACTACATAGAAATCTAAATTTTCTGCATAGCAAATAAATATAACAAACCCCAACCAAGAAAAATATTTGTAAAATGTATGACAAAAAGTTCTAAATTATTAAAAAAGTTCTAATTATTAAAAAAATCAGTACAAAAATGTTCAACTCAGAGAAAAACAGGTTTCTACAGAAAAATACAAATGATTTCTTAAAGTATCATAAAACAAAAATAAAATACAATTTTTCACAAATGCAAAGATGAAAAGTTTGACTATATATTGTTTTGATGAGGATATAGGGAAACCCTTTTTTCCTCCCCTAGAGGAGGCCTCTCTATGTTACCCACACTGGTCTTGAACTCTTGGACTTCAACTATCCTTTTGAATAGCAGGGTTTACGAGTGCACGTCAGCATGCCTGGCTAATTTATTGTTGATAGGAGTATAAATCCATACACGCTTTGTAAAGAACAAGTGGGCAATAGCTATCAATGTAAAATTCAGCTCTTCTTTGACCCAAGATATTCATATTTTGGAATTTATCTTACAAATGTATTCTTATATGTACACCAAAAGAATGTACAAATTTGGGCATGGTGGCTCACACCTGTAATCCCAGCACTTTTGGAGGTCGAAGCAGGAGGATCCCTTGAGGTTAGGAGTCCAAGACCAGCCTGGGAAGAAAAGGGAGACCCCCCTGCCTTGTCTCTACAAAAAAAAAAAATTAAAAATTAGCTGGGCATGGTGGCGTGCACCTGTAGTTCCAGCCAGCTATAATTGCACCACTGCACTGCAGCCTGGGTGACAGAGTGAGACCCCGATTCAAAAAAAAAAAAAAAAGAAAAAAGAAAGAACAAATTTTAAAGGTCCCTAGGCAACTATCTGTACACTAAATGACATCACTGAAATTTACTTTAAAATGTAGGGGTGGGGAATGTGGGTTGATAACTTGAAACTACCTCATAAATACATTACATTCTTTATATTAGCTTGTCTACTTTAGTGTATATGTGAACATTTCTGTAATAAAAAAGTTTTTTAAAATTGAAAATGGCCGCGCGGTGGCTCAGGCCTGTAATTCCAGCACTCTGGGAGGCCAAGGCAGACAGATCATGAGGTCAGGAGATTGAGACCGTCCTGGCTAACACGGTGAAACCCCGTCTCTACTAAAAAAAAAAAAAAAAAAATGCTGGGCATGATGGTGTGCGCCTGTAGTCCCAGCTACTTGGGAGGCTGAGGCAGGAGAATGGCGTGAATCCAGGAGGCGGAACTTGCAATGAGCCTGTAGCAGGATGAGCCGCAGACAAAACTCCTCAGACTCCGAGTTGAAGGAAGGGGTTTATCTGGCCGGGGGCATCAGCAAGTCTCCTGTCTCAAGGGCCAAGCACCCCGAGTGAGCAATTCCTGTCCTTTTTAAGGGCTCACAACTCTAAGGGGGTGTACGTGAGAGGGTCGTGATCGATTGAGCAAGCAGGGGGTACGTGAGTGGAGGCTGCATGCACCAGTAATTAGACCGGAACAAAACAGGATAGGGATTTTCACAGTGCTTTTCTATACAGTGTCTGTAATCTATAGATAACATAACTGATTAGGTCAGAGGTCGATCTTTAACTACCAGGCCTAGGGTGTGGGGCCGGGCTGTCTGCTTGTGGATTTCATTTCTGCCTTTTAGTTTTTACTTTTTCTTTCTTTAGAGGCAGAAATTGGGCATAAGACAATATGAGGGGTGGTCTCCTGCCTTATTCCTCCCCTTTGAGACTCTCACTCAATAGTAGGAGTTTTCACTTTCATTTTCTTATCTATGTCTTCCTGCAAGACAGATCGATAGTGATTCATTCATATAGTACACTTCTGCTGAAGCATTTTGGTGAACTAAGGTAGCGATGAAACTTTTTATCATTTGAAGAAGTACAGGTAGCAAACAAGGGAGCAGTAAGCAGGTTCCTATTACTATTATAACTTTTATTATAAGAGTTTTAAATCTTCGTAGTGCTGGGAACCATTTTCTAAACATGGCCTCAGGATCAAATCCATGCCACACTTGTACGGGCACATGTGTCAATTTTGTTATATCTGTAACTATGTCTTCAACTACTTGCCCTTGATTATCTATGTATAGGCAGTAATTAGTATGGTTAAATTTCCTACAGACCTCACCTTCAGCTGCTAGCAAGTAGTCGAGAGCTAATCTATTTCGATAGATAGCATTTCTCATCTGAGTTTATTGCCGGGCCAGAAGAGTCAAGGCTCTGCCAGTTTTATTAGTGGTTATTTTTAAGACAGCTTGTAACCGTATGATTCAGTTGATCATGCAAATGGGGGTCTGGTATCCTCACGAGCCGTCTTGTGCCTAAGTAGCAGGCCTATAATATTGCATGATTCTCTTAGGGGGCCATTTATCATGTTTTCAATTTCTTATAGCTATGCTTCTCTTTTCGTGGGAAGCATAGACAGGGAAGCCTAGGATTTCGCCTGTTTTTATGGGCAGTAGGAAGAAAGATGGTTTAATAGTGCCAGTAACACAACTACCTGCCTGCTGGTCGGGTAATTTGGCATAAGCTCTATGCCTACATATCCAGTACAATCTAGTGGGGGCTGTCCAGTCCCGGTGGGACTCCGGGTGGGTCCACACAGTTTGCAACTTTGGGAATTTACTAAATGGATTTCTCTCTGTGTGACTTGAACTCCACCAAGTGACTGTTTTTGTGGTGCCATTATACACTTTCTGTCTCAGACAACTAAGTCATCCTACGGGGTGAGTGAATTCTCTTCCTTCTCTAGCTATGCAATATTGTCCAATAATTGAGGCTTTTAGGACCTAGAAATTATCAGGGTGATTCTTTTGAGCTGGGAATTCATCAGGAACTTGGTCTGTAGGTACTAATTCTTGGGCTTCCTGTGGCCATTGATCTCCTATTACAGTTTCTCCACGTACATAACGTGAAGTGACATTGAGAGACTGGGTTACATGCTCGGCTAATTGCAAAAACAAATTTCTTGTTTTTCCTGGAATTTCTGGTACTGGCACATTTAGTTCATCATAGAAAGTTTAAAACACTGGCTTAGGAGAGCATTTATAAACTTCTCCTCGAACTAAGATGTTTACTTGAGGATCCAGTCCGGCCCCGTCGATTCTTAAGGTCACACTCTCCTCTTTTTTCCTGCGAGGATCAAGGGGATTGGTTATTACTAGCTCTAAGGGGTTACATTGTCCCTTAGTACAGGAAGGGCCATTTTTTCCTTTCTGAAGGTGGACTGGATCTTTTTCATTTTTTTTTCTAAGTGGCCTAAATGACACAAGACCAGTATTTATATTTATTTCCACACAGTCCTAATTTATGACAGATGTACTTATTTTCTGCCATATAGCCTCTTTTCTAATTAAGACAACCACACCTTATTCCTAACTTATTACTATTAATGACAGCGCAGACATTAACTTTTAAGGTGACTTGTTTGGGCACCCCTTTTTCTTCTGTTTTAGCTAACACTTTACTCGTATCGTTTATGAGCCCCCACCAGTCCTCAGTCCTTAATCTTATTTTAAAAATTGTGGTCATGGGAGGCTGAGATGGGTCATAACACACATCAGGTTGGTCATTTCCTGGGCTACATACCTTGTATAGAATAACATTATACAAACAAGTTCTTTTTAGAGTTCCAGTACACTTATAATAACCACAAAATAATAGGACCGCAGCAACTTTTTGTCCTACCTCAGTGACTTGTTGTATACCCTGGGAATAGTCCTCGGTCTGAGGAAGGTCAGTTGAAGTCCTTACTGTAAAAGTCTAAATTTTAAGGAAAATGAGTCCCGCGATGAGTTTTCTCATGCTTTGGCCATGCGTGGACCAGTCAGCTTCCGGGTGTGACTGGAGCAGGGTTTGTCGTCTTCTTCAGAGTCACTTTGCAGCGGTTGGTGAAGCTGCTCCTGTCCACGTACCGTTCACAGTCTACTGATGTTCAAGGATGGTCTCGGAGGTTGGGCCTGCTAGAATAAACTGAGTCTAACACGTCTACACAGTTATGTTCCACTGGGCTCTCTGATACCGGGAGCAAGGTGGTGGGGTTTAGGGTGTTGCGAACTTCAGTGGTTATGTGGGGATTTTCACATAGGTTAATCTAGCATTTGTGAACTAATGATGTCCTTTGGTAGTCATTAAAGTTACCACAGCATGGGGGCCTTTATATTCGGGTTTTGCCTAAGGGTTAGTTTATCTGCTTCTTGTGCTAACAGGGCCATTTCTGCTAGGGCCCTTAGACCTGGGGGCCAGCCTTTGGAAACCCTGTATAGTTGTTTTGAGAGATAGGCCACTGGCCTTGGCCAGGGCCCCACAGTCTGAGTTAAAACTCTAACTGCCATTTTTTCTCTTTCTGACACATAAGGTGTAAAGGGTTTTGTCAGGTCAGGTAGCCCCGGGGCTGGGGCCGACATGAGTTTTTCTTTTAACTCATGAAAAGCTCGTTGCTGTTGGTTGTAATAGATGTAGTTTATCTAATCTACATTTTTATTAACTGTCACCTACCAAAATATTGACTCAAATCCTGTAGCTATTTGGTTTCAAGCTTTAAATTGATCTGGTATTCCTCGTAGGACTCCAATTGCGTCTAAATAGACCTGAGAGTCGAAAGACCTATAAGGGACTTCTCTCCCTTTACGATGTCTTATTTTTTTTTCCTTCTGGTTGATGAAATGCCAGGGTGAAAGGGATAGTCAAATGGACTAAAATACAAGTGCCGCTCCAGTTATTCGGCAGAGTGCCTACTAAAGGTCCACCACAATACTACCACACATCCGCTCGGGGGTGAACAAGGGCTGAGTGATTGATAAGCTCTTGAAAATTCTTAAGCTCACTGCATCCTTTCAGGTCTCCAAGGAACGCTAAGTTTCCTACTTGTCGTGAGAGAGACACAGTGAACTTAGTGTTGGGAGATGGAGGCTGGATGGCCTTCAAGGGCTGACCCACAGGGTGCTGGACTTTGGGATATAGCAGAGAGAGCTTGGCACGACTTATTACTTCAGGCTGTAGAATCCTGGAAAAGGGCTACCATGCAGCCTACACCTGGTTGACTGGACGACCACTTTAGTGGAAAGGAGACAGTCTGGGCCTCTGGCCTGCCATGTGCACAAGCATAACAATTATTTTTGTTTAACATGCAGATGGAATATTTGATCCCTTTTAACCAGGCATTTGCACCTTGGTATCTTGTCTTAATTGCTAAAGTTTAAGTCTTTAACTTCTATGATCCTCTAGTAAAATGAATGTATGGTTTTAGGAAATTGCAAAAACCTGTTGGGGCAGTCCATCCTTGCTCTTTACTGGTCCACAGAACGTTGGACCAACTATGGCATGAAAGGTCTACATGGGGGGGCAAGACTCCTGGTTGACACTGGGGTCTTTATAGACATCTCCCTGGATTAAATGGTCCTAGTTTACTAATGCCCAGTCTGAGGAGAGTCAGGCGGGACAGAAGTACTTTTCTGAAGTAGAAAGCTGTCTTTGACTTGGCAAGTCCCCACAGGGTATAACAAGGCAAGCATTAAATGCAATAGTTTGAGGTGAAATTGACTTGGTTGTTAATAACTGGATGGTCAGCAATAGAACGAGGAAAGAAGAAAGAGTAATAGACTAGATAAAAAGAGTTAAATTTTTCTTAGGTTTAGTTTGGTAGGGTTTTCCCCTGGGACTATGGCCCACAACTCTGGAGGGGGTGGCACTTTCTTGACTCGGGTGTGATGAGTCCATCCTTTTTTTTTTTTTTTTGCTGTACGAATAGCAGTCTTGGTGGTTAGCAGCAGAAGGTAGGGTCCTTCCCAGGCTGGCTTGAGTTTTTCTTCTTTCCACCTTTTGATGAGAACATGATCTTCAGGCTGATGGTGCTGGTTTACCAGAAATTCTAGGGGTGGTACATGTGCTAAAAGACTTTTAGTTTTTGAGAGAAAGGAAAGTGGAAGATAAACCAAGTATATAATTTTTAAGAAATTGATATTTTGTTTCAAATGTGGGGACTTTGGCAGTGGACTTTATAGTCCTTAGTGCCTTTTTACTGAGAAATTTCCTTTAGCACCTATTTTTATTAGTTTTTAAACCAAAGAAGCCAAATACCATTTTACATTTAACAATGCTTCTTGTATGATTTTTATACCAGATAAGCTAAATTTTATCTTTATATTAGTGTGTTATTAATATTAAATGTAATTTTAATAAAAGCTTGTAGACATATTTATCTAATTTTTAATGTTTGACCATAAAGTAAGATTTTATAGACTCTTTTTAACCTTTTATAACTTTTGCTAAAGAGCAGGTTGGTGCTTTAAGAAAAACCTATTATGCTTTTACTTTAATGTCCAGTTCACAGAAAAACTCGATGATACTTCTTTAACTTTAGCTAATATGTTTACACACAGAATTTTCTTTACAATTAACGTTTTAAAACTTGCTTAAACTTTCAAAACAATAGTTTTTTTTTAAACTTTTTAATGTAGGTAAGAATGTACATTCTTATGCCCCCTTATAATCCTTTTACCAAAGGTATAGTATACTTTTCTTATACACCTTGCACATAAACTGTTTTTTTTTTTAATAGTTTTACATTCAGGAGGACTAGTTACTTTTAAATTATACAACATTTTTTACATAAATTCTTTTTATAACATTTTTCTCTTTCATGACTTTCACAGACAATTCTTCGACATGCCTTAACTTTCTGACTTATTACAAATATTTCTTTCTTTAAACAACCAATTAATTTATTTCAGGACAAGAATTTACCATATAATACTCTTTTTATATAAATTCTGCCCTGCCTTTTTTTTTCCTTAGGATACTTTTGAACTGGTGAGGTGTGCTCACAATGACCTTTCCTCTAAAAGTTATTTTTTTTACTTTTTTTTTTTGTTGTTGTTAGCAAAGCAGTTGCCGCTACAGATTGAATGCATTTGGGCCATCCACGGGTTACTGGGTTAAGGATTTTTGATAGGAAGGCCTCAGTGTTTTGGGATACGCCCTTGTTTACACTGACAACAAAGTGGTATTGGAGTGTTATAGGGTTACAGATAATACCTTCAATTATCAATTATAGGTTTTAAATTTACCTTGGCTTTTAAAGGGATAGGGTACACCTTTTTTTTTTTTAACTGCTTGTATATCTCTCTTTCTCTCTCTGACTTTGTCTCTCTCTCTTTGACTTTCTTTTTGACTCTGTCTCTTTTTCTCTTTTTCTCTCTCTCTCTGCCTCTCTCTTTCTTTCTCTCTCTCTCTGCCTCTCTCTTTCTTTCTCTCTCTCTCTCTCTCCTTGACTTCCTCTTTGTCTGTCTCTTCCTCTCTGTCTCTTCCTCTTTCTCTTTGCCTCTTTTCCTCTCTGTCTCTTTCCTTTATCTCTCTCTGCTGGTCTTTCCTTGCCTCTGCCAGCTGCTTATGCTGCTGTTCTTTCAACCACTGTGTGTTGGGGGCATGGGATCTAAAACTAGCTGTAACCAAGTGTCTATGTACGGGAACTGGTCTGGGTTCCCAGGCTTACAGGTTATCTTGTGCCATACCTTTGAAACAAGGGACTTACTTGTCCAGGCTTCCTTCTAATGGCCAACCTACCTCTAATGCTGGCCAGTCTGTCTTACACAAAGTTTTAAGTTTTCCTGGTGTCACAGTACTCCATAGTCTCTTTTAAATTCTTTTTTGAAAATTTTCAACTTATCTCCTAGTAGGGTGGGCTTATTGGTGCCTGACCTATGCTTCTTCGAGACAAAACACCACACTTACACCACACACACACCATAAAACAAAGAACGGGTAAAAAGGGCACACACACACCTTTGCAATTTGCACCAAACCAAAATCAAAACTAAAATCAGAGTATCCAGAAATCCAAGCCAGGTCAAAATCAAAACCAAAGTATCAAGCAATCCAAATCAAGTTAATAACAAAAACCAAAGTGCCGGTACGAGCACACCGTGGGTGATCAGGCCATGCTTCCACTCAAATGGAGTAGGCAAGTTCCTAAGACCAATCCTGTCAAGCAATTCAAACCAAGTCAAAACCAAAACCAAAGTGCCGATAAAGGCATGCCATGGGTGATCAGGCCACGCTTCCACTCAAACGGAGTGCGCAAGTTTCAAAGACTAGTCTTAACAAGTTTTAGATGTCCAGACTCCAAGTGCCTGTTCCTTCCCAGTGTTCAGCCACTGCGTTGATCCTCCATGGGGGCCTGCCACACACTGCTCTGGTGAGGCATCCCACCGGGCAAGTGCCTACCTGGGAGCGCTCTCAGGATCCGCTCGGGCTGGTCGGAGTCCCCCGCAGGGATGTTCCACAGGGCAGGCTTAAGCCGCCTAAGGAGCTGCCTCGACCATCTGCCAATCACCTCGCTTCCCGGTCAGGGAACCGAGAAATGTAGCAGGACCAGCCGCAGACAAAACTCCTCAGACACCGAGTTAAAGAAGGAAGGGGCTTATTCAGCCGGGGGCATAGGCAAGACTCCTTTCTTAAGGGCCAAGCTCCCCGAGTGAGCAATTCTTGTCTTTTTTAAGGGCTCACAACTCTTAAGGGGGTGCGCGTGAGAGGGTCGTGATCAATTGAGCAAGCAGGGGGTATGTAACTGGGGGCTGCATGCACTGGTAATTAGATCGGAACAAAACAGGATAGGGATTTTCACAGTGCTTTACTATACAGTGTCTGTAATCTATAGATAACATAACCGATTAGGTCAGGGGTCGATCTTTAACTACCAGGCCTAGGGTGTGGGGCCGGGCTGTCTGCTTGTGGATTTCATTTCTGCCTTTTAGTTTTTACCTTTTTTTCTTTGGAGGCAGAAATTGGGCATAAGACAATATGAGGGGTGGTCTCCTCCCCTAAGCTGAGATCGTGCCACTGCACTCCAGCCTGGGCGACAGACTGAGACTCCGTCTCAAAAAAAAAAAAAAAAATTGAAAACAGACGAATGTACAAGGGGAGTCATTGCAGTTTTGTTTTTAGGAACTGAGAAGGTTTATTTATCCAGGATATTGTTTAAGTAAATTACGGTTTCTACCAGGAATACTCTGCAGCTGTTAAATAAGAATAGCCAATAAGTATATGAAAAAATGCTCAACATCACTAATCATTAGGGAAATGCAAATCAAAACCATGGTGAGATATACCCCTTACCCTTTCAGATGGCTACTATCAAAAAAACAGAAAATAATGTTAGCAAGGATGTGGAGAAATTGGAACCCTTGTGCACTGTTGGAGGGAATGTAAAATGGTGCAGCTCCTGTGGAAAGCAGTAAGGCAGTTCTTTAAAAAATTCAAGATACAGTTGCCATGTGATCTAGCAATTCCACTTCTGGATCTATATCCCAAAGAAGTGAAAGCAAGGTCTTGAAGAGATATTTGCATGTGCACATTCATAGTAGCATTATTCACAATAGATGAAAGGTGGAAACCACCCAAATGTCCAGAAATGGATAAATGGATAAATAAAGTGTGGTACATTCATACAATGGAATATTTATCTATTCACCCTTAAAAAGGAAATTCTGGCTGGGCAAGGTGGCTCATGCCTGTAACACCAGCACTTTGGGAGGCCAAGGCAGACAGATCACCTGAGGTCAGGAGTTCGAGACCAGCCTGGCCAACATGGTAAAACCCCATCTCTACTGAAAATACAAAAATTAGCTGGGCATGGTGGCGGGCGCCTATAGTCCAAGCTACTCCGGAGGCTGAGGCAGGAGAATCACTTGAACCCAGTAGGTGGAGGTTGCAGTGAGCCAAGATCATGCCATTGCAGTCCAGTCTGGGCAACAAGAGCAAGACTCCATCTCAAAAAAAAAAAAAAAAAAAAAAAAGGAAGGAAATTCTGACTTATGCTGCAAAATGGATCAACCTTGAGAACGTTACACTAAGTGAAAGAAGCAAATCATAAAAAGGACAAATACTGGGCCAGGTGCAGTGACTCACACCCTGTAATCCCAGCACTTTGGGAGGCTGAGGCGGGCAGATCACGAGGTCAGGAGATTGAGACCATCCTGGCTAACACGGTGAAGCCCTGTGTCTACTAAAAATACAAAAAAAATTAGCTGGGTATGGTGGCGGGTGCCTGTAGTCCCAGCTACTCGGGAGGCTGAGGCAGGAGAATGGTGTGAACCCGGGAGGTGGAGCTTGGAGGGAGCTGAGATTGCGCCAGTGCACTCTAGCCTGGGCGATAGAGCAAGACTCCGTCTCAAAAAAAAAAAGCTAACTTGAAAAGAAAATTGAAGTCCCTATAATCCTACTTCCTAGATAGAATCAGTGATCTTGCACTTTTAGTGTTATTTTCTGTCAATCATAGTTATATGTATCCCAATGTAATACATATATTACTTAACATGAAAAATTTTAAGCACCTAGAAATTTAAAGGAAATATGCTCATCTATGAATATTATAAAGCCACTATCTAGATTTAGCAGTTAATATTTTGCAGTGTTTAAATTTTTTTCACTGTAGTTTGAAGTAAATTACTTTAAACTTTTCACCCCTAAATACTTTAGAATGCATCTTTTTTAAAGAATGAATTCTTTCACAATATAATCACACAATTTTCACACCTAACACAAGTAACTGTGCTTTCTAAATGTTGTCTAATAACCAGACTATATTCACCTTTCCCTTTTTGACCCCAAAAAATGTCTTTGAGAGCTGGTTTGTTTAAATAGGGTTCTAATTAAGGAGCATAGGTTGCATTTCATTGTTTGTCTCTAAGCTTTTTAAAAATCAAGTGTAGTACCTGGCCCCCCCCCTTTTTTTTCTTGACTTTGAACTTATTGGAGAGACCTAGCCAGTTGACTTACAGAAGTTGGGTCAATGTTCTCACTTTCTGTATTTATCTGATTGTTTCCTCATGGTGTCCTTTAACTGTATTCTCTTTTATTTCCAGTAAAGCAGAATTTTAGGCTTGAACACAATTACATTAAACATGTTGGACAACAATTCTTCACCGTTGATACAATTTTCTTTCTTTCTTTCTTTCTTTCTTTCTTTCTTTCTTTCTTTCTTTCTTTCTTTCTTTCTTTCTTTCTTTTCTTTCTTTCTTTCTTATGGAGTTTCACTCTTGTCACCCAGGCTGGAGTGCAGTGGCACGATCTCGACTCACTGCAACCTCCGCCTCCTGGGTTCAAGTGATTCTCCTTCCTCAGCCTCCCACGTAGCTGGGATTACAGGCGCTTGCCACCATGCCCAGAAAGTTTTTGTATTTTTAGTAGAGATGGGGTTTCACCATATTGGCCGGGCTGGTCTCGAACTCCTGACCTTAGGTGATCCACCCACCTCTGCCTCCCAAAGTGCTGGGATTACAGGCATGAGCCACCACGCCCAGCCTGATGCCATTTTCTTCACATAGTATCTAGTGTACCCACTATTAGAGATTCTAAGATTATAGGGTTAACTATCCATTTATCATCCTGCCACTGGAAAGTATTCTATGGGTTGAAACACTGAGATCTTTGAAATCTTTCCCTTAATGGTTTTAGCATGCAGTAATGATTCTTTCTCACATCAGTTACTTAATTAGAAGTTGCAAAATGGTGATTAAATTATCTTCTTTTTTCTACATTTATTAACTGTCATTCTTACCTCTAAAGAACTTTCCCTCATCCACTGGGGTTATTTTGTATCTAAAACTTAGTTCCACTGCAGAGAAAGAATACATTATTCTTTATTTACCTTTAATTACCAAGTTTTAGAATAAGAACTTGAATAACAGCCACCCCCATCAGTGATGAATAAGATGGTTTGTTTTCATCTTTATTGAGTATGATTATGGACTCAATAATTTTTATGCTTTAAATGTCTTCTAGTCAATTATGGTTCATTACTCTTATTGATGCTCAAACTGTCAAAATGTTCCAGATTTGGCCAAGGGGAGTCCTTTCTGTTGGCTCCTGGGACCTTTTCATATGACTCCATTAGTCTTTTAAATGACTCTTTTCGTCTTTTGGAGTTTTAATATAACTTCATTAGTCCTGGTTCACTTTGTACATTCCTTACCCCAGACCTGAAATAAGCATCTCTCAAGCCTCCTGATTCCTTTTACTATGGAATTATATTTACACATTTATGATTGTTACGTCTTCTTGTTGAATTGACCCTTTAATAATTATGTAATATCCTTCTTTATTCATGGTAATCATCTTTGTTTGAAGTCTACTTTGATATTAATATAGACACTCTCATTTCCTTTTTCTTTTGCTTATTTTTTTAGATACAGGGTCTCATTCTGTTTCCCAGGCTGGAGTGCAGTGGTGTGATCATAGCTTGCTGTAACCTCAAACTACTGAGCTCAAGCGATCCTCCCACCTCAGCCTCCCAAGTAGCTAGGGTACATTATACCATGCATGCCACCATGCTGGGCTATTTAAATTTTTTTTTTTCATTTGTAGAGAAGGGATCTCATTCTGTTGCCCAGGCTGGTCTGGAACTCCTAGCCTCAAGAAATCTTCCTGCCTTGGCCTCCCAAAGTGCTAGAATTACAGGTGTAAGCCACCACACCCAGCCTAATTTCCTTTGATTAGTATTTGCATTTTTCCATTCTTTTAATTTTATTTTTCTATATATATATTTTTGATATGAAGTCTCACTCTGTCACCCAGGCTGGAGTGCAGTGGCACGATCTCAGCTCAGTGCAACCTCCACCTCCAAGGTTCAAGCCATTCTCCTGCCTCAGCCTCCCAAGTAGCTGGGACTACAGGTGCGTGCCATTATGCCTGGCGAATTTTTTGTATTTTTAGTAGCGACAGGGTTTCACCGTGTTAGCCAGGATGATCTTGGTCTACTGACCTCGTGATCTGCCTGCCTCAACCCCCCAAAGTGGTGGGATTACAGGTGTGAGCCACCAAGAACAGCCCATTCTTTTAATTTTAATCAACTAAGTCTTTATATTGAAAGTGATTTTATTATAAATAGCATGTACTTGGGTCTTGTCTGTTTAATGTAGTCTGACAATCTCTGCCTTACAGTTGGTATATTTAGACCATTTACATTTAATATAATTATTGATTTGGTAGGATTTAGGTCTACCATTTCTAATCTGTCTTCAAGTTCACAAACTGCTATCATCATCTGCATTCTGCTATTTAGCCCATCGAGTGAATTTTTGAAAACTATTAATAATACATTTTATTGTTTGAACAATTTCAGCTTATCAGAAAAGTGAGCACACAGAAGAGAATTCCCATAAGCCCTCTTACCCCAAACCCTCCCACCCCCCAGTTTCCCTTATTATTAACATCTTGCATTAGTATAGTAGTACATTTGTTATAACTGATGAGCCATTATTAAAACTTTATTAACAATAGTCCTTTTGGATTACATTAGAGTTCATTCTTGGTGTTGTATAGTCTATGGGTTTTGACAAATGTATAATGACATGTATTCATCATTATAGAATCAAACAGAATAGTTTCACTACCCTAAAAATCAGCTGTTCTCCACTATTTATCCACCCTCCCCGCCCCCAACTCCTAACTCCTGGCAACCACTGAACTTCTTACTGTCTCTATGGTTTTGCCTTTTTCAGAATATATATATCATATATAAAGAACTATATTTTTTGCAAAGATTTTTTTCCCATTTAATGGCTTACCTTTTCATTCTCTTAACAGTGTCCTTTGTGAGCAGAAAAATTTAATTTTAGTGAAGTCCAACTTACCAGTTTTTTCTTTTATGAGTCGTGTTTTTGATGTTATATCTAAAAAGTCATCACCAAATCCAAGGTCACCTGAGTTTTCTCCTATGTTATCTTCTAGGAATTCTGTAGTGTTGCATTTTACATTTAGGTCTATGATCCATTTTGAGTTAATTTTTGTGAAAGGAGTGAGATCTGTGTCTAGATAAGATATACTTAGGCAGGCCCAGTGGCTCATGCCTGTAATCCCAGCACTTTGGGAGGCCAAGGTGGGCAGATCACCTGAGGCCAGGAGTTCGAGACCAGCATGACCAACATGGTGAAACCCCATCTCCACTAAAAATACAAAAAGTTAGCTGGGCTTAGTGGCAGAGGCCTGTAATCCCAGCTACTCGGGAGGCTGAGGGAGGATAATCACTTGAACCCAGGAGGCAGAGGCTGCAGTGAGCTGAGATTGCACCATTGCACTCTAGCCTGGGCAACAAGAGCGAAACTCCACCTTAGAAAAAAAAAAAAAAGATATACCTCGACGTAGCATTTTTGTTATTTATCCTATACGGTGTTTTTTGAGCTTCCTGGATCTGTTCCTTTATGTCTACCTTAGTTCATTTGGGCTGCTGTGACAAAAATATCATAAACTGGAGAGTTTATAAACAACAGAAATTTATTTCTCACAGTTCTAGGGGCTGTGATGTCCAAGACCAAGGCACTTAGCCGTGTCTGGTGAGGCCCTGCTTCCTCATAGATGACACATTCTGGCTTTGTCCTCACATGGTGTCAGGGGCTAGCTAATTCCCTGGGGCTTCTTTCATAAGTGCATTAATCTCTGTCCTGAGGATAGAGCCCTCATAACCTGATTGACTCCCAAAAGCCCCACCTCAGTACTATCATATTGAGGATTAAGTTTCAATATAACTTTTGAGGAGACACAAACATTCAGACCATAGCGTTATCTATCATTAATTTGGGGAAATTTTCAGTCACTGTTGCTTCAGATGTTTCTTCTGTTTCTTTCTCTTTCTCTTTTTTTCTTTTTTTTTTTTTTTTTTTTTGAGACGGAGTCTTGCACTGTTGCCCAGGCTGGAGTGCAGTGGCATGATCTCAGCTCACTGCAAGCTCTGCCTCCCAGGTTCACACCATTCTTCTGCCTCAGTCTCCCAAGTAGCTGGGACTACAGGCACCTGCCACCATGCCCCGCTAATTTTTTGTATTTTTAGTAGAGACAGGGTTTCACCGTGTTAGCCAGGATGGTCTCAATCTCCTGACTTTGTGATCTGCCCGCCTCGGCCTCCCAAAGTGCTGGGATTATAGGCCTGAGCCACCATGCCCAGCTTTCTTTCTCTTTTTCTTCTCTTTCTGGTATTTCCAAAAAGTCTCCACGTTCCACCTTTTGTAATTGTCTCACAGTTCTTGACTCTTGTTCTGTTTTTTCTTTTTCATTCTTTTTTCTCATTGTGTGTCCGCTTTTGAAGTATCTATTGACATCTCTTCGAGCTCACTGATTCTTTCATTGGCCATATCCATTCTTTTGATGAACCCATCAAAGGCATTCTTCATTTCTGTTATGGTGTTTTTTATTTCTAGTATTTCATTTTTATTTCTTCTTAGTGTTTTTATCTCTTTGCTTACATTACCCATCTGTTCTTGCATGTTATGCCGTTTTTACATTAGAGCCCCTAGCATGTTAATCTTAGTTATTTTAAATTCCTGGTTGGATACTTCCAATATTTCTTTCATATCTGAGTCTGGTTCTGATGCTTCCTCTGTCTCTTCAAAGTGTGGGGTTTCTTGTCTTTTAGTATGCTTTGTAATTTTTTGTTTGAGGCTGTATATGATGTACTGGGTGAAAGGAACTGAGTTAAATAAGGCTTTAGTATGAGATTTTGTGTTTCTCTGGCTAGGAGTTAGGCTTTGTTTACTCTTTGCTATATAGTCATGGATGTCAGAGGCTAAAATTTCCTCTAGTGTCCCTGTGTTGTCTCCCCTGTCTTCTCTGGGGAGCTCCCTAGAGGCTTCTTTGTAAAGTAGCTCTGAGTCTTGCAGTGTCTATCCCTAATCATGGGAAAACATCAAACAAACCCATACAGCGGGACATCTGACAAAGTACCAAGTGTCAAGGATCATGGATTGAATCCTGAAACAGAGGAAGGACACTGAAGTAAAGACTGGGAAAACCTGACTGAGGTCTGGAGTTTAGTTAGTGATACTATACCAAGACTAATTTCTTAGTTTTGATAATTTGTTAACAGTTATGTTAACATTGGGGGTAGCTGTGCAAGGGGTGTGAGAAAGCTGTTATATCTTTAACCTTGGCCCATGGTTACGGTGTTTCCAGTGTAAGGTCACTGTTATTCCTTGTAGTTAACATATATTTGGCACCACAGGATTCATTCTGGAATTCTCCTTGGCTTATTTATAACTTTTTTTCTTTTTCTAGTAGTGAGAAACCTGGCTTTCATGCAGAGTTTACAAACGCCAATTTAAACTTTGTTTTGTCATATGCAATGATTTTATTACCTGTATTTATTTCAGAGCTTATGAATTTTTAATTATTCTAAGGGCTAACATAGAACTTTTTCATGTTTTCTACTCTTCAAGAGTAGGTAAGACTTTAGTTTGTAATACATTACAAAAGGAATCCTGTGGTTCTCTAAGAGCTAATTTGTCTTGGCAAAAGGCCTTAGCGAGCTGTGAGTGGTGGCTCATGCCTGTAATCCCAGCACTTTGATCTGAGACGGGTGGATCACCTGAGGCCAGAAGTTTGAGGCCAGTTTGGCCAACATGGCGAAACCCCATCTCTGCTAAAAATACAAAAAATTAGCCAGGCATAATGGCATGCACCTGTAGTCCCAGCCACTTGGGAGGCTGAGGCAGGAGAATTGCTTGAACCTCGGAAGTGGAGGTTGCAGTGAGCCGAGATCGTGCCACTGCACTCCAGCCTGGGAAACAGTGAGACTCTGTCTCAAAACAAACAAAAAAAACAAAAAAACCCAAAAAAATTAGACGGGCGTGGTGGCATGCAACTATAGTCCCAGCTACTCAGGAGGCCGAGGCAGGAGAATCGCTTGAACCCAGGAGTTGGAGGTTGCAGTGAGCAGAGATCATGCCACTGCACTCTAGCCTGGGTGACACAGTGAGTATCCATCTCAAAAACAACAACAACAACAACAAAAACAAATTAAAAAACCCAACAACAACAAAACCAGCAAACAAGAAAACTAAACAGGCTTTAGGGAAAGAGCAATCTAATTATCTGATTATATGACTGGCACTAAGATGGGAGTGACTCTGGCCTAATTTCTTCAATTTACATTTTAAAATAGGAGCTTAGTTAGCCCCCAAATAATATGTAATTGATGTATTAGGATTGGGGAGTGAATATTTTTCAAATCAGAAGATATTTCTCAATTCTTGCTTAGTTTTAGAGGTTGAAGTTCAAGGAAGCCCCTGCCTTGGCACTGTATTCCAGGGAGGTATTTGGAGTTAATTTCAGGGCTTAGCAGTGACTCTTTAGAAAAGCAGTATACGATTGAAATGTAATGTGGTACAAATGAGATCACTACAAGTAATTTAAAAATGTGCTAGTAGTGTTTTTTTTTTTCTGAGACGGAGTCTCGCTCTGAAGCCCAGGCTGGAGTGCAGTGGCACGATCTCGGCTCACTGCAAGCTCCGCCTCCCGGGTTCGCGCCATTCTCCTGCCTCAGCCTCCCTAGTAGCTGGGACTACAGGCGCCTGCCAACACGCCTGGCTAATTTTTTGTGTTTTTAGTAGAGACGGGGTTTCACCGTGTTAGCCAGGATGGTCTCGGTCTCCTGACCTCGTGATCCTCCCACCTCAGCCTCCCAAAGTGCTGGGATTACAGAAGTGAGCCAACACACCCAGCCTCTAGTAGTACTTTTATCAAAAGTAAATAGAAACATGAAATTAATTTTCACAATATATTTTATTTAAACTAATATGTTCACAATGTTAAAATTTCAACATGTAATCACTATAAAAACTACTAGTGAGATATTTCACATTACTTTTTTCATGTAAGCCTTTGAAATCTGGTGTGTATTTTATATTTACTGTACATCCTGATTTGGAATAACCACATTTCAATCTTTCAATAGCCACATGTGGCTAGTGGCTACTGTGTTAGAGCAGTTCTAGAACAAAGGAGTCCCTTTCAAACTATTTTGAAGTCATTGTCTATAAGGCAATATGAAAGCTGATCTGAATGATTTCTCCTTTTCCAGGAAAGGAAACAAAAATGAAATCATGTTAGGGCTGCATATTTTATGGGTCCCAGGACAAATAGACATAGTCTGAAAGAATGATCTCAGTCAGAAACTCAGAATGAATCATATGAATTAAACATTGGACAATGTCCAATGCTCAGCATGTGTTTTTGGTTTACACTAAGAGCATATTATGCCACCAAATACAGATATTTACTATTATACTTAGTGTAGGAGGTATATTGAGACGTTGTTCTAGACTACCACAGTTCCATATTTTGTGAAAAGTTGTATTGCACTTTTTTTTTTTTTTTCAGAGTGCGCCCAGGCTGGAGTGCAATGGCATGATCTCAGCTCACTCCAGCCTCTGCCCCACCCAGGTTCAAGTGATTCTCCTGCCTCAGCCTCCCTAGTAGCTGGGATTACAGGTGCACACCACCACGTCTGGCTAATTGTTGTATTTTTAGTAGAGACGGGGTTTCGTCATGTTGGCCAGGCTGGTCTTGAACTCCTGACCTCAGGTGATCCACCCGCCTCAGCCTCCCAAAGTGTTAGGATTACAGGCGTGATCACCACGCCCAGCCTTATATTTCACTCTTTGGGAATTGCATCTTACTGTAATCTTAAACAACACTAAAATAAATAATGTAAACCTTTTGTCAAATTGCTCAGAGTAGGTTTCTACTTTGGTTATAAGGAATAAAATTCATGCTTTTGTGTACACACTAGACATCTAAAGCAATCAACTATAGTTAACAAGCAGTGCTCTTACCAAAAGGTAACTCTTACTAGAATCCGGCACACCATTTAATATCAGTATGAGCATATGGTGGGTTTAATAATTGTTTTCCATGTTTATAAGTTTTCTTTAGTTTTATAAGCAGTTAAAAAGAATCCCTTTCACTGAAATACAATCTGTGGTGGGACTTCTAGCTTTTCTCAATCTTACGCTGCTAGATTTATGTCACTGCCAAAGCTATGCAATGGGTGATATTTACACTGTGCTCAAACAAAGCAACCAGAAAAACACATATCACTGAATAATACAGATATTCTGAAGTCAAGCAAGCCAACTTTCATTAACAGATCAATTTCCTTAGAAAAGTTGATGAAACCAAAGACTGAAGTTCAAACAAAAAGCGCTCTCAAGGGCGTATGAATTTCTGGTAACTTATGGGGTAAGAAAAAGAGCAAGAAACTTGGAAGTAGGGAAGAGAAAAAAGAAAAGGAGCAAGAGGGGATAGCCAGCTCTCAAAAGTCTCCAATAGGAAAGCAAAATCTGTATCTAGCCAGTACCAACATGTGAAGAAAGAGTGAGCATAGCAAAATTTAGAAAGGTTGCTTGAAAACCAAACAAAAAACCAAACACCTGTAATCCTAGCACTTTGGGAGGGTGAGGTGGGCGGATTGCCTGCACTCAGGAGTTCAAGAACAGCCTGGGCAACATGGTGAAACCTTGTCTCTACTAAAATCCAAAAAAAAAAAAAAATTAGCTGCGCATGGGCTGGGCGCGATGGCTCACGCCTGTAATCCCAGCACTTTGGGAGGCCAAGGTGGGCAGAACACGAGGTCAGGAGATCAAGACCATCCTGGCTAACACAGTGAAATTCCATCTCTACTAAAAATACAAAAAATTAGCCGGGCGTGGTGGCCCGTGCCTGTAGTCCCAGCTACTCCGGAGGCTGAGGCAGGAGAATCACTTGAACCCAGGAGGTGGAGGTTGCAGTGAGCTGAGACCATGCCACTGTACTCCAGCCTGGCGACAGAGCGACACTCGTCTCAAAAAAAAAAAAAAAAAAAAGTCTCTTTTGGCCAGGTGTGGTGGCTCACACCTGAAATCTCAGCACTTTGGGAGGCCGAGGTGGGTGGATCACTTGAGTCCAGGAGTTCAAGATCAGCCTAGGTAACATGGCAAAACCTCGTCTCTACCAAAAACAAACAAACAAAAATTAGCTGGATGTGGTGGTGCACACCTGTAGTCCCAGCTACTTGGGAGGCTGAGGCAGGAGAATCACCTGAGACCGGGAGGCAGAGATTGCAGAGAACTGACACTATGCCAAGGCACTCCAGCCTGGGTTGACAGAGCAAGACTCTCTCTCTCTCAAAAAAGAAAAAACAAAAAGCCTCCTTTAAAAAATGCAGTTTGATGCTATAAATTTATCAGTTAATAGTTTTTGGGGAAAAAAATGTTTTCTGACATTTCAATAAGAGCTATAGACGAAGTCCAGCATTAGTCATCATTCTGGACTAAGTCGGGAAATCTGGAATCTCTTCCCAGCTCTGGGAGGTACAAAGTTTTAAAAAATAAGTTAAGGTCAAAATGTTAGAAAACATTCAATTTATTTCCTTATTAACTCAATTGTTCACTCATAAACGACAGTAACACTTGGTGCTATGGGTCATGCACTGAGGTCAGAACAAGGAACAGAAGAAAATGAGGTAAATTGATAAATCTTTTTGCAGGCTGAGAAGGGAGAGAATGCTGGCATGCCTACTCTGTGCTGGCTTTTTTTTGTTTGTTTGTTTTTGAGATGGCGTCTTATTCTGTTGCCCAGGCTGGAGTGCAGTGGTGCAATCTTGGCTCACTGCAAGCTCTGCCTTCTGGGTTCACGCCATTCTCCTGCCTCAGCCTCCCAAGTAGCTGAGACTACAGGCACCCGCCACTACACCTGGCTGATTTTTTGTATTTTTAGTAGAGACAGGGTTTCACCATGTTAGCCAGGATGGTCCCGATCTCGTGACCTCGTGATACGCCCACCGTGGCCTCCCAAAGTGCTGGGATTACAGGCGTGAGCCACCGCGTCCAGCCCTCTGTGCTGGGTTTTATGATGTCATCCAATAACTCACAGCTATGTAATTTATTTCCTTTTTACAGATAAAGAAATGGGGGCTCCGAGCAGTCAAGAAGAACATGCCCCAAGTTATTCGTCAGTGAGGCGGAAATTGTGGTGTACTTGTGTAAGTTCACATTTTATACTTTACCATTATACTGTGCTCCAAATTATCTGATATTTACTTTCAAAGCATGTGTAGAAAGTTTACTATGATGATGCAGAGACATTGTACAGAATCCAGTCCCTTGACTCTCAGGTCCCCAGAACACTCACTTCACGATTTTGTTGACCTCTTCTGTC
Source organism: Homo sapiens (assembly GCF_000001405.40). Classification (NCBI taxonomy): domain Eukaryota; kingdom Metazoa; phylum Chordata; class Mammalia; order Primates; family Hominidae; genus Homo; species Homo sapiens. The sequence goes on along the minus strand of NC_000002.12, from coordinate 108,511,753 downwards.
AACTTAAACCTGGCACTCTCTTGGCTGGCTTTCTCTGCTCTTTCTGGGCACTCCAAAGCTTCTGTACTTACATGCTACAATTCCAGTCACAGGAAGATGCTGAGTTCTTTAGTCCCAGATCCATATTCCTGAGAAAACCTAATTGCCTAGGCTCAGGTCATAACTCTGTATCTGTTTCAGTTGATTATGGCTGGGCCTACTGCCCCTCTGTATGGTGGTGGGGCAGAAGTTCCCAGAGAGAGGCAGGGGTGACAGGGACTGTTGTCTCAAATGCTAGGCAGACATCTGGAGTGGTAACCACTACATCTGTTCACAGTGAGCACATCCTTGCAGGGAAACTGGGTTAATCATCTCTATTATTGAAACTCAGAGGTATAGTGTTTCTTCATAGGAATTTTCTTTCCTTATTTGAGATGGGGGTCTCACTTTGTTGCCCAGGCTGGAGTGCAGTGGTGTGTGATCTTGGCTCACTGCAGCCTCCCCTCCCGAGTTCAAGTGATTCTCCTACCTCAGCCTGCTGAGTAGCTGGGACTACAGGCATGGGCCAACATGCCTGGCTAATTTTTGTATTTTTCGTAGAGACAAGTTTTCACCATATTGGCCAGGCTGGTCTTGGACTCCTGACCTCAGGTGATCTGCCCACCCTGGCCTCCCTAAGTGCCGGGATGACAGGTGTGAGCCATCGCGCCCGGCCTATTTATAGGAATTTTCTGTAGGTATATAAGTAATAATTTGAAGGTCCCAACTAGATGCCTTTTCGTGTAACCGTATCTTGAATGGAACATTTTCTTTCTACGTAATTATACATAAATAACCCAATGCTTTTTAATACCCACGAAAAACCATTAGCTCAAAGACACTTGCAAACTTGTATCAGGTTGTTCTCCTTGGTGTGTATTAAGTTTGAAGCAAAGGGGATTTTCAGATACCAAGACGAAGCAGAAGTCTTCCACCAAGTTGAAATCATCACGTTGCAATTTAATCATATGATACAACCAATTTTTTGATGTGTTATGCCATTCGCCAAATACCAAAAATTTTTTAGGGGAAACTTTACATCCTCAATACTATACACTTCCAGCTACACCACCACCTAACAGGGACTTTAAAAAGAATACAAAGTATGGTATGCCTTCTCAGTGCCTTGTTAGTAATTCAGTTACAGTTCTGCCGAACTTTCTTTAAAGGAATACAATTCTCAATCTTACACCGTTCAGAGCACAAGCATAGCTTATTGTATACAAGAGATGTGCATCAGTTCCCACTCCTCAGGGACTGTATGAATTTGGCTTTTTTTTGACGGAGTCTCACTCTGTCACCGGGCTGGAGTGCAGTAGTGTGATCTTGGCTCACTGGACTCTGCCTCCCGGGTTCAAGTGATTCTCCTGCCTCAGCCTCCCAAGTAGCTGGGACTACAGGTGCACACCACTATGCCCAGCTGATTTTTTGTGTGTTTTTAGTAGAGATGGGGTTTCACCATGTTGGCCAGGATGGTCTTGATCTCTTGACCTCATGATCTACCCGCTTTGGCCTCCCAAGGTGCTGGGATTACAGGCATGAGGCACTGTGCTGGGCCAAATTTGGTTCTTAGAAACCAAGGAGTGATGTGTGCACCAGGCCCAGGGCTGAAGAGCTGCTTCTCACTAGATGCCTCTCTTGGTCTGGCTGCTGTGTCCAGTCCTATGCAGGGTTAGCTCTGTTCCTCCTTCTTGTGGCATCTGTGTTTCTCTTTCTGCTCTGTCTCTCCCCATATCCTAGTCCAAACATCCAAAGAAATTAATTACCTCCAGGAGATCGAGACCATCCTGGCTAACACGGTGAAACCCCGTCTCTACTAAAAATACAAAAAATTAGCCGGGCATGGTGGCGGGCGCCTGTAGTCCCAGCTACTTAGGAGGCTGAGGCAGGAGAATGGCGTGAACCCGGGAGGCAGAGCTTGCAGTGAGCCGAGATCGCGCCATTGCACTCCAGCCTGGGCGACAGAGCAAGACTCTGTCTCAAAAAAAAAAAAAAAAAAAAATTAATGACCTCTGCCCCTAACTGAACAAAGCCCTTCATCTAAGGCCACCCTTTGGTTGGCAGCCTTAGCCAGACATCTGCTTCTGGTCAAATCAATGTCTTGTCTACAGGGAGGCCCAGTGCTGTTTCTAGTTTTAGCTGGATGCAGGGTGTCAGACATGGCAGGTACTACGGTCTACCTGGTGGGTATCAAAGAGTTGGTCGATGTTCTCTCGACAACCTAATAGGGACCAATCGTGTAAGGCCAGTAGTAAAGGAGTTTGAAGTTCCCTTTCAGAAACCAATTAACAACCCCAAAGAGACAGTGTGTAACATAAAAGAGCAGCCATAAAAATATACAGTTAAACATATTTAATAGAAATATTAAAATAATCATTACACTTCCTCTCATTGCAGAAACCATGAAAGAATATGCCTTTTGTAATCAAAGTAATTTTTTATCATGCAAAAAATTATTTTGTTATGACATTCGTAAGCAGAGACTATATTTCAAAACAAGTTTATACAGACTTCAAAAGGTCTAAAGTCAAAGAGAAAGTGAAATATATTTAAATATGATTAGTTACATCGTATGCAGCTGGCATACTCATATTCACAGTTTATAAAGTAAAAAAACTAAACTCTTCATGTCAGCTCTGAAATAGATGCATTTTCATTAATACATTCACTAGTTAGGTCTGTTCTTCTAAGACAGGAGGAAAGATGAGATATATGAGCTATTTTTTAAAGAACAAACTCAACATATCAGCAGCAAATTTCAGTTAAACTGAATTGGAAACCAATGTTCTGTGTAACCAAAGTGCAAAGCCAGTTCTCCAGCTCAGAAAGAAAATTAAATTAAGAGTATAAACTGAAGGCTTAAGAGAACTTCAGAGAGCATACTGTGTGATTAACACATAAATATTACAAATTATCCAATTTTTGATTTAAGAACAACACAGTTTGGATCTAGTCATTAAAACATATGCAGAGGTGTCAAAGGCAAGTAACACTACCACCTAAGGTTATTCGGAGGAACTGTGACGATGTAGCACGGACCTCTAAGGTGTCTAAAATCCCTTCTGATGGAAAGCTTATGGAACACTATCTGCCAAAAACACTGAAAGCACCACTTTTATATTTAGATCCAATGCTGAGTGATATAGTCACTGTTGTGATAGGTTTTTATTTGGGAAAATGGAGAGGATTCTCAAAACAGATTCATGGCTTGCATGCAGTGACACCCTATCAAGAGCCTGGAAAGACACCATGAAATCACCTCAACTCAAGTGTGGGCCCACCTACTCATAGTCAGTGTTACACTAGCCAGCTCTAGGGCTCTGACAACATAATGAGTTTTGAGATAGTATACTTTAAAGAAAAAAAGAAGAGTTTATTTTAAAGCAAATAACTAAACTGTATTTTAACTTAGCATAATTAACTGCAGCATATTTACTTCATAGCCCCTTAACATGTCACTTTTACCAACAAAGCTTTTTCCTTCATATTCTAATCACAAAAATTTCTCAACAATTTATAACAATCTGTAACTCTGACCTTGCAATAAATAGTCATAAAACGTTATTTTTATTTTATTACTATTATTTTTAGAGACAAGGTCTCGCTCTGTTCCCCGAGCTGGAGTGCAGTGGGAGTCACAGCTCACTAGCCTCAAGCAATTCTCCAGCCTCAGCCTCCCAAAGTAGTGGGATTTCAGGCATGAATCACCACACCTGGCCTTGAAACATTATTTTTAAAGCCTAAATTCCAGTTGGTATGGTACCAAAATTTAGTTTAACTTCAAAATTCACAGTACTGCCGAGAAATGGGCGGGTCCTGAGGTTCCAGAGAAGTGGGGAGTGAATTCATTCCTGGTGGTTTTATTCTGGCAGCATGCATGGGAAATCACATGAGTTAGAGGGCTGTGGCCTGCTATCAACACTTCAAGCTGTTGTACTTTTACTTCAAGATGAAACTTTTAAAATACATCTGTCATATAGATGTACAAATATATGTAGATGCAAACATATATACACACTTTTTGACAAAAGAATTGTGGTAATATACGTGAACCATTTTTGTAAATAGATTCTATTTGGTTAATAAAAATATTCCTTCCATCAACCTATCGAAGTCCAGACCAACTATGAAGATAGGATGCCCATCCAGAAGAACGGGAAGCATTTTCTTCCTCACCTTTGGAAAGTAAAACAAAAAAAAAAAGAAAAATAAAAGAAAAAAGAGAGTATTAAAATTTCTCAATGTAAAATCTATATTTTAGAATCACTCTACAATATAAGCAAATAATGTGTTTTTTACTGATTACATGCCTTTTTTTTGGGGGGGGGGGTTCTTTTTTTTTGAGACAGGGTCTTGCTCTGTCACCCAGGCTGGAGTGCAGTGGCGTGATGAGACTTCAATGCAGCCTTGATCTCCCAGGCTCAAGTGATTCTCCCACCTCAGCCTCCCAAGCAACTGGGACCACAAGGTGTGTGCCACCATGCCTGGGTAATTTTTTGTTTTTTTTGTGGAGATGCGGGTCTCACTGTTTTCCAGGCTGGTCTCAAATTCCTGGGCTCAAGTGATCCTCCCACTTCAGCCTCACATTGTTGGGATTACAGTCACGAGCCACTGTACCCATCCATATGTCATTCTTTAGACACACTACTTACTAAATTTCTCTTTTTAAAGGATATACTGAATTTCCGGTTGAGCCAACTTAACAGCTAATTTTCTATTTTAGCTTTAAAACATTGATAAGCAACATGAAGCAATCTAGAACTTAACCTTTAAATGGCTTTATTAAAGAAATCCAGCTATGAAAATCATGCAGAAATGATTATTTACAAACAATCCTACCAGCACATAAGAAATTCTTCTTCTATTCTGAAATACCATCTTCTCACAATATACTTTGATGTTATGAATCAATGTCTGTTCTCGAACATTATTTGTCTTTCTCCATTAAACAATACCAAAATAAAATTTCCAGCACAACTAAGTATTGTTGACGATAAGAGGATTTAAAAAAAAATTCTTTTAAAACAGAAGCTTATATACAACTTAGAATCTAAAACCAATAGATTTATGGTAAACCTTAAAACTGAACCAAAACAAACAAAAACCAAAGTTTTAATCATTTAAAAATCATGTTTATTGAGGTACAACTTACTTATAGTAAAACCTGCCCTTTTCAGCATATAGCACTGAGTCTTGACAAATGCACAGTTACGTACCACCACCGACCAAGGCCTGGCACATTTTCACCTCCTCAAAGTTCTCCCTGGCTGCTTCTCCCACTCCTTGGCAACCGCTAACCTGTTTTCTGTCCTTATAGTTCTGCTTTTTTCAGAGTGTCATATAAGTAGAATCACACTGTACATAGTATTTTGAGTCTGACCTCTGTCAACTGGCATAAGGCATTTGAGAATTATCCATGTTGCTGTACTGGCAGTGCATTCTTTTTTATTGCTGAGCAGTATTCAATTGCATGGCTGTACCAGTTTATTCATTTGCCAGTTGAAGGATAACTGAGATCTTCCTCGTTTTTAGCAATTTTAAAGAAAGTTTCTATGAATAATTGTGTACAGGTTTTTAATTAAATGTTTTGGAGATATAATTCATATACCACATAATTCACCTTTTTAAAGTGCATAAGTCACTGGTTTTTAATATATTCACAAGGTTTGTGCATAGGTTTTTGTGTGAATACTGGTTTTCATTCCTCTTGGATAAAGATTTAATTTGGTATTATCCTTCCAGACACCTTTCTGTGTTTTCATACGTATATATGTATGTCAGTTTGACCTTAGGCAGAGTAGCATTTTCAAAATTTTACATGGGGAAATTTTCTAGAGTTAAAGCCATTTTATTTTTCTGTTCTGTCTGGTTTTATCTGCGTGTTATTTACAATCTGCTGCGTAACAAATTACAAAGTTAGTACCTTAACACATATTTATTTCACAGTTTCTGTGGGTCAGGAGATCAGAAATGGTTCTATTTCAAGGACTCTCACAGGGCTGCAATCAAGATGTTGGCATGGCTGGGGTCTCATCTGAAGGCTGGACTGGAGAAGAATCTACTTCCAAACTTATGTGGTAGTTGGAAGAATTTAGTTCCTCAAGGCCGCTAAACTGATGGCCTGTGTTCCTTGCCTATGGGATGGTAGCTTGCTTCAACAAAGTGTGCAAGCAGAGAAGACAGAGAGTCCGCTAGCAAGATAGAAGCCACAATCTCTTGTAATCTATCATTTTTGCTGTATTCTACTGGTTAAAAATAACTCATTAGGTTAGCCTACTGGCTCTCAAGGGGAAGAGATTATACAAAGGCATGAATTTCTGGAGGAGGGAATGAGGGCAAAGAATTCTGAGAAGTCTGTCTTCCACAATCTGAAGAACTTCTAGAAAGTAGGAGGAAGCGATATTGCTTAGGGATGGACAACTTGGCACTGGTTATGTATTTCAAGTGAGGTAACCTTGTTCCCAAGAATAAAGAGAACCAGACGACTGTAAACATTTCCCTAAACTGAAATGCAGACTGTTGTATGTTCCCCTGAAATGAATGGTGTAAGCTGAATATAAGATTTTTGACAAAAATTTTGCTGTGTTCTCAGATCTGGCAGGCCCCTGCCCTTGTGCAAACAATGTTCCTGGCAGCTATTCATCTCCTTAGGTAAATAAGAATTGGAGAAAAGCTGTGCTAAGATAGGATGCATTTGCTCTTGCCTTGGAAGGTTGTTTTCTGATAAGGTTCTATATCCTCAGCAAATCAAATCAGGCACTTACAGTGTGAGTATGCATTCTCTGCCTGCCAGTCTGGAGATGATCAAAAAGCCTATAACAGGCTTGGCCTATTTTCCTATTGGGTTGCTGGGCTTTTTTTTCGTCTTTATTTACTTGTAGAGAGTTTTAGACCTCTGTGTATGTATGGTGTACAAGTGACAATATTCAGATCTGTAAACTGTAACACAGTCTGGGAGCAAAGAAGATATAGAAAAATGACTTTTACTTCCTGCTTGAGTAGTAAAATTGAGATTCAAATTTTGCATATAGAAGTACTATATGGCTAACTTATTTGGGGAGCAAAACTGACTTACCATAAGTCTACCTGAAATAGAAATGAAACACTCAATTTGTGAAATATGCTGAGTTTTAATGTGTGTGGGGGCAAGGTGAATTAACATTTGTGATGCAAGGAGAGGAGCAATCTATACTTACCAGTGTCTATTTGACATTGTTTGGGGACTACTGTTACACTCTAAGTCACTTTACCTTATAACGCAGAGTTGTAACACGCTACTCTGAGCAGCTCATGACATCTGCTTGAAATTTAAGTTGGGCCCCTAATATGTGTTAATTATAAGGACTTTGATGTTGCTTTTCCGAGTTGGGTAACCTACTTTACCCCCTAAGCTAATGTTTCCCAAATACACCCAAACCCACAGAAAGGAAAACTATTCCTCATTAACTTACAGCCAACATCATAAACATTTTATATCTAGAGCTGATGATACAGTCAGGTATTTACCAACACTCATGTATATATGTAGAGTTTCAAGAAATAATTGCTTACCCTTACTAGATGCAACATATTCTAATGTTTGACATATTATTTTTATTTCTTAATTTTTTTTTAAAGATGGGGTTTTACTCTGTTGTCCAGGCTGAAATGCAGTGGCATGACCAGGATTTCGACCAGAAGTTTGACTGCAGCCTCGAACTCCTTATAACAAACAATCCTGCTGCCTTAGCCTCCTGAGTAGCTAGGACTATGGACACATGCCACCAGATCTGGGATATTTTAAAATTTTTGCAGACATAGGGTCTCGCCATGTTGCCCAGGCTGATTCTGAACTCCTGTTCTCAAGCAATCCTCCTGCCTGGTCTTCCCAAACTGTTGGGCTTACAGGTGTGAGTCACTGAGCCCAGCTTGTATTCTTTTGATTTTAAAAAAATATTCTGAATGTGATCCACCAAATTAATTTCACCATCCACTAATAGGTAGCAACCTGAATGAAAAATACTGTTATAAACTTTACACAAAACCAGAGATTATAAACATTTGCCTCCAAGGAGATGAGAGAGGCAAAAGGTACTTGTTTGCTCTGATGGGCCCTGTTTCCTTCAGTGCCAGGAAGAGTGGCTCTCAGATCTTTCTTCTGGCATCCCTCATGTATGCAGTGTTGGTTATTATTTTCAAGGCCTTGGTAACAAAATGCCCCTAGTGTGACCAGTCAGACTGACAGTCCATATCTGTAATATGGTGGTAAGTTTCCTTTGCATGTCTTTCTTTCTTGCATCTTAGACCTTTTACCTAGGAAATTTTCTTTTTGCTTAAAGTACATCATTAAGAATTTTCAATGAAGGCAGATTCTTAAAGTTTTTGTTTTCCAGAAGAGATCTTGGAAAATATAAAAGGTTGGCAGTTATTTCTTTTAGTACATGAGATAGTATTACACCAATGCTGTTGAGAAGTCTATTGTGAGGCAATGTGTCTTCTTTCTCTGGCTGCTTTTGAGATTTCTCTCTGTCTTTTTTAGGGGCAGTTTTACTCTTATGTGACTAGAAGTAGATTTCTTCTTTTTTTTTTAATACTGCTTGAGATTTTATTGGGTTTTTGAATCTGTGGATATCCTTCAACAGTTCTGAAAGATTTCCAGCCATTCTCTTCATATATTATCTGTGCTGTATTCTTTTCTCTCCTTTTAGAACTTCAATTAGTAAAAACATGTTTGATGTCTTTTCCCACTATTGTTTTTTGTTTCTCCCATGCTGAATTCTGTGTAATTTCTTTTGAACTATCTTGTAGTTTACATTCTTTTTTTTTTTTTTTTGAGACAGGGTTTTGCTCTTGTTGCTCGGGCTGGAGTGCAATGGCACCATCTCAGCTCACTGCAACCTCTGCCTCCCGGGTTCAAGCGATTCTCCTACCTCAGCCTCCCAAGTAGCTGGGATTACAGGCATGTGCCACCACGCCCGGCTAATTTTTGTATTCTGAGTAGAGACGGGGTTTCACCATGTTGGCCAGGCTGGTCTAGAACTCCTGGGTGATCTACCCTCCTCAGCCTCCCAAAGTGCTGGATTACAGGTGTGAGCCACCGTGCCAGGCCTTACATTCTCTCTCTTTAAGAGAGAATGTAAGGTATCTAAATCTGCTGCTAAACCATCATTGTTTTTAATTGTAATAAGGTCTCTTTTATGTACTCACATTGATAAGAGACAAGTAGTAAATAATCTTTAAAGGGCAAACTAATTTAAATGTGTTTTCCTGTCTGTTTACAGGACTTAGCAAATGCACATCTTAGAGTTCTGGGTTTCTAATGTGTATCTCCTCTATGAAATTCTTTAAAAATATCTGTTCTTGGTATCCCTTAGGTTAGTCTCTTTTAGAACTTCTAAATCAATGGACCCTTAACTTATAGGAGCCACCTGGACGTTAGCAACATCTACATTAAACATGCTGAGCTTTTAAAAGAGGCCTGTTAGACATGCTGAGTATTTTGAGATAATATCATTGTTGTATTGAAAGCTATTGAAAACTTTAATTTTAAAATGCAAACGTTCTTAAAGTCCTGGTTGATTTTATAACTATAAAATTAGTTATAATTTTGAGATTTCTGTCTTGTTTTTTTATAGGGGCAGTTTTACTCTTAGGTAACTAGATTTCTTCTTTTTTATAATCATAAAATTAGGTTTACTTTTGTTAGAATAAATTAAAGACAGTGAATTTGTAATTTGAATAACTACTAAAAATACACATGATGTATTCTTATTTGGGCCCTTGTGACGAAAATACTATTGTGGCTACAGAAACCTATCCTATAGTTTGAAGAACTGAGATTACTGTCAGTATTGAGAACATTCCTCCTTCATCATTAGAAAGATTATAAAAAACCAGATTCAAAGAAACTATCAATACTACTTATGAAGTATGTCTGTAAAAAAAATTAAGCCTGAATCTTATCAGGCCTCTAGACCAGGGGTTCTCAAGGTATGGGCTCCAGACCAGAAGTATCAGCAACAAATTGCTAAAAATGCAGAGTCTTGGGTCAGAAATTGGGGACCAGCAATTGGAATTTTACTAAGTATACCAGATGATTCAGATGCCTGCTCAATTTTGAGGATGACTCTTATCAGTTTAGTTATTAGGGTTTACAGGGGATGGGGAACATGTTAAAGAACACCAACTAGATAAGGTCAATCAGGCAAAAGTAAGATGTCTGGACATTCTGGGCCTCTTGATGTCTTAGAAAGCACACAATACCATCTATGATGTGTTTTTGTCCACCATCCCACCCAACTGCACCTGGATCTTCCTATTTATAGGCAATTAGAACAAGTTCAGTGTTACCCTGTAATGATTAAAACCCAAATACAGGACTGCTATAGCATAAATGACCACTTTCTTCAATAAGTGGCACATTAAAAATATATTTATATATATAATTGTTATAGATAAAAAAACAACAAAATGGCTGGGCGTGGTGGCTCACACCTGTAATCCCAGCACTTTGGGAGGCCAAGGCGGGCAGATCACAAGGTCAGGAGATTGAGACCATCCTGGCCAACATGGTGAAACCTCGTCTCTACTAAAAATAGAAAAATTAGCTGGCGTGCATCTGTAGTCCCAGCTGCTGGGGAGGCTGAGGCAGGAGAATCGCTTGAATCTGGGAGGCGGAGGTTGCAGTGAGCCATGATCGGACCACTGCACTCCAGCCAGGGTGACAGAGCAACACTATGTCTCAAACAAACAAAAACACGACAACAAAATAAAGCTTAAGGAACATCAACCAAATGCAATATATGAGCCCTATTTAGGATACTATAAAAAGACATTCACAATAACACAGGCAAAATGAACATAAACTAGGTATAGGTGACAGAGAAATCCAATAAACATTGAATTATTCACTGGGGAAAGAAATGATGTGTGGGATTTAAGTCTCTAACTCTCCCCTATTTACGCCAAAAGATTGTCCATGAGTTGAAAACTTAGAGATGGGTGACAACGCAAGAGAGATTATAGTGTCTTCCTTGTATGCTTGTAAATGTCAAAAATAAAAGTAATTTAAAACTAAAACAAACATGAAACCATAATTCTTAAGATGCAGCTTGAATTCAGTTAACTATAGCAGTTGTATATGAAGCATTTCAAAGAAGTTAATGACATCACAGTATTAAATCCATCTGACATGGAAACCAACTCTAACTACATCATAGTTTTTTTTTGTTGTTGATGTTTTTTGTTTGAGATGGAGTCTCGCTCTGCCGTCAGGCTGGAGTACAGTGGCGTGACAGCTCACTGCAACCTCTGCCTCCTGGATTTGAGCAATTCTCCTGCCTCAATCTCCTGAGTAGCTGGGACTATAGGCGCATGCCACCACGTCCAGCTAATTTTTGTATTTTTAGTAGAGACGAGATTTCACCATGTTGGCCAGGATGGTCTCGGTATCTTGATCTTGTGATCCGCCTGCCTCGGCCTCCCAAAGTGGTGGGATTATAGGCGTGAACCACCGGCACCTGGCCTATGGCACAGTTTTAAAACTGCATTTGCCTAGAAAGTGGACTGCTGTATATAGACCAAGTGTTGGGCTATATATGACTGCATTGTCTTAGGCTATTTGGGGTTGGAGGAAGGAAGAGGCGTGAAGTAGAAAAGGAACAAGCTAATAAATGTTTTTTAAAAAGTAGAATTTAAAACAAAACCACGTTCAGCTGAACACCAGAACGCAACACCAGGATAAAAATCCAATTTTCAAAGAGCTAGAAGATCAAGCTAAGCACTTACTGTATTTTGCTGAACGTTAAAATTATATAAATGTACTACAGTTGCCTCAAGATGTTAAAAAGTCAGCTTTTCAAATCTAGTCACGGCCTACTCATATGACAGACCCAATTCAAATGAGCAAAATTGAAAAGTTACACATACAGACAACTTCTCAACCACCAGGCTGTTTAGTTTAAGTTAGAAGTCAGAAGTTCTGAGACTCTCCTTTTACCCACCTTGAGCAACCGCAGCAAGTTTTCCCTTTTCTTCAGGGCTGAGCTGCAACATCGTATTTATAACAGGAAGAAGTCTCTCTCTTTCACTACCTGGTTTCAAGAAAATGAACTGCAGCAAGACGTTCTTCAAGTATTCCAGGTTAGCTGCAGACTTCTCTCGCTCTTGATTCCTTTCCAATCTTCTTATTTCACTTTTGAGAAGCTGGTGTTAGAGAAATGAGTTAAAAATGGGCTTTAGGAGCTTCTGATTAAATATGGCAGACTGAACTCATGTATTTTTCTTCTCTTCCCCCCAAATTTCCCCCTTCCCTCCATATGGCAATAAAGGAAGGAATTCAGTTAACTACAGCAGCTGCATGTGAAGCATTTCAAAGGAGTTTATGACATCACCGTATAAAATCCATTTGACATGAAAACCGGAACTCCAACTATGAGATAGTTTCAAAGCTGCATTTGCCTAGAAAGTGGATTGCTGCGTATGAACCAAGTGTTGGGCTATATAACTCCACTGTCCTAAGCTATTTGGGGTTGGAAGGAAGAGGGGTGAAGTAGAAAGGCAAGAAGCTAATACAAGAGGAGAAAAAGTAGATGAGACACATCAAGAAATTCTCACGAGAAACAGATGAAGAGGTGGAAATGAGTCAGTCCAGCAGCTTACCAAGTATCACTGACGAGGAGAGGATGCATCCTGTGTAAATACTGGGGTTCTTGTCTCAGAAGCACAGGGTATCATGGAAATGGAGTTGAAAGCTGGGGAACTGATGGAACGTCTCCATGAGGAGCAACTAACTGGAGCCATGGGTTGGTACCAAGATGTTCCCTCTGCCTTCTACTTTCGATAGAAACTAAGCCAGTATGGCATGGGGCTCTGAAAATGGGCTGAGGGGAACATCGGCAGCCTCCACTAACCCCCTGCCCCTACCCTGTTCCTGAAGTCCCAGGCAGTTAAGACGTCCACAGTGAACGGCACTTAATCAAAACAAAAGTTCAGACACAGTGAAAATTCAGGAATATAAGATAATGTAAAACACTATCAGAAAAATGAGGCAAAGAATGATATAAAAAAGGTAATAGGATGTTCAAGTCTTTGAGGAAGATTTCCAGGTTGAAACCAAGCCATAGCTTTTAGTATATTTTCATTTTAGGTTAGGCAAGAAAGTTAGCGAACTTTGTCCTCAAACCTAGGACCATTTAAAAAAGTGACAATAAAGAAGACTAAGAAATCATGAAGAGAGTATAAATTTATGAAAATATAACATTTGGCCAGGCGTGGTGGCTCATGCCTGTAATCCCAACACTTTGGGAGGCTGAGGCAGGCAGATCACGAGGTCAGGAGATTGAGACCATCCTGGCCAACATGGTGAAACCATGCCTCTAGTAAAATAAAAAAAATTAGCCGGGCATGGTGGTGCGTGCCTGCAGTCCCAGCTACTCGGGAGGCTGAGGCAGGGGAATCGCTTGAACCTGGGAGGCGGAGATTGCAGTGAGCTGAGATTGCACCACTGCACTCCAAACCTGGAGACAGAGCGAGACTCTATCTCAAAAAAAAAAAAAAAAAAAAAAAAAAAAAAGAAAATATAACATTTAAATAAGTCATTTAGGTTTACTGGGCTAGTTAGTGATTTGTTAGCTACGATAATGTTTTTATTAGTCAGAAAATGTTATTTTATAGAGATGCATACTGAAGTATTTAATGGTGGAATGTCATGATATATACAATTTACTGAAAATAACTGAATTCAGCTTTAAAATAATCTGACAAGGATAGCTAGTGGCCTTGCACAGTGGCAGGACAGATCTATTAGGAGCAGCAAAGTACAGGGGAAAAGCATGTACTTTTCAGACAGCTATGGGTTTAAATTTTGTTCCACCATTTACCAGCTTCAATTTTTCTCTCAACCAGTGATGAGATTAAATAACGTATGTAGAGCCCAGGGCCTGGGTCATAAGAACTCCTCAATAAGCAGTATGACTATATTCTGAGGGGTGATTTATCAGTGAGCCAGGGTGGAAATACCTCATTTGAGTAATCCTCAACTGTTCTGCAACATTCCTAGATGTTTCTGGTGTCTACTTTAAACAGGAAAAACTTCCCATGCCACTTTGCCATCTCCACCTGAAAACTGTTTAGTAGTTCAGTACTATAAATATCAGTTGAATAATTTAAATTCACTGGTTATCTTTAGAATTCAACGACTCACACCCATTTAAGTTTTATTTAAGCATATGTGAACAATGATTTGTGAACATCTCTCTAGTTTCTAAATCTATTACGGTTTCTTAGAAAAAGTAGGAATTAAGAAATAATCTTTATGTAATAGGTGTAAAAGAAGTATTTTGGCTGGATGCAGTGGCTCATGCCTGTAATACCAGCACTTTGGGAGGCCAAGGCAGGCGGATCACGAGGTCAGGAGATCGAGACCATCCTGGCTAACATGGTAAACCCTGTCTCTACTAAAATTACAAAGAAATTAGCCAGGCATGTTGGCGGGCACCTGTAGTCCCAGCTACTCGGGAGGCTGAGGCAGGAGAATGGCGTGAACCTGGGAGGTGGAGCTTGCAGTGAGCTGAGATCGTGCATGTGTATGGAGGGTCAAGAAAACCAAACTGGCGGTTTTCACGGCGGCCAGGTTTTCTGATCTCACCTTAATTTGCTCCATAAGAATTGCATTGGTTGCTTCTGTTTCCCGAAGCAGGCCGTTTAAGTGATCTGCACTTTTTGTGGTGGAACTGAGCTTCTGAACCAATTCTTCTTTGGTAAATTCAGCATGCCATAATGGAGGCTCTGCAACATGTTGTTCCAAGAATTAATTTTCAAAATCATACATTAAAGATGAAGATTCTAAATAAGAAAAATCTAAATATAAATATCTTACTATGTGATATTTTATAGGTCTGCTTTCTTTGCCATTCATCTATTCGGCATACCTCAATCAACAGATTATATGTTGTAGGTGACACAAATAAAACAGTATCTCTGTTGTAAAGCATGTCATCTAACTGAATACAAGCCCTATGAGTCCCAGTTCTGAAATTTGTCAGAATTGTGTTTATAGACAGTTTTATTACACATCTTCTTCCTATCTATTAATATTCCAAGATTTTATGTCATTTCACGTATAAGGAAAGCATTAACATTTACTGGTCACGTATCATGTTCCCTCATAAGAATCTTCTATCAGGCGGGGTAGGTATCATTATTCAAACTTTACAGACGATGAAACAGGCTCACAGTTGACAGGTAATTTTTGCAGAAATCACAAAGTCAAATTGGCTTCTGGAGTCTGCTGCTCTATCATGATGCCTCCATGTCACCACTATTAACTTTGCCTGAAGGAACCATGACTTGCAGTTTCTACCCCACGTGGTCAGTGACCATGAATACAAATGACCCTTACTCCAGGTGATTCTGAAGTTTCAGGGAGATGACAGATTCCCCCTAAATTTTGAACAGTAATATTAATTACAGGTAATAAAATATACCAAAACATCACTACAAAAATTTAGCATTACTTCATCAAGAGGAATAAACTGAAACTGTCAGTTTCTTGGAAGCGTGAGAGGATAGTTCATCCTGCTTTCTAATACCCACCACCTATTTGTGACTATAAACTTCCCACCACTTATTTATGGTTCAAGCCTAGGGCAAGAGCTAGCATTTTATTTTAAAAAAGATTTGTTTAATAATTTTTCCATTTGGACAATGTGATGGTTAATACTAGGTGTCAAGCTGATTGGATTAAAGGATGCAAAGTATTAATCCTGAGTGTTGTCTGTGAGGGTGTTGCCAAAGGGATTAACATTTGAGTCAGTGGGCTGGGGAAGGCAGACCCACCCTTTATCTGGTAGGTACCATCTAATCAGCTACCAGCGAATATAAAGCAGGCAGAAAAACCTGAAAAGGCGAGACTGGCCTAGCCTCCCAACCTACATCTTTCTCCTGTGCTGGATGCTTCCTGCCCTTGAACATCACACTCCTAGTTCTTCAGTTTTGGAACTTGGACTGGCTCTCACTGCTCCTCAGCCTGCAGATGGCCTAGTGATCGTGTAAGGTAATACTTAATAAGCATCCATCCATCCATCCCATCCATCCATCCAACCATCCAATTAGTTCTGTCCCTCTAGAGAACCCTAATACAAACAGGTAGTGGAATATTGAAAGAAATTTTATTGGAGCAGCCCAAAAAAGCATATGTAACTTAGAGTAATAGTAATTAAATAAGACAGTGAAATTAAATAAGAAAAACATATTTAGACAGAGTAACATACCAAGTTTAGTTTCGGGAGAGTTAAGCAGCTGCTCTAAAGACTGTGTGTATGTGCTGGCGGAAGACACAGACTCCGTATCAGTTGTCTCCATGCCTTCTCCCTCTTCCCGGGTTACAGTGTGCATGTCTAGAAGCGGGAGGTCTGTGTTTCTCCTTTCTCGAAGGTTCTTCAAAGATTGTTGAGAGGAAACTGGGCCTATTAGATTTTTTTAAAAGGTTAAGTGTGAGATTGTTCAAAATCTATTGATTTGGCCTTACAGAGATACACAATAAAATGAAAATATCAAATGATAAGAGTAGAGGAATTAAGTAACTATAAGATAAGTGAAAGGTGTATGAAGAATTGCTAAAGCATTTCTTAAAATTTAGTCATCAAAGCTGGGCGTGGTGGCTCAAATCTGTAATCCTAGCAGTTTGGGAGGCTAAGGTGGGTGGATCACGAGGTCAGCAAGTTCAAGACCAGCCTGGCCAAGATGGTGAAACCCTATCTCTACTAAAAATACAAAAATCAGCCAGGCACGGTGGCAGGTGCCTGTAATCCCAGCTGCTGGGGAGGCTGAGGCAGAGAATTGCTGGAAACCAGGAGGCGGAGGTTGCAGTGAGCCAAGATCACACCACTGCACTCCAGCCTGGCGACAGAGTGAGACTCCAGCTCAAAAACAAAACAAACAAACAAAAACTTAGTAATCAAACTTTTAAATACGTTACTCATTTTAATAGAAGCTATAAATTAATTGCTACTAGCTAAGATAAACTGTTAGATAACACAGCTCATAATATAGTACTACTTATTTTTTATTAATTTAGAGTAGAGGGCCAAACTACTGCTAAATACTGGCCAAAATTAAAAGACTAGATTCTAGCAATTTTTCAGGATTAGGTATTTCAGATTGCTGCATACTTCTTGAAACACACTTGTTGAAATCTGCTTGGCAGACATCCTCAATCACTGCCCTTATACCTTTACCTCTGCAGCTTCTTAATTGTTGCTGCTCACACCTACAGTGCTCATACAGTAAGAGCCCAGAATCCAGGGCACGGAACTAATCAATTACATTGTCTAGCAAGACTTTCCTGTTTGCTGATAAACTGTATAGTGTTTTTTTTTTTTCTGAGACAGGGTCTCACTCTGTCACACAGGTTGGAGTGTAGTGGCACGATCTTGGCTCACAGCAACCTCTGCCTCCCAGGCTCAGGCCATCCTCCCACCTCAGCCCCACAAGTAGCTGGGACTTCCAGGTGCATGCTATCCCACCCAGATAATTTTTGTACTTTTAATAGAGATGGGATTTCACCATGTTGTTCAGACTGGTCTCAAACTCCTGGCCTCATGTGATCCACCTGCCTTGGCTCCCAAAGTGCTGAGATTGCAGGGGTGAGACACCACGCCTGGTCTAAACTGTAAAGTTTACCAGGCCCTTTGACATGTATTGGTTTATTGACTCCCAAAAATCTGAAGTTCAGAGAAATTTAATGACTTTGCCCAAGGTCTCATAACTGAGTTAGAAACCAGAATTGTAATCTAGATTTTTAAACTTCAGATTTCATTTATTTTGCATTTCATTAAGTTGCCTTAGTCCTGACTGCCCTTTTTGAAGCTTTTTCCTGGGTTTCTGGTAAGCTGACTGCTTATTCCACTGCTGATTGCTAGATTACAATCTCTTGTGCGACCTTTGCCCTGGCTGATTACTTCCTTTGTTGATTCTTTGGCATATGTTAAATTCTTCTGAAGTTGCTTTTTTACCCTAATAAGTGACCGATAGCGGCTAATGCTCCAGTGACAATATTTCCCATGGGAAACCAAAACACCATCAACTTGCTACTAAAATACTGCATCATCATGGCTGACATTTTTCCATGTCTTCCTGGAAGCAGAATGGAAGATACTGGGTGTGGCTGAACTAAAACTCCAACTAATTGTAAATGTGAAAGCAAAGAAGCTATATTGGTTATGCAGTTCTAACACATTCAGTGCCGCTTGAGTGTTTCTAAGTTCCTTGCTCTATCTAATGTTTCTATTTAAAAAGTAGACAAATTTGATGTCTAACAACGGAGAACATGAAAGAAATCTGGTGAATACTAGAATTAAGACATGTGTCGGCCAGGCGCAGTGGCTCATGCCTGTAATCCCAGCATTTTGGGAGGCCGAGGCGGGTGGATCACGAGGTCAGGAGATCGAGACTATCCTGGCTAACACGGTGAAACTGCGTCTCTACTAAAAATACAAAAAATTAGCCGGCCTGGTGGCAGGCACCTGTAGTCCCAGCTGCTCGGAAGGCTGAGGCAGGAAAATGGCCTGAACTCGGGAGGTGGAGCTTGCAGTGAGCCGAGATCGCGCCACTGCACTCCAGCCTGGGCGACACAGCGAGACTCCGTCTCAAAAAAAAGACATGTCACGAGACTGACAGAGGATGTTTAAGTCAGAGAAAAAGAAATACTCCTTTCCATTGAGGGTAAGGAATACATCAAAGTCAGCATTCTCAGAGGTTATACAGACTTCTGTAAGTATAATGAAGAGGGAAGGATTCAGATGGTTCAATTATCTTTCTAGTAAGCAAATCCAAAATTCATTAATCACAGATTTGACACTGGTGACACCTAGTAAATTTTCTTTCTTATGAATTTGTGAAGAATGTATTTAAGAGACAAATGCATGAAAACATGAACAACTAATATTTCCATGTGTACATACATACTTCTTGTGGTCGGTTCATTCTTAAGCTGGAAGAGCTGTGCTTCCATCTTGGAGAGCTGCTGCTGTAATGTCTCCACTGTCTTTCTGTGTTCTTCCTGCAAATGTCGCACTTGATCTCGGAAGCTATTTCGAAGGACCTCGTTCTGGGATGTTAGCTGACTCACAGTCTGTGTATGTTCAGATTTCATCATCATGTTCTCTGACTGTATTGAACACAATCTGAAAGATGAGAAACTTAGTTACAGAAGATCTTTCAACTTTATATGCTGACTTAGCCTTTCTCAACTGGGTTCTGCAAGAGAATTAGCTCTAAGACCTCTACTGAATGTATGAATCAACTTCTCTCCTACATACCTGCACTGTACTCATTGTGAAATAACTTGATGAGAACTGACACTGGCTGTCATCTAGTTCAAATAATCTGTGTTACACATTTCAGATGAAGAACCCCAGTTAAGAAACTGTGTTGTGTTGTCCAGACTAGGAACTTCTTTCATGGTTCATCAGAAAATAGGATTATATTTAAAGCATAAAATAATTATACTTTTAATTAGTCCACTTCTTCACATCATCATATGTGGTAACTCACATGAATGTAAGATTAATCTCCCTTTTATCTACTACCCTGAAAACATTAAAAAAAAAAAAAACCCCACACTCTTCTGATTTACTCAGAAAACTTTAGAGGAAAGTATCCATTTTTGAGTTGATTAACATAAACCACAACAAACACAGACTTGGTTTACTATAGCTGTTTCAAATCTCACTGCACATGAGAATCACTGGAATACCTTGTTGAAAATAGAGACCTCTAATTTTCATGTTACACCCACTGAATCAGGATCTCAGTAGTGGTTCCAGGAATTTCCTACTTTTAGTAGTTTTCAATGTGATTTTTATGTACTCAGCCTGAAACTAACCAGTGGGCCTACAATTTGGGAACCATCACTTTTAATGGTTTACCTGTAGTTTTCATGTTTTATATGTTTGGCTTTGGTAAAAAAAATAAATAAATAAATAAATAAATTTCCTTTTATACAGGGGATCCACAGAATTCTCTCATAAAAATTTAAAAAATACAAAAGCCGTCAGAGAAAAAAGTAAAAGCCCCTTATTAATTACTCTCATGCCTGGCAGGATAAAATCCCAATTCCACAGGTAGATAAACGTTGTTAACAGTTTAGTCTGTACTTTTCCAAGATATTTTTTCTACCTGCTACACACATGCGCACCATACAAGGTTTCAAACAGGGTTTAGTGGCTGAAAGGAGAAATGCAATAAAATACCATGTTTCAGAAAAGAAATCTTAATTACTAAGTTCATACTGATTAATGAATCTAGAAAATACTAGTGTATACAAATTTCTCTGCAAGCATTTTTTTCAAACAATATCTACCCAGAAAGCAAAGGAAGAACCATCGGAGGTTACAAAAATAGTCTAAGCAGGATAAAAATTAGAGGTGGGTAAAGTGTCTATTCTCAGGCAGTATCACTGACATTTATGAATTTACCAATTTGAAAGCTAAACGCTTAAACCCCCCATCTGGAATCAGAATGATTGTGCTGATGGAAGTTCACTGTTCTGTCTCAGTTGTTACAGAGGTGTTTATATTAACTGTAGTCTCTGCGTAATACAGATATTAATTAGCCTAATTATCACATTCCTCTGGAACCATTTTCACAATCTGCTATAGATAAAGTATGAATATTAAAACATTTTTTAAAAGTGGAGACTACATAAAGAGAAGGCTATTTCTTCATACTTGGGCAGACAGTAACAATACCATTAGTTTTTAATATTTCTGAAGAAGAGGAAAGACTCCTAAAGATACCTCAAAATGCTATGAAAAGTGACTGGCACATAGTAGGTGCTCAAAAAACACTTACTGAAAGACTGAATTACTTTAGAGGAATCAACAGTACTTTATTTGTGTTAGCAATGTAATTTGCAATAACTTTCCAAAAGAATAAGTGTTGGAGAATATCAAGCAAACATCACTATATATAAGATAATCTCATGGTAAACCCTGGTGATAGGCAGTTAGAAAACTGGTACATCTTCCCTGAAACTTTTGGTTTACATGATTAACATGCAAATTACACTGTTAACAGACAGAAGCCACAAAAAGCTAAACCTGCTTTCATTTTTCAGATTAGCATAAGATTAGGTATATATTATATAAGCAAATCTGTGATAAAATTATCAACACCCTTGATAAAAGATGCTCAATGAAGAATTCTTTTCCTCAGCCTAATACTCCTACTACCCAATTTCTTTATCACAGGAGTTGAAAACTTCTTGTTCACAATAATCTATTTATTTTGCCAATACTTCTAATGTCTATTTAAAGTATTACAGTGAACAAAATATGACAAATTGAAGACAGAATTGCAAAGATAACTTGCATATTCTTTTTCAGTTAGCAACTATTTGGGTGTTTTCTTCTAGAAAAAAAAATGCTTATGATTTGATACTTGGGTTGGAAAGTAGTATGTTTTTGTTTGTTTTTTTAGAGAAACATCCTAGCCAAGAAGGCTGTAGGAGACACAGAATACTGGATGAGCAGATAGACATTAATTGTTCTTAAAAATGCAAAATACAAAAGCAATGTAAAAGGCGAAGCTCTAAGGTAGATAAAGCAAAGTTTCCAAGCCTTTAGAAATGTCTATTTTTTATTTTCTAATCTGCATTTATCTCAAGGATCAACATATTAGAAGTTTCAACAAAGAAATACATTGCTGTCTGGTACAGCGTTAGTGCTGCTAACAGTCTTACTTTTCCCGGAGTTCCGCCTCTTTGGACACAGTTTCCTGCAGCATCTTGTTGTGCCTTTCTAGCAGTGTATCATGTTCAGACTGCAATGTTTGAAGTTCAGATACATTAATCTGTAAGTTATTTTGGCTATCTTGTAATTTGATTTTTAGCTGGTCAATCAGCATTTCCAGATGTTCCCTAAAACAGAAATACACAGTTTTAAAATTTTTTGAAAAAGGTGAATTTGATTTTGTGGTTTTAAATATAGTTTAACCATTTAACCTTTCAATGCCATACTCTTGGATGATTCTAAAGGAAATATAATAGAAGAATTCAAGACTAGGATTAAACATAATAAAAAGATATTATAGCCAGATTTAAAATCTTAGGCACTACAGATTTACAAAAAATTTCTCTAAAATTTAGAATTTCATATTCAAAAAGGGGCATCAAAATAGCCTATTTATGTTACAGGACTATGTCAGTTAAAGAAAAAAACCTCACACTATTTTTTTTTTTTTGAGATGGAGTCTGGCTCTGTTGCCCAGGCTGGAGTGCAGTGGCGCAATCTTGGCTCACTGCAGCTTCCGCCTCCCAGGTTCAAGTGATCCTCCTGCCTCAGCCTCCCAAGTAGCTAGGACTACAGGCACCCACCACCACGCTCAGCTAATTTTTTATTTTTAGTAGAGACAGTGTTTCACCATGTTGGTCAGGTTGGTCTTGATCTCCTGACCTCAGGTGATCCGCCAGCCTTGGACTCCCAAAGTGCTGGGATTACAGGTGTGAACCGCCATGCCTGGCGCACTCACACAGTTCTTAAATTGTTGTTATAAGAATGGTATGTCAGACCAAGTTACAGTGAAAGATAATCCCTGAAGAAGAGCAGGTCTTTTTAGACTTGGAAAAAACACTAGGTGGAGATAGTTAAAATCCTGATTCTGCCACAATGAGTACAATACACTATTAGTTTCTTTTTTTAAAAAACGTATTTATATTATAAGAAAGTAGAAGGAACACAAAACATTTACATTCATGTAATGTGAACTCAAAATTTAGGCATGGTCAAAAATGGCTCTTGAAAATGGTGACATTTATATTTTTGAAATGTATCAGTATCTAATTTCCCCTTTATATAATGAGCTACTGGAAAGAAAATACCATGTTTCAATCTACAGTCTCTATATTTAATAGATTCCTAAATGAAAGTAACAGAAACATAAACATACAAAAATTTCAGAATAATTAGTCTTGTTTAGAACAGTAAGAGCCAGATGTAAAACTGCTTTGAATACTGAACTGCTCAACACAGATGCCATGGAATGCCCTCTCTCTCTCTTACTCCCAGTACAAACAGGATCTGTATGCTAGTTTTAAAGCAGCATAAACAATATACCATTCAAATAGAACTGAAATGGTCATAAATAAGAAAAGTTTAATTCTAGACCAAAATTCAGTACTAAATTTAAAATTTTTGAAATAAGTGAAACATTTTAAAGCAACTTCTGTTTAGCTAAATTAATGGCAAATAAGTATGCTTAGCATTTTAATTTTTACTTCTAAATTTTCAAAATTGGAAAAACAAATCATAATGTAATTTTAATGCCTGTATTTCTACCACGACAAGATCTTATTAAGATTGAACTGTTAGCCTATTATCTCATATCCTGGCTTCACTGTGCACTTTAACATCTAATTTTAGAGGTTGCAACAGTGTTCTTTGTAATGAAGTTTCCCTGTTACTGTCTGCAGACACAGTGAAGCCAAGAAATTCTGTTCTCTTTGGTAACAATATACATAATTTCACAGTTAAAAATCATAATAGAATTTTAGGCCGGGTGCTGTGGCTCACGTCTGTAATCCCAGCACTCTGAGAGGCTGAGGCGGGTGGATCATCTGAGGTCAGGAGTTTGAGACCAGCCTGG
Source organism: Homo sapiens (assembly GCF_000001405.40). NCBI lineage: Eukaryota > Metazoa > Chordata > Mammalia > Primates > Hominidae > Homo > Homo sapiens. The sequence goes on along the minus strand of NC_000002.12, from coordinate 108,488,113 downwards.
CCAACATGGTGAAACCCCGTCTCTAATAAAAAATACAAAAATTAGCTGGGTATGATGGTACACGCCTGTAATCCCAGCTACTCAGGAGGTTGAAGCAGGAGAATCCCTTGAACCCGGGAAGCGAAGTGGCAGTGAGCTGAGATTGCACCACTGCACTCCAGCCTGGGCAACAAGAGCGAAAGTCTGTCTCAAAAAAAAAAAAAAAAAAAAAAATCATAATAGGATTTTCAATCTACTTGGTGAAGAACCTGCATTGTGGGAGGAAAACTCTGCATATTTAATTCAGACTTTACCTTTCTTGTTTAGCGCCCTCAGTTTCAGCCTGAGACATAGATTTATTTTTCTGTTGTTTTAGAACATTATGAACTCGGACTTTGTAGCTCTCGAATTCAGAGGTTACAGTAGCTTGTTCTGCCTATAACATTTAAAAGAGAGAAACGTTTTTCTACTGTAACAGGGTCCTTCTATTTTCTTTCAGAGATTAACAAATTGAGATAAAAACCTGTTTTTGAAAATGAGAAAAATGGCTGACATTCTTTTTGGTTTCTTGATTAACCTTGCTAAAAAGCATACTTCTGTTGGCTTTACACTTAAAAAATTTTCTTTTTAATTGATACATAATTGTACATATTTATGGGGTGCATGTGATATTTTGATGGATGCATACAATGTCTAATAAGCAAATCAGGGTAATTAGGATATCCATTGCCTCCAACATTTATCAGGTCTTCATGTTGGGAGGCCTTACACTTTTTAAAGGCCTCTCAATAATACATATTTTCTGATAAGAGATCTGTTTCTACCATGTCTTCTACCCTGGTAGATTAATTTACTAACCATACATTTTATAGTGACACTATGTGCTTTTGGAACTTAATAAACATTTTCTCTTATGATATCCCCTCTTTTTATAAATTTGAGAAAAATTAACTCAGAAATTAAGTTATTTGAACTTCAGTTTTCAAAACAGGGTGGTTAAGTGTTAAGTTCTAGGTCTTCCACTTTCTTGAAGTGATCTGTAAACTCCCACAACAGTGTTGCCAGGATTGCTTAAATAAGACCTGCATCTAACACAACCACTGCACTGTCTCTGTTTTGGATGATGACAAGAAAGTAGGCCCCCACAGCCATGCTATTAAAATGTTATTTTATAATCATTTAGCCCTAAGAACTGTAACACGTTTCTAATAAAAAAAGTTTTATAAATAAGTGACACATAAATTGCAAAACAAGGTTGAAATGGAAAAAACATCATGTTTTTCCTTTTGGCAAAAAAAGTGATCCAACTTACGATTAGGGTTGGCATGGGATTGGGGTTAAAGCCAGATTAACTGAACAGGTCTTAATCTAGTAAGTGCTCTTAACAGGAAAATACTAAAAAGGCAGAGCACAGCCCTGGAGTAAACCAATGACTAGCTGATAATAAAATCCCAGTGGCTTGCTGTGGCTGCCCTGAAGAACGCACCTTGGCAGCACGGCACTCTTCCTGTAGTGCTGTCACTCTCTGCTGGTATGCACTTAGCGTACGCTGGTGCTGTTCCGCAGAGGTTTTCAGGTGCTCGTGGATTTTGTGCTTCTCTGATGTTATTTCAGCCAGCTGTATCTGGGGGTAAATCTTTAAATTTAGCTTTAGCAAATCCTATCTTCACTAGTTAAAGAGGTTTTCCTTAAAATACAAACTTTAGGTTTGAGACATAAGTACATATAAGGCATAATTAAGTAGTGAAATATTTTTATGTATTATTATTGAAAAAGCAGAGACAAGTAGAACATTTTCTAAGTTATCTTTTCTTAAACCAACATCAATTCAAAAAAAAGAAAATCCCAGACTACATATTTAACATACAATGTTTAAATACTTCAAGACATTATATATATAAAAATATACACAAATATAGCAAACATATAAAATCATTTTATAAACTGTTCCTTGTAACTGCAATAGCATTTAGTTCAGATGCAGGCTTATTTTATTTTGCACTATTCTATAGTATATTATGAATTTCCAAATACATGAAAATAATCTAGCTTGAGCCAAATAATATACTCCAGTTATATGCCAGACTTGATTTATTGTTGTAACTTCCTCAAAATGTTGAGGAATCTTTCTAGATATCGTTATAGGATAATCAATAAAATCTCTAAATGGTACCTCACTTCTACATGAAAAAACATTTTTTTAATCTTAAAAAGTAAAACCCTTACTTTATAGACTTCTACTTGCTGCTGGCTTGCCTCCAGCTCACCTTTTAAAGATGCTTGAAGTATTAAGTGATCAGTTTCCTATAGAATGAGAATCTTGGTTAAATTTTTTTTAATGTTACTCATAAATAAATTATGAATAAGTACTAAATATGAAACTGAAAAATTAACATACTGCTTGCTTTGAATCTGCCAGTTCCTTTTTGGTTTTCACAAGCAATTGCTTGATTTTGGTGTTTTTTTCTTCATATTGTTGTACTGAAGACTGTAATGAAGCTAGCACAAGAAATAATTTCAGCAGAAAAAGATGTAACAATTTTTATCAGTGAATTTAAATACACAAATATGTCTTCTTTGTATTGGCTTGTCTTTAAGCCTGTTTTAGCTTTTTATTATGGAATACTTCAAACATATGTGACAGTAGTAACAACAGTGCCATAAACTCTACTGTACCCAACTCCCGGCTGTAACAATTACAACCCATAGACAATCTTAGTTAACCCAGACCAGGAAACAGCAAGGTACTTAAGAAATGTTAAAGTGAATAAATGTGGACTACAAACATCTTTTTTTTTTCTTTTTTTTTTTTAATTATACTTTAAGTTTTAGGGTACGTGTGCACATTGTGCAGGTTAGTTACATATGTATACATGTGCCATGCTGGTGTGCTGCGCCCACTAACTCGTCATCTAGCATTAGGTATATCTCCCAATGCTATCCCTCCCCACTCCCCCCACCCCACCACAGTCCCCAGAGTGTGATATTCCCCTTCCTGTGTCCATGTGATCTCACTGTTCAGTTCCCACCTATGAGTGAGAATATGCAGTGTTTGGTTTTTTGTTCTTGAGATAGTTTACTGAGAATGATGATTTCCAATTTCATCCATGTCCCTACAAAGGACATGAACTCATCATTTTTTATGGCTGCATAGTATTCCATGGTGTATATGTGCCACATTTTCTTAATCCAGTCTATCATTGTTGGACATTTGGGTTGGTTCCAAGTCTTTGCTATTGTGAATAATGCCGCAATAAACATACGTGTGCATGTGTCTTTATAGCAGCATGACTTCAAACTATACTACAAGGCTACAGTAACCAAAACAGCATGGTACTGGTACCAAAACAGAGATATAGATCAATGGAACAGAACAGAGCCCTCAGAAATAACGCCGCATACCTACAACTATCTGATCTTTGACAAACCTGAGAAAAACAAGCAATGGGGAAAGGATTCCCTATTTAATAAATGGTGCTGGGAAAACTGGCTAGCCATATGTAGAAAGCTGAAACTGGATCCCTTCCTTACACCTTATACAAAAATCAATTCAAGATGGATTAAAGATTTAAACGTTAGACCTAAAACCATAAAAACCCTAGAAGAAGACCTAGGCATTACCATTCAGGACATAGGCATGGACTACAAACAACTTAATGGCAAACAGTTTTACACCCATTCTGGGTCCCCAGTAACATTTATCACTGTGTTAAACACCTGACTGACAGTGAAAGACTGGTGAAATAAACAAGTAATGCCCCCCACCAAATCAAGTTGTTATGATGAAATAATTAAAAAGTAAAGTGAATTTTCTTTAACTCACTTATTTCTTCTTGTAGGGTTTCTTGTTTCTGTTTTTGAATTTTTATTTCTTGCTCCAAATCTTCTATCTTGTTGTTTTTATTAGTTAACTTTTGATTTAGTTCTTTCATCAAACGTTCATAATCAGCTATTTCCATATTCATCAATGTGGTTTGTTGGGCATCCTGCACATTTTATAAGTAAAAGATTTACACAATAGTAGATCAGTTCATTTGTAAATTTTTTTTTTCATTTGTAAAATTGCTAAAATGATGCCACAGCAATAAATGGGTGCTTTTCTGTAATACTGAAATTGTTTACACTGTAACAAAGAAATGAGGAGTTGGATATTTTCTACTTTTTAATTTCACAAAATATTTTCTAATAGTTTAACCCAACTTTCTTAGTTTCATTTTATTTCATTATAACTAACTACAACTAGCAGCTGTAGCTTGCGGAGCTCTTATTTATAAAATACTAATATGTCAAGTGGCTCTTATAGTACATTTCTTTTTAGCCTCATCTTTGAAGGAGTAAAGTCAGCCAAAGTTTTAAGTATAATACAAATTTCAAGCTTTGACATTAATTAAATCTTAATGTGTCATACAACAATCATGTATACAAAATGAACTGTCAAACCAAAATCTTGTAACTCAGGAGCCTAGATTCTTCTGAAAGGACTGGTACTTAGAGAAGTAAGTTAAATTTCCAATTTTTTGAGCAAATAATTTATAAAGCATTATTTTAGTACCACAAGTAACATTCTAAAATATTCCTTTTCAACATGTATAGAATAGTTTAACAATGCAGGCTGAGTGCGGTGGCTCACACCTGTAATCCTAGCACTTTGGGAGGCTGAGATGGGCGGATCATTTGAGGTCAGGAGTTCCAGACGAGCCTAACCAAATTGGTGAAACTCCATCTCTACCCAAAATACAAAAAATTAGCCGGGTGTGGTGACGCATGCGTGGAATCTCGGCTACTTGGAAGGCTGAGGCACAAGAACTGCTTGAACTCGGGAGGCGGAGGTTGCAGTGAGCCGAGATCATGCCACTGCACTCCAGCCTGGGCCACAGAGTGAGATTGCAGAGAGAACAGAACAAACAGAACAACAAAACAGAACAATGTGAATATTACATCAATTTTGATCCTAGTGTTTTATTTTACCTTTTTAACCAGCTCTAATTCTTGCATGGTTTTCTGAAGCTGTTTCTTTTGCTTTTGAAGTTGTACCTGAAGTTCTTCAAGTTCATTTACAGTAGTGGCATGTTCCTGAAATTAAAAATAAAAACAACCCACACCACCCAACCAATATTAAAAAGGTATTTTTAAGGGGCTTTAAAATAAATCTGACGGCCGGGCGTGGTGTCTCACACCTGTAATCCCAGCACTTTGGGAGGCCGAGGCGGGTGGATCACAAGGTCAGGAGATTGAGACCATCCTGGCTAACACAGTGAAACCCCGTCTCCACTAAAAATACACACGGAAAATTAGCTGGGCATGGTGGTGAGTGCCTGTAATCCCAGCTACTCGGGAGGCTGAGGCAGGAGAATGGCATGAACCCAGGAGGTGGAGCTTGCAGTGAGCTGAGATTGCGCCACTGCACTCCAGCCTGGGCAACAGAGCGAGACTCCGTCTCAAAAAAATAAAATAAAATAAATCTGACACGCTAAAATACAAAAAGTTTGGTAATATTTCAATGTTTAAAATATATACACCCCAAATCACAGCATGGATTCTCAAATTTATGGTTGGTATTAAGGAATTAATGAACTCTGCTGTATTCATAAATGCTACTCTTAGTAAGTCTTCCCTTCATTTAAATAATATTTTGGTAAATGCATCATATATATGTGAATCAATCTCATAGGATTGTTTTTACCTTTATCTTCTGTTCTTTCTGAAGTTTTTCAGCTTCTAATTCTTTGTCTACCATTGCTTTGGCTCTCTGGACTTCTAAAATCTGTACTTCTAATAATTTGGCATTAGACTGTAATGTCTCAATACGAGCCAGGAGATCTTCATTATCAGAATTTATTGTTTCACACTGAAATGACAAATGATTCATTACTATAAACATGCAAAAAACATATACAGCAGAGGAAGAATGAACAGGTACATTAATGAGAATATTGGCATAGTGTGACAAATGAAGATTTCCAAGTCCATGCTACAGAACGATAATATTAAGAATCAGTTTTAAAATCTGTCATTGAAATACTAATATGGTAAACCTTACAAGAGACCAGGTGCACTGGCAGAGCAAAGAGCAGAAACGAAAAACAAACAAACCCCCAAACAAACAAACAACCCTCTAGGGGAACTGAGATTAGAATAATAAGCAAGATAGTTGCTAGCTGTTTTGTCTTATTCTTCTCTCCTAAGTGGGAAGGAGGGTAAAGTGGGGGGGGAATAAATTCTGTTTCCGACTATATTTTTTAAATTTTTTATGCAAAAAGTATTGAGATTAAAATATACCTGTTATAGTTTTCATTTTTGGATTTATTAAAAAATTACCTGCAAAGTCGAATTTCTTAATTGTCTTGTAAGGTCTTCAATACGATGCTCAAAATTATTAGCACGTTCTTTTTCCACATCCAGTTGCTCTGACTGCTTTTCATATTCTAATAAAAGATTCTTCAATAAAAGAAGGATTTAACTTTGGTATATAATTTTGCATTCAACAGGTCAGACTTCATCATCAAGCCACCTTAAGATTCATGAGTCCATTCTGGATGCTTAAAATATTTACCCAAGTTGAACAGAATACCTAACTGGCATTAGGTAATAAAACTAGCACATTTTGGGTAACTTTTAGTATTGGAGAGTGGGGGAAATATATGAAAGAAGAAGAAAATTTTAAATATAAACAATATAATAGCTCCAAGGTTAAATATTCTACTCATTAACAAAAATGAACTTCTGAAGTGTAAACACAATTTAAGGATAGATACAACGTTTAATAAACACAATTTAAGGACAGAGGATAAAAAGTTTAACCTGGATACCTAACTCCACCTGAAGAATTCTAATGAGAGAAATATTCCAGGCCTGACCTAATATAAAGTAAAGGTGCTAATGAAAGAACACTGGAAGACATTCACAGATTTAGTCTCTCACACTCTGCAGTGACACTTTCAATATTTCCTGAAGAATCCAAAGACAACTGAATTTTCTTTGATATTCCTAGTTGGCCTACTGAAGGACAGAATGATCAGACTTTCTTGCCACACACAAGCTAATTAGGTTATCCACCAAAATATGTAAATGAGATTCAGTTTCGAGACTGCATGTAGTTCTTTATGTTTTTCTCTCTCTCTCCTTCCTTATAAATCCTGTTTTTGCCTTTGTTTCTGGAAAACTTCTATTCTTCCCATAAATGTGCCTGCAAAATTACTAGCAAAATGGTGTTTTTAAAAAATTTTTTAACTTTTAAGTTCAGGGGTACATGTGCAGGTTTGTTATGTAGGCAAACTTGTGTCACAGGGGTTTGTTGTACAGATTATTTCACCATCCAAGTATTAAGCCTAGTACCCATTAGTTATTTTTCCTGATCCTCTCCCTCCTCCTACCCCTCCACCTTCTGTTAGGCCCCAGTGTCTGTTGTTCCTCTGTATGTGTCCATGTGTTCTCATCATTTAGCTCCCACTTATAAGTGAGAACATGTGGTATTTAGTTTTCCGTTCCTCCATTAATTTGCTAAGGATAGTGGCTTCCAGCTTCATACATGTCCCTGCAAAGGACATAATCTCATATTTTTTTTATGGCTGTGTAGTATTCCATGGTGTATATATACCAATTTTCTTTATCCAGTCTACCACTGACAGGCCTTTCGGTTGATTCCACGTCTTTGCTATCATGAATAGTGCTGCAGAGAACATACATGTACATGTGTCTTTATGACACAATGACTCACATTCCTTTGGGTATATACCCAGTAACGGGATTGCTGGGTCAAATGGTATTTCTGTTTTTAGGTCTTTGAGGAATCTGTTTTCCACAATGGCTGAACTAATTTACACTCCCACCAAAAGTGTAAGTGTTCCTTTTTCTCTGCAACCTTACCAGCACCTGTTATTTTTTTGACTTTTTAATAGTAGCCATCCTGACTGATGTGAGGTGGTATCTAATTATGGTTTTATTGCTAGCACACTGTTTATGTTTTCTTGCAAAGTTTATATTTGGAAGTTCCACTGAGATATTATGCATAAAAGAGAAACGACATTAACCAAGAGGACTGTGAAGCCTGGCAGTGCCTGCCTGTGGACCTGGACCTCTTGTGTCCTTGGCTCACCTCCGCAGGCTTCTCTGGTGGGGTTTTTCGTTTTTTTTTTTTTTTTTTTTTTTTTTTTTGAGATGGAGTCTCGCTCTGTCGCCAGGCTGGAGTGCAGTGGCGTGACCTTGGCTTACTGCAGCCTTCGCCTCTCGCGTTCCAATGATTCTCCTGCCTCAGCCTCTGGGGTAGTTGGGATTACAGGCATGTGCTACCACACCTGGCTAATTTTTGTATTTTTAGTAGAGATGGGGTTTCACCATGTTGGCCAGGCTGGTCTTGAATTGACCTCAGGTGATCCGCATGCCTCAAGCCTCCCAAAGTGTTGGAATTACAGGCATGAGCCACTGAGCCCGGCCTCTGCTGGGTCTTGTGTGGCATTTATGCTCTTTTGGATCGTGCTTGCGAAATCTTTTTTTTGAGACAGGGTCTTGCTCTGTCGCCCAGGCTGGAGTGCAGTGGCGCAACCTCAGCTCACTGTAACCTCTGTCTCCTGGGTTCAAGCGATTCTCCTCCCTCAGCCTCCCAAGTAGCTGGGACTATAGGTGTGTGCCACTACAGCCAACTAATATTTGCAGTTTTAGTAGAGACAGGGTTTCACCATGTTGCCCAGGCTGGTCTCAAACTCCTAAGCTCAGGCAATCTGCCTGCCTAGGTCTCCCAAAGTGCTAGGATAACAGGTGTGAGCCACCATGCCCGGCTCTTGCTTCCCAGATCGGATCCTTGACTAACGCACTTTTGTTTCTAATTCTCATTTACACATGGTCAATTATTTGACTCAACTGGTGGCTGACTGTTACAATCTGAATTTTGATTTTATAGTCTGTCCATTTAGTGATTTCAGTGGCAGAAGACAAGACTTGGGAATCTAGAATCTGGCTTATTTTTTATTTTTTTTGAGACGTTGTCTCGCTCTGTCGCTAGTCTGGAGTGCAGTGGCGTGATCTCAGCTCACTGCAGCCTCCACCTCCCTGGTTCAAGCAATTCTCCTACCTCAGCCACCACGTCCAGCTAATTTTTTTGTATTTTTTAGTAGAGATGGGGTTTCACCATGTGGCCAGACTGGTCTCGAACTCCTGACCTCAGGCAATCCTCAAGCCACGGCCTCCCAAAGTATGTTTTTCTATGTTTATTTATCTGAGTCTGCTACTTCTTGGCACACATGCATACAGGGTTGAGGTATCATTAGGGTCTTTTCTTTTCCATAGAAAGAAGATCCTGTGCTTGTTTAGTATTTGGGTAGGCTCCTCTAGAAATCAGAGATATTTATCCTCTTAGTCTCTATCTGGCCTTCTTCATTTTTACTCATTCTGGTTCCAACTGCTGTCAATAGCTGTAAAAACTGAATTGCTATGCCAGGGCATAATAAACAATGGCTCCCTTTGGGAAATTCTGATTTTAATCAAGTATTATTCCTAAGGGGAGTCTTGGAACAAAAATGAATGCCATGCATACAAGAGTCTACTTTCCTTATGTAGGGTAGACGCTTCTAAACATCTGAATAATTACAAATTATTGTCCCTCTAGGACTCCTGTGTGTTCAGATCTTTTAATAAACCGATACAAGTTATTACAAGTGATATGAACACTGAAAAAACTAGCCAAATTAACAAACTCCAAAAATTACTCAGTATCTTTATAATGATGCATCCTGAAGAACCTAATAGAGCGTAGGTACATGTGTTTTTAAAAGTGATCAACATTCTTAAACATTTCAGCACCTCTGGTTCTACCTTAAATCCTGTCACATTTTTATACGTAAGTTTATATTACATATGAAAATATGGTAATGAAATTTGAAAATTTAAATTTATACATGACAAAGAATTAGTATGTTTATATACAAAGATCTTACAAATCCATTAAAAAACCCATTTAAAATTTATATATGGGCTTCTTCATAAGAGCAAGTTACACAAGGAACTTGCTTCTTTACATTTTAAGAGACCCTATAATCTATTAATTTCTTCCAGAGGTAGACCAGGCATATCAATTTCAAATAGTTAAATCTATCAATCTTTTCCTTTGTAATCTTTTCCTTTGTAGGGGTGCAGTGGTACAATCTCCGCTCACTGCAACTGCCACCTTCCAGGTTCAAGTGATTCTCGTGCCTCGGCCATCAGAGTAGCTAGGACTACAGGTGTGTGCCACCATGCCCAGCTAAATTTTGTGTATTTTGTAGAGACAGGGTTTCGCTGTGTTGGCCAGGCTGATCTCAAACTCCTGGCCTCAAGTGACTCACCCACCTTGGCCTCCCAAAGTGCTAGAATTACAGGCGTGAGCAACTGCACCTGGCCGAAATTTAGTATCTAAAGTTTGAAAAAGTCTTTTGTATGCAGAAGTCAGTTAAAGGATCAAGTATTTCATTCTAGGTTTTTAAAAAATATTTTTCACAAAATTTTTTAATCCATCCAGAATACATTTTGGTATGTGGAGTGAAATAAAAACCTAATTCCTTAGAAGGAATTTCTTTCTTCATTGGTTTCTGTTTCAAACTTTACTGAGATGGTATAGCTTAGTTGGTGAAACAATAGATCTGGAACGAGACTCCCTGAATTAAAATTTCAGCTCTGCTCTGTTACTTGTTCTGTGACCCTGAGGTCTCTTAAGAAATCGGAGTCTGTGACTTTGAGTTCCTTCATCTATTTATGCCTCAGAGTCCTCACTTGTAAAGTGTTGATGCTAATATACTTGGGGGTTGTTTTGAGAATTAACATATTGAGATATGTAAAGTGCTTAGAAGAGAGCCTGGCACCTGTTTGTTGTTATGCAGAAGTATCTATCTCTTCTCCTACATTAATCTGTACCATTCTTGCATCAGAATTCTACCACATTACTGTAACTCTGTGATAAGTTTCAGTGTCTCTTTGAGTAGGATGTCACTTTTTTCTTTTCATTTAAAAAAAAATTTAGCTACTCTTGCTAGTTTTTACTTAAAACTTAGAATTCTGTCAAGATCCAGCCAAAAAAAATCTACAATTTTCAATGAATTTCTCTTAGAATTTATAAACCAATCTGAGAACTGATAGTTCAAATAATAGTCATCCTATATAAGTTTTGCAGTTTTCTTCATTAAGTGCCAAAACTTCTCATTTAAGTGCTTCCTAAGATTGGATTTTATGGCTGCTGTGGGATATTTTTTTTCATCAAATCCCGCCTGATTACCACTCACTCTCTTCTCCCTACCCACCTTACTTTTCTACACAGTATGTATCTTCTATTTTTGTATGTTTGCCTGTTATTGCCATTGGGATTTTTTTAAGTCCTAAGAGGATAGGAACTCAGTCTATTTGGTTGACCTCCAACCTGCCCCAGAACTCAGAAGTCAGTCTGCCACATAACATTTGCTGAATGAATACCTGAAGAAATGTAGTGATGTTTATCTTGCATTCAGTGATTTTGTTGTACTTTAATTTTTAATTCTTATCTTTTTAATAATACATTTTCATGTTACTAAGGTAAACATACTTTAATTTTTAATTCTTATCTTTTTAATAATACATTTTCATGTTACTAAGGTGAATAAGCATATTGCCTCCAAATAACAATGCTTCACCTTGTTTAAGCTTCAGGTTTATTCACTTGGCCAGAACAATATTAAATAATCACAGTAGGAATAGGTTATCTTTTTGTTACTGATTTTATTAGGAAATCCCAAAACAAAATTTTACTTTTATAAACAACAATTTAAAGGCACTATTTAGGCCAGGTGTGGTGGCGCATGCCTGTAATCCCAGCACTTTGGGAGGCCGAGGTAGGTGGATCACGAGGTCAGGAGTTCAAGACCAGCCTGGCCAGCATGGTGAAACCCCGTCTCTACTAAAAATACAAAAACTGGCCGGGCATGGTGGCGCGCACCTGTAGTCCCAGCTACTCGGGAGCCTGTGGCAGGAGAATTGCTGGAACCTGGGGGCAGAGGGTGCAGTGAGCCAAGATTGAGCCACTGCACTCCAGCCTGGGCGAGAGAGAGAGACTTCATCAAAAAAAAAAAAAAAAAAAAAAAAAAGCAAGCCACTATTTAAAGCTTAACCACTTTAGAATCTTGATATTAGGATTCTATTACATTGCACCCCAAAACAGAATAAAGATTTACTAAAAAATACAAGGTGATTGTTTTGTTGACAATAGTTTTACATTTCCACTACATTTCTTAACTTAGAAGTTATTATTACAACTTTTATAACTTGTTATTAAAATGACTATTTTTTACCTTATAGCTTTCTGCTCCTTGAATGAGATCTCTCATGGAAGCAGATAACTGGTCCTTTTCTGATCGAAGAGATTCAAGTTCTTCCTTCACAGTCTGGGTCTGTTTTAAACACAAGTAAAATTAAAGAGGTTTTTGTTTTTTTTTAATGGATAGAAAAACTCTTGATTTTTAAAAATGTGAGATTCCGGAATCTTACATTTTTAAAGTCAGCTCACCTCTTTTCTGCTGGAATCTAGTTCTTTCTTTGCCTTTACGGCAACTAATTTTATCTTATTTATTTTCTCCTCCTTTTCTTTGCATTCTTTTTCCAGATTTTCTAAAAATAGAAAATAAATGGATTACATACGAACTCAAAAGGAAAAAATTCAAATTACTTGCTTATTTTAGCCCTAGATTATTTGGGAGCACAAAATTGGTAATTTGATATTAAAATAAGCAGTAAAAACAGTAATATCATTTTTTAAAGTGGAATTTTATTCATTATGTGAGACAAACAATGTAAAAAGTTTCCATTGTCTTTAATCCTCCAAAATAGTCTACTTTTTTCTAGCCGTTTCATATGTTTCCAGGAATTAGAGGCTTTCAGGACTTCTTTCTCATTAGATTTCCTGGAAATGCAGGTATGCTAGGACTTTAGGTGATAGTGTGCAAATTAGGATCAAGTATCAGAGATATCAGATGCAGATCAACATTTATGCTCCATAAGTGCACTCCTCCTCTTGGCTGCTGGGTCTGATTTTCACAACGAAACCTGTAATATGTTTTACCTATCCAATATTGATCTCTGTTAACTTCTTTAGCTTGAACTCCTGAGTTCAGGACTTCTTGGTATTTGTTTCTAAAAATTCAGTTATGATCTGAATTTCTGTCCTGGCCTATTAATTTACTTGCACCGGTGCCTTCCCTCTGGCTGCCATAGTGAAGTGTCTGTGTGCGGAGCAAAGGCCAATTGTTCCACATCTGCATTTCATCCTGCGTCTCATTACCTACTCAAGCATCAGAGCAACAATTCTCCCTCCTTCTTCTGCAGCAATAATTTTCCCCTTTCTAGTCGATTTTTTCCTATTTTATAAACATGCAACAAGAAAAATTATCATCAAGAAATTAAGGCCAGGAACAAATAGTGAAAGCAGTTAAAGAGGGTAGGGGACAGGTGAACATCTTAAACATGCTGTTATTCTTCCCATAAAATAAAAAATTAAACCACACTGCCCCTCTAAAATAAAAAAATTAAACCACCCGGTCCCTCTAGTTTTGTCCCATCGCTTTTTTTCTCCCTATAGCAAATCCCTTGAAAAGAGTTGTCTATATATGCTCTCAAACATTGCCTCCCCCATTTTTTTCTAGAACCAACTGCAATCAAGCTCTGGTTCCAGCATGTCATGGACACTGACCTCTATGTTGCTTAACGCAGTGGTCAGGTCTCAGTACTCATCTTATTTGATACATCAGCAGCACTAGCAATGGCTTTTTCCCTCTTGAAGCACTTCTTTCACTTCCATGTCACTTGCCTTAGCTTTCAAGACATTTTATGTCCCAGGTTTTCCTACCTTACTAGCTGTTCCTTCTCAATTTCCTGTGTTGTCTCTATCTTCTCTATGTTTACATGAATGGAAAAATGTCTCTGGTCTCCATCTTTTGGCTATACTCCCTTGGTAATTTGAATCTCCCGGCTTTATTTATTTATTTTTTTGAGACGGAGTCTCCCTCTGTCGCCCAGGCTGGAGTGCAGTGGCATGATCTTGGCTCACTGCAAGCTCTGCCTCCCGGGTTCATGCCATATTCCTGCCTCAGCCTCCCGAGTAGCTGTGACTACAAGCGCCCGCCACAACGCCCGGCTAATTTTTTTTTTTTGATTTTTAGTAGAGACAGGGTTTCACCGTGTTAGCCAGGATGGTCTCAATCTCCTGACCTCGTGATCCGCCCACTTAGGCCTCCCAAAGTGCTGGGATTATAGGCGTGAGCCACCGCACTCGGCCTCTCCTGGCTTTTAATGACCACTCTTTAACTAGAAGTATTTATCTCTAGCTTAGCTCTCTCCCCTTAACTCCAGATTTGCATAGCATTCTAACATCTTTACTTGGACTGGTATTTAAACTTAATTCTAAAACTGAACATCCCAATCTGCCCCAATCACCCATTATAGACAACTGGGAGTCATTCTAAACTCTTCAACTTCCCTTACCCTAATCTAACAGGGTACTAAATTCAGGGATCATTGGCACATTACATACTTCTAAGTCTTCGTTTCCTGATTCTTATATGGGAATAAAAGAGCTATCCTATAATGTTACTGTGAGGAATAAATGGATAAGATAAAGTCCTAACTCCTCTGCATATCAATCATACTAGTGTGTTTATGATCAGGCTCCTACCTCTCCAGGAACTTCCTAGTACGTGCCTTGATGTATGCTATATGTCAACCTACAAGCACCTGCTCTTCCTTCTTCCTAGAATACCTTTCTTCCTGTGTAAAATTTCTCATTCTTCAAGACTTGGCTGAAAACCCTATTCTACGCTGCTTTTTTTTTTTTTTTTAACTCAAAACAGTGTTAAGTTCCTATGCTGTTAGTACTGTATCTTGTCCACACCTCAAACAACAGTGAGATCTCTGAGCACATGGTCTGTACCTCAACCACTTTTCTATCACCAGGGTCTAGAATAGTTGGGCATTTAAATAAAATTTGCTAAATGAATGAAAAATCCAAAATAAATCATGAAGCCATTTATAAATCACACCAATCTTGCTTGGGTTAAACAATAGAAAGTAACACTTTTGAAAGAGAAGGCAAACAGGTGTTAGAGGGGCAAGAATGTGAGCTCGAGGAAAAGACAGCTACGAACTGTGTTTTTAACAACTCATTATTTGGCTACTATATTTCCCAATCTATTCTAACACTAAGAAGAATCTGTCTAATTAATTGTGACAACATCTGCAAAACCATAGTTACCTATTTTTTCTTCCAACTCTTTTACTGAAGACAGAGGATCATTTTTTACAGAAGGTGATTTTGCTAAGGAATCCTAGATTTTACAGGGGAAAAAAAAACACAAAACAAAACAAAAACCAGAATCAGAATTCATTTTCCATAATGAACTGGCCATCATGTTAAGCATAAGAAAATCACTATCAAAGAGAATTCCTACAGAAACCAATTTGGTCAACAGATTTTCCCTTGTTAGACCAGAAAATTAATACTGACCTTACTATGCATATGGCATTTACTATTAAAAAAAAAAAAAGTAGTAACCAAGGCCAAGATAAACAACCTGATACATTAAATACATGTGTAATAAGGAGAAGATTAAATGATTTTTAATCTTTAATTTTTAAAGAAAACCCTAAAATTTTAGCAATACCACCACAGCTCTTACTTAAAAAGTGCTCTTTACAAAAAATAACTAAGCATATCACACGAGAATGAAACTCAAGTTTTTCCATGTTTAGTTGTTTTGCTAGTGACTAATAAACTTCTGATCAAGACATTTAAACCCCTAATCATTTAATCTTCTATAAACTCAAGATTTTAAAAGTATCTAAAACTCCCCAAAAATAAATGTAATAAACTGGACATACAACATGGAAATGTCTAATGCACTTTTCAGAAAGTTGCCACTTGGGCTTAAATGGTAAAAATTTACTTTTGACGTCAAGGTGTAAAAATGTTTAACGTATATATTGTAGAGTTGAACTAAGAATTTATTTGAAACAATAGAATTCAAATGAATGGTACCTTTAATAGTATCAACTCTGCTCTCCTATCTCGTAATTCTTTTTGTTCTAGTAGTGGCTTTAGGTTTTCATGTTCCTTTATAAAACATTTTTCTTTTTCATTATGGATTTCACTTTTGCTACATGTTTGAGATACTTCTTCAACTTGAATTAAAAGATTCTGATTTTCAAGCCTTGTTTTTTCATTAGCATTCTTCATTTCTAGAAGATCAGACTGCAGGGCCTCTTTTTCTGACTGTATTTCTTCTAACTCTTTCCTTAAGAGAACTTTCTCTTGCTCATAGTCTCTCAATAAAGACTTAAGTTCTTCACACTGAACTACACTCTCTTCTTGAAGGCACTTAATCTCTTTTTCTAACTCTAATACTTTTTCATCACGCTGAAAAGCCAGGTTGCATTTTTCCTCATTTATTTTTGCCAAGGATTCACCGACTGCCTGTAGGACATTAACAACATCTTTCTCTTCACTGTCTTCTGAAACTTCTGATCCCATTTCTTTAAGAAAACCATACAACTGAGTTTTAACAAATAACTTCTGAACTTGCTCATTTTCAAGCAGTTTATTTAAATTATCTTGCTCTTCAACCATTAACTGAAGTTTCTTTTCTAATTGAGTAATATGTTCTTTAAGGATAACATCTTCTTTTTGAGACAAAAAAACCTCCAAATCCCTACTCAACTGTTTTTTTTCTGAACTGAGTTTATTGTTTTCCTCATAAAGAGACTTCACTTCAGCTGACAATACTTCTTTGTCTTCAGAGAGAACTTTCATTTGAACCATAAGTTTTTCTAGTTTTTGGTCATTTTGATCCTTTTCTTTTAAAGTCTCCTCTAGTCCTCCTGTTAATTCATTTACCTTTTGTTCTAGTTCACTGTTGTACTGGATTGTTTGCTCTACTTTCTTCCCAAGTTCAAGAATCAATCTTTCTTCCCTTTCACATTTCTTATGGAAATTATCCATTTCTTCATGGGAATTTTTCAGTTTATTTATAAAATCATCTTTTTCCTCAGTAAGAGAATTTATCTTTCCTTCTAATTCTTTTAACATGGTATCTCTTTGACTGAGACTAAGTAAGTATACTCCATTCTTTTCTTGAAGGTTCTTTATGGTATTTTCAAGTTCTGGTACCAATTCTTGTTGAGATAGTAACTTTTCATTTTCTCCCTGGAGGCGATTCACAGTTTCGAGAAGGGCATCTTTTTCAGTAAAAGCAGTTCTGAGCTTCTGCTGCAGTTCATGAACATCAGATGCTTGCTGTTGCTTCATTGATTCGAACTCTTGACTTATTTTTCCAGCAGATTCCCCCAGTTCTGTTTGTAAAATTTCCATAATCTCTCGTAAACTCTCATAATTTAAAATTGCTTCTTGCTTTTCTTGCTGTAGGTTTTCACACTGTTCCTTAAGACCCTGTATTTCAAACATTAATGTTAATTTTTCTTTTTCTGAATCTGACAAAAATGTCTCATTTAGTTCTGATATTTCTTTTTGATGTTGTTCCTTAAGACTCTGTACTTCTCTGTTATGCTGTTCTACAGTATAGCAAAACTGTTTATTTAAACCTGCTAGCTCAGATTTTAATTTTTCAATTACACAGCCCTGTTCTTCTTTAGCTAGTAATAATTCATTAATTTTAAACTCTAAGTCTTCCCGTTCATGAAAAAACTCATCCTTTATATGTTGAGCATCCATTTCAAGTTTTAACTTAAGATTATTCATATAAGTTACCTCATCTTTTAAGATACTGTGTTGAGATTCAAGTTCTTTTAAGGTATCTTCTAAGTGTTTGACTTTTTCATTTACTACTTGTTCTACAAATGTATTTTCTTGCAAGAGAATAGAACATATCTGATTGTCTTGGTTTGCATTTGAGGTGGCTTTCCTTAAATTTTCTAACTCACATTCATATTTCTTCTGGATGTTCTTTTCACTTGCCTCACATTGTTTTACTAAGTTCTCTTTTAGCTCGTTCAACTTATTTATCTCTGCTTCATGTTCCTTAGCTGATGCTTCAATCTGGCACATCAACTCTTTCACCTCTTCTTGGTGTATAGCTTTCAACTGTAAAAGCTCTTCCTGCAAACTATTAATATTTTTTTGGTAATGCTGAGAATTAGCCTCAATGATATTTTGGAGTTGAGTAACTGTTTCCTTCTTTTCATCAGTGGTAGCGTCTAATTGCTTTTGCAGATATAAAATTTGCTCCTCAAAGCCTGGCCTAATTTTCTCAATCTCTTCTTGTAGTTTTTTAACATTATCTTCAGAGTTGTTCTGAAATTTAAGTTGTTCTGAAAGTTCTAATTGCGTATTCATTGCTTCTTCCAGCTGCTTTTGTAAGTTAGCTTTGTCTTCACTGTATTTGGAACGTACTGCCATCAACTCATTTTTCAAATTTTCAATTTCTTTCACATAGTTTATATGTGATTGTTCCAACTCCTTATGTGCATCTCCCATCTTTGTTACAGAATCCTATTACAAAAAATAAGCACACATAAATTATTTAAGTAAGACAAAAGGAGCCTCTGACCTTAGGAAAAATATTAGCCACAAGCTAAGTAGAGAGAAAAGTAAATGAGCAGAAATGTATTTGGAGAAACATGATACTGATATTCCAATAACTCTCCTTAGGTGCTGCCTATCTAAAGTATGACAATATATATCTACAATATTAAATCTATTACTCAAATTAGCCCAGACCTAATAGGCAAGAAATAGGCAAGAAATGCCTCTGAATACCGTAGAACTAAAGAGATAATGGTATTTAGTCATGTGTGAAAATCAACTTACTTTTTTTCGCTTTTAGTAAAGATGGCATTATAGCTATAAAAAAGATAATGCAACAAAAGTAAATGTCACCTCTGTTGCTGTATAGTTAGGTGATTCAGTTATTTTTCTTTTAAAATCTCAATCTCGGTTTCTTTGTTTATATTATAAAATATTAATCAGATTAGATGCTTTTTAAAGTCTTACCTCTAAAATTAATGACTACACTATATGTTAATAAAAAAGAAAAGAACACTAAAATATTGACTTACCTCAACCTCTTGCTTCATTTTTATATTTTCCTTTTTCAGAGAAAGACACTGTTGCTCAGTCTCTGCTTTTTCCAGAAGAAGAGCATCCAGACGTTCAGTTAATGCCTATTTTAGAACAAGATTTATTTGCCTGGGGTTAAAAAATGGTGGATTGACCACATGCGTAATTATCTCCTGACCTTTTCAAAACACACTGAAGTGAGAATAAGAGATTTTAAAAGGTAGAACACATTGCGCAAAGAGAAAAGGAGAAAAGATATAAGGATAAGAGAAATTTCAACACATCTTTGGAAAACTGAATTACGGAGGAGGATGAACTGAATTAGAAGCAGGAAGAAAGCTATAACCTAAGGACCTGCACAAGGAAACACATGAGAACCTGGCAAATATTCTGCAGAACTGAAATGCTCAGAATTGGAGGCAACAGATATTGTTGAGGGAGGTGTCATGTGTGGGGCTCAAAAATTGGTGATTGGTCAACAATCTGAATAGGGACCAGTCAGAGAGTAAGCAAGAAATAATCTATGTCCTTCCTCCCTCAGAGACAGGTTATTCTCTGCAGAAATTAAAGAGGAAATTAATGAGATGGAAAAAAAAATCAATAAGCCAAGAGTCAGCTCTTTTAACACAGCTATCAAAATAGACACCTTTTAATAAAACTGATCAAAAGACAGAAGTTCCAAAAAATAATACAGTGTAAAAGGAAGCATATCTATGTAAGTCGGGGATGGTGGCTCATGCCTGTAATCCTAGCACTTTGGGAGGCAGAGGTGGGCAGATCACTTGAGGTCAGGAGTTCAAGACCAGCCTGGGCAACATGGTGAAACTCTGTCTCTACTAAAAAATACAAAGAAAATTAGCTGGGTGTGGTGGTGGGTGCCTGTAGTCCCAGCTACCCTGGAGGCTAAGGCAGGAGAATTGCTTGAACCCAGGAGGTGGGGGTTGCAGCGAGCCAAGATCACTCCACTGTACTCCAGCCTGGGTGACAGAGCAAGACTATGTGTCAAAAAAAAAAAAGAAAAAGAAAATTATTATGAATAACTATTTGTCAATAATAATGAAAACTCAATGGAAATGGATAACAATTCCTTTAAAAATAAAGCTTTACTGACTCACAAAAAATTTAAGAAGCATAATACTATATTTAAAAATCAAATAGTTAAAAATTGTCCACCAAAGAAAACAGGAGGAATAGATGGTTTTTAAGGTGAGTTCTATCAAATTTTCAAGGGACAGATCATCCCAATTTCATACAAACTCGTTTAGACAAAATAAAAAGCAAGAATAATCCCCAAGTTATTCTATAAAATCAGCATAACTTTAAACCAATATCCAACTACTTACAGAAAGGAAAAATCAAAGACCCATTTTATGACAAATCTAAATGCAAAAATCCTAAATAAAACATTAGTACACTATCACTACTGCTAATCCACATTGTATTAAATACCCTAGCCTGTAAAATAAAGCTTTAAAAAGACAGGAGGTGGCCAGGAGTGGTGGCTCATGCCTGCAATCCCAACACTTTGGGAGATGCAAGTGGGAGGATCATGTTTGAGCCTAGGTAACAGGCGAGGCTCTGTCTCAAAAATAAATAAAAAAATAAGACATGAGGCATAAAGATTAAAAAAGAAATGGTTTTTCAGATGGTATGACTGTTTATATAAAAAATCTAGAAGAATCTATAGGTAATTAGAAACAACAGAGTTTCACAAAGTAGATATAGGATTAATATACAAAGTCAGTTCCATTTTTGGATACTAGTAGCAAATATTTAGAAAATATAATTACAAAGAAGACAGCATTTACAATGGTATCAAAGAATATCAAGAGTCTAGGAAAAACTTTACCAAAAGATGTGTGAAGGCGTTCCACAGGGGAAATTATAAAACTACAGATTCCACGCAATTCCAATTAATCGCAATGAAGTTTTTCATGGAATATGACAAAATTCTAAACGTATATGGGAAAGTAAAAAACCAAGAATAGCCAGGATACTTTTGAAGAGAAGAAAGAGAGGACTTACTCTCCTAGATATCATGATTTACTCTAAGGCTATAGAAAAATAATAAAGACAATATAGTATCAGCAAAGGCACAGACAACCAATGGAATAGAAAACAAGTTCAGACAAACGCAAACATATTTTTAACCATAATATTAGGTTAATGGAGAAAGGCTATTCAATAATTAAGGTTGAAAAAGTTATTGATATTAAAAAAGACTTCATACCATATTATAAACAAATAAACTCCAGATGGATTAAGATTTAAATGTCAAAAACACAGCTTTAAACTCAAGAAACCATAAGCTGGCCGGGTGCAGGTAGCTCATGCCTGTAATCCCAGCATTTTGGGAGGTTGAGGTGGGTGGATCATGAGGTCAGGAGATCGGGACCATCCTGGCTAACATAGTGAAACCCCATCTCTACTAAAAATACAAAAAATTAGTCAGGTGTGGTGGTGGGCGCCTGTACTCCCAGCTACTCGGGAGGCTGAGGCAGAAGAATGGCATGAACCCGGGAGATGGAGCTTGCAATAAGCTGGGATCGCCCCATTGCACTCCAGCCTGGGTGACAGAGCGAGACTCTGTCTCAAAAAATAAATAAATAAATAAATAAAAAAGAAACCATAAGCTGGGAGAAGATATTTACCACACAAACAACAAAAATAACAACAAATATGTATTTTAAAAAATTCTACAAACCAGTAAGAAACCCACTGGCCCATTAAGAAAATGGATGTTGGCCGGGTGTGGTGGCTGATGCCTGTAATCCCAGCACTTTGGGAGGCTGAGGTGGGCGGGTCATGAGGTCAGGAGATCAAGACTGTGTTGGCCCACAGAGTAGAGACCACTCACACAATGGGAGAAAATATCTGCAAACTACGCATCTGACAAAGGACTAGTATCCAGAATCTACAAGGACTCAACAAATCAGCAATAAAAAACCCCAAATAATCCCATTAAAAAGTGGGCAAAGGACATGAATAGACATTTCTGAAAAGGATATATAAAAATGGCCAACATATTAAAAAATGCTCAACATCATAATCATCAGGGAAATGCAACTTAAAGCCACAGTGAGATACCACCTTAATCCCAGCTACACAGGAGACTGAGGGAGAACAGCTTGAACCTGGGAAGCAGAGGTTGCGGTGAGCCGAGATTGTGCCACTGCACCCCGGCCTGGGCGACAGAGAGAGACTACGTTTCAAAAAAAGTCAAAAACAACAGATGTTTGCGTGGATGTGGGGAAAAGGGAACACTTATACACCGCTGGTGGGAATGCAAATTAGTACAAACTTCTATGGAAAACAGTATGGAGATACCTTAAAGAGCTAAACATAGATCTATCATTCAATCCAGCAATCCAAAATGACTTATAGAATACTACTCAGCCATAAAAAGGAATGAAATAATGTGTTTTTAGGCAACTTGGATGGAGCTAGAGGCCATTATTCTAAGTGAAGTAAAACCAAAAACCATATATATTCCCACTTGTAAGTAGGAGCTAAGCGATGAGTATGCAAAGCCATACAGAGTGATATAATGGATGTTAGAGATGCAAAAGAGGGAGGGTGGAAGGGGAGCTAGGGATAAAAAACTACACAGTAGGTATAATGTTCACTACTCTGGTGATGGGTGCACTAAAGTCTCAGACTTCACCACTATATAATTCATCCATGTAACAAAAAACCTCTTGTACCCCAAAAGCTATTGAAATAAAAAGTTTTCAAAAAATCAATACTCTGAGATCAAGGTTAGGAGAGGGCTTCAAAAGGTGGCTGATTAGAGGCATCTCTTACTTACCTCCTCCACTATGAACCAAAATAGTGAGTAGATAATTACATACATACAGATCATCCAAGAGAGAACACAAATTCAACAGAGAAGTGACGGAAAACACATTAAGGTGATATAGTTTGGAAATTTGTCCCCACCCAAATCTCATGTTGAAATGTAACCCCCAATGTTGGCAGTGGGGTCTAGTGGGAGGTGTTTGGATCATGGGGGTGGATTCCTCACGAATGGCTTGGGCCATTCCCTTGGTGAAAAGTGAGCTCTCACTCTGAGTTCACAAGATTTGGTTGTTTAAAGTGTGTGGCACCTCTTCCCACAGTGCTCTCTCACTTGCTCCTGCTTTCGCCATGTGACGTGCCTGCTTCCCCTTTGCCTTCTGCCATAAATAAAACCTCCTGGAGGCCTCCCTAGAAGCCAAGCAGATGTCAAACTATGCTTCCTGAACAGCTTGCAGAACGATGAACGAATTAAACCTCTTTTCTTATTAATTACCCAGTCTCAGGTCTCCATCCCTCCCGTCTCCCTCCCTCCCTCCTTCCTTCCATCCTTCCATTTTTCCCATAGACCTCTGGTATTTCTTCATAGCAATGCAAAAATGGCCTAAAACATAAGGAAAGGGAAGGAGGCAAGGCAGCCTGCTCCGCTACAGTTGGCTGGGAGAAGAGAGAAATTCCCCAATGCTCAGAAAGGCTAAGTGAGAGACTCTCAGCTGTCCACATTCCTGTTGCAGACTTCTACAATCCTAGCCATAGAAGGGTCCCTTGACCCCTGTGGGTCCCAAGACTCACAAAGGGAGTTTCCTGAAAGCTGCATGAAGGCATTGCTCCAGAGAGCTCACGCTGTCCCCACAAGCCCCTGAGTTTTGAAAAGTGGCAGCACAGTGCCATGGCCTCCACTCCACTGGATTATGTCTTGCCCGGCAACCTGGGCTGAGGTGGCAGCACGGGTGGCAATCTTGCCCCTTCTAACCATGCAGAGGGGTGGCTGAGCATTCTCATGAACCCTGAGGACAAATTCCACTGCCTGCAGCTGCTGTGGCTAAAGACCGCTGTGGGCCGACGCACAGGTGATGCTGCCTACCTATGGCTGCTCCCAGGGGAAGCAACTTCACTCTCCTTAGTCGCAGCGACACAACATGCTGCTGTCTCCACCTGAACATTCTGCTGGTGGCCTGGGACACTCACCCCACCCTTATAAACCACAGCCGGCATCTTTACGCACCACCGAGGAACCTAAGGGCACACAGCCTGTCCTGGCTCCAGCCCCTACCAGTACCTGAGAGCAATGTCCAGGGGACTAGGTATTGTCCAGCCCAGTCCATTACCAGTGGCACCTGCGCACTCAACCTGGGGCCTGAGATAGGGCCCACTTAACCTGCTGCTACCACCACAGCTGGCACTCATTGCCATGCACCACCTGTGGATATGGAGACTGGCCCAATCAACAAATCACAGTCACTGCCAAAACCAATGCTGATCAGTTAGGACCCAGAGGGTTGTCCCACCACTGCTGTTGCCATTTCCCATGCTACATCCACTGCCCAGGGGCTCAAGAACCCACCCAACAGCCTGGCCCACTGCTGCCATTCCCAGCACCTGATCAAGCTACCTGGAGGCTCAAGAATTGGCCTGCTAACACTGGTGCCAGCAGACACACTCTGGGGCCCAGGGACAGGCATGCTCAATCCACAACTACCACCACTGCGACCTGAAGACTGGCCTACTTGGCATTCCAGGCCCCAGCAAAACTTTACCACAGCCTCCACTAACAACTGCACCCTAAGTCACTGATGAAATCACAGACACCACTGATGCTGTTTACAGCCAAATAAGTCATACCGATCCTATGCTATTGCACCCACCTAGAATCAAAGCCACTGTGCTCTACCCAAGCAATACTAAAGATACATCTTCAGGAAAAAGTTCTTCCCTACAAAAGTAAATTAAAAAAACTGGAAAAAGTGACTATTATACCAGATGCACAGATATCAAGGTAAAGGACATAGAAAACATTAAAAAGCATGGAAATATGACATCTCCAAAGGAACACAATAATTCTCTAGCAACAGATCTCAATCTAAAAGAAATTCATAAGATCCTAGAAAAAGAATTCAAAATTTCGATACTAAAGGAGCTCAGTGAGATACAAAAAGTTTCCAAAAAACAATACAAAGAAATCAGAAAAACAATTCAGGATATGAATGACAAATTTACCAGAGAATAGATATCAGAAAAAAAGAACCACATAGAAATTCTAGAACTGAAGAATTCATAGAATAAAAAACAAAATACATTCAAAAGCTTCAACAATGGACTAGATCAAGCAAAAGAAAGAATGTCAGAACTTAAAGACAGGTCTTTTTTTTCTGATATAGTCAAAAAAAAAAATAAGGGTAAAAGAATTTTTAAAAATGAGCAAAGTCGGCCAGATGCGGTGGCTCATGCCTGTAATCCCAGCACTTTGGGAGGCCGAGGCAGGTGGATCATCTGAGGTCATGAGTTCAAGACCAGCCTGGCCAACATGGTGAAACCCTGTCTCTACTAAAATTACAGAAATTAGCTGGGCGTGGTGATGGGCATCTGTAATCTCAGCTACTCACGAGCTTGAGGCAGGAGAATCGCTTGAACCCAGGAGGTAGAGGTTGCAGTGAGCCGAGATCACGTCATTGCACTCCAGCCTGGGCGACAGAGCAAGACTCTGTCTCAAAAAAAAAAAAAAAAAAAAGAAGCGAAGTCTTTGTGACATATGCAACTCCATAAAGTGACCAAATATTTATTTATTTATTTATTTTGAGACTGAGTCTCGCTCTGCCCCCCAGGCTGGAGTGCAGTGGCATGATCTCGGCTCACTGCAAGCTCTGCCTCCCGGGTTCACGCCATTCTCCTGCCTCAGCCTCCTGAGTAGCTGGGACTACAGGCGCCCACCACCACACCCAGCTAATTTTTTTTTATTTTTTAGTAGAGACGGGGTTTCACTGTGTTAGCCAGGGTGGTGTCGATCTCCTGACCTCATGATCTGCCCGCCTCGGCCTCCCAAAGTGCTGGGATTACAGGCGTGAGCCACTGCGCCCGGCCTCCAAATATTTATTTGAATTACTGGGGTATCTCAAAGCAAAGAGAGAACAGAAGGATTAGAAAACCTATTTAGTGGCCGGGTGCAGTGGCTCACGCCTGTAATCCCAGCACTTTGGGAGGCCGAGGCGGGCGGATCACGAGGTCAGGAGATCAAGACCATCCTGGCTAACAGGGTGAAACCCCGTCTCTACTAAAATACAAAAAAAAAAAATTAGCTGGGGGCGGTGGTGGGCGCCTGTAGTCCCAGCTACTCGGGAGGCTGAGGCAGGAGAATGGCGTGAACCCGGGAGGCGGAGCTTGCAGTGAGCCGAGATAGGCCACTGCAGTCCGGCCTGGGCGAAAGAGCGAGACTCTGTCTCAAAAAAAAAAAAAAAGAAAAAGAAAAAAAAAAAGAAAACCTATTTAGTGGCCAGGCACAGTGGCTCATGCTTGCAATCCCAGAACTTTGGGAAGCTGAGGCAGGTGGATCACCTGAGGTCCTGAGCTCAAGACCAGCCTGGCCAACATGGTGAAACCCCGTCTCTACTAAAAATACAAAAAATTAGCTGGGCATGGTGGCAGATGGCTGTAATCCCAGCTACTTGGGAGGCTGAGGCAGGATCACTTGAACCCGGGAGGTGGAGGGTGCAGTGAGCCAAGATTGCGCCACTGCACTCCAGCCTGGGCCACAAGAGTGAAACTATGCCTCGAAAACAAAACAAAACCAAAAAATACCAGAAAACCTATTTAGTGAAATAGTGAAATAATACATGAAAACTCACCAAGTCTAGCAAGAGAGGTAGATATCCAGATATAGGAGGCCCAGGTATCCCCAAACAAATACAATGCAAAAAGGTATTCTCCATGGCATATTTATAGTCCACTGCCATAAATCAAAGACAAAGAGAATTCTAAAAACAGCAAAGAGGAAAAAAAAAAATTCAGCAAAGAGAAAAGCATCTAGTCACCTATAAAGGAACCCCCATCAGACTTACAGCAGGTTTCTCAGTAGGAAGCTTACAGACCCAGAGAAAAGAGAAGAGAAAAGAGAATAATATATTCATTGGAGATAAGAGAATGATATATTCAAAATGCTGAAGGAAAAACTCCCAGCCAAAGTGTATTAGTCTGATCTTGCACTGCTGTAAAGAACTATCTGAGCCTGGGTAATTTATAAAGAAAAGAGATTAAATTGGCTCATGGTTCTTCAAGCTGCATAGGAAGCATGGCTGGGGAGGCCTCAGGAAACTTACAATCATGGCAGAAGGCAAAGAGGAAGGAGAAGGAGGCACATCTTACAGGGTCGGAGCAGGAGGAAGAGAGTGAAGGCGAAAATGCTACACACTTTTAAACAACCACATCTCATGAGAAGTCACTCACTATCATGAGAAAAGCAAGGAGGAAGTTCATGTTCATCCCCATGATCCAGTCACTTCCCACTAGGCCTCACCTCCAACACTGAAGATTACAATTTGACATGAAATTTGGGCAGGGACACAAATCCAAACCATATCACAAAGATACTATAATCAGCAAAATTATCCTTCATAAATGAAGGAGAAATAAAGTCTTCTCCAGACGAGCAAAAGCTGAGGGAATTCATTACTACTAGACCAGACCTACAAGAAATGTTCAAGAAGTCCTAAACCTGAAAGTGAAAGGATGACATTTATGATCATAAAAACACACACAAATAGAAAACTCAGTGGTAAAGCAACACACAAATAAGGAAGAGAAAGGACTCAAATGGTACTACCATAAAAAGACAGCAAACCACTATAACAAACAATAAGAGAAAGGAACAAAGAATATATAAAGCAACCAGAAAACCGTTAATATGACAGAAAAAAGGCTCACATATAATTAATAACTGCATGTAAATGGAGTTAAGCTCTCCTCTTAAAAGATACAGGCTGGCTAAAAGGATAAAAAACATAATCCGACTACGTGCTGCCCACAAAAAATGCACTTTCCCTGTAAAGAGACATACAGACTGAAAGTTAAAGCATGGAAAAAGATATTCCATGCAAATAGAAACCAAATGAGCAGAGAGAACAAAAGGATTAGAAAATCTATTTAGTGGCCAGGCACGGTGGCTCATGCTTGTAATCCCAGCACTTTGGAAAGCTGAGATGGGTGGATCACCTGAGGTCAGGAGCTCAAGACCAGCCTGGCCAACATGGTGAAACCCTGTCTCTACCAAAAATGCAAAAAATTAGCTGGGCATGGTAGCAGATGGCTATAATCCCAGCTACTTGGGAGGCTGAGGCAGGATCACTTGAACCCAGGAGGCGGAGACTGCAGTGAGCCAAGATTGCGCCACTGCACTCCAGCCTGGCAGCGGCGTGATCTCCGCTCACTACAACCTCTGCATTCCAGGTTCAAGCGATTCTTCTGCCTCAGGCTCCTGAGTAGCTATACTTAGATAAAACAGACTTTAAGTCAAAAATAGTAAAAAAAAAAAAAAAAAAAAAAAAAAAAAAAAAGACAAAGAAGGTCATTATCTAATGGCAAAGGAATCAAACCAGCAAAAAGATGTAACAATTCTAAACATATATGAACCTGACACTGGAGCACCCAGATTCCTAAAGCAAGTTATTACTAGATCTAGAGAGAGAGAGACTCCAGTGCAATCGTACTGGGCAAACTCACCCCACTCTCAGCATTAGACAGATCATCTAGACAGAAAATTAACAAAGAAACATTGCATTTAAACCAGACTTTAGACCAAATGGACCTAACAGATGTTTGTAGAACATTTTATCCAACAGCTGCAGAATACATATTTTTCTCAACAGCACATGAAACATTCATTCTTCAGAAAAGACCATATGTTAGGCCACAAAATCATTTTCAACAAATTTTTAAAAATCAAAATCATATCAAGTATGTTCTCGAACTACAATGGAATATTAGAAATCAGTATCAAGGGGAACTTTGGAAGTGACAGAAATACATGAAAATTAAATAACATGGTCTCAAATGACCATGGGTCAATAAGGAAATTAAAATGAAAATCAAAAAATTTCTTGGAACAAATGAAAATGGAAACTACAACATACCAAAACCTATGTGATACAACAAAAGCAGTGCTTTTGTATCACAAAACCTATGTGATTTTTTGTATCACAAAACCTGTGTGATACAACAAAAGCAGGACATGAATACTAAGTTTATGGCAATAAACGCCTACATCCAAAAAGTAAAAAGATTTCAAACAATCTAATGATTTACCTCAATGAACCAGAAAGAACAAGCCAAAGCCAAACCCAAAATTAGCAGAAGGAAACGACTAATAAAGATCAAAGCAGAACTAAATGAAATAGAGACTTTTAAAAAAGGCAGAGGATCAACAAAATGAAAAGCTTGTTCTTCAAAAAGATAAACAAAATTGATAAACTACTAGTTAGGCTAACAACAACAAAAAAGAAGACCTAAATAAAATCAGAAATGAAAAAGGAGACATTACAACCATTCTCATAGAAATAAATAGACCATCAGAGAATATTATGAACAGCTATGCACCCACAAACTGGAAAACCTAGAGGAAATGGATAAATTTCTGGAAACATACAACCTATCAAAGAAAAATCCAGGAAAAAATAGAAAACCTGAACAAATTAATAATGAGTAGCAAGAACGAATCAGTAATAAAAAGTCTCCCCACAAAGAAAAGCCCAGAACCAGATGGATGCACACTGAATTCTACCAAATGTATAAAGACCTAATACCAATCCTCCTGAAACTACTCCAAAATACTGAAGAGGTGGCAATTTTCCCTAACTCATTCTAGAAAGCTGGTGCTACCCTGATACCAAAACCAGACAAGGACACAGCAAAAAAAAAAAAAAAAAAAAGAAAGCAACAACCAATATCCCTGATGAACACCAATGCAAAAATCCTCAGCAAAATACTGGCAAACCAAATCTAACAGCACATTGAAAAGATAATACACCATGATCAAATGAATTTATTCGAGGGATGCAAGGATGGTTCAATATATGCAAATCAATGTGACATATCACATCAACAGAATAAAGGGCAAAAGTCGTATGTCATCTCACTAGACGCAGAAAAAGGAATTCATAAAATTCAACATCCCTTCAGGATAAAAACTCTTAGCAAACTAGGCACAGAAGGATTATACCTCAAAATAATAAAGGCCACATATGACAAACTCACATTAACATCACACAAAAATGGGGAAAAGCTGAAAATCTTTCCTCTAAGAACTGAAGACAAAGATGCCCACTTTCACCACTACTATTCAACATGGGACTGACAGTCCTAGCCAGAACAATTAGGCAAGAGAAAGAAATAAACGACATCCAAACTGGAAACATGGAAGTTAAACTGTCCCTCTCTACAGATGACAAAAGACTATCAAAAAATTCTTAGAGCTGATAAATTCAGTAAGGTTGCTGGATACAAATTCAACATACAAAAACCAGTAGCATTTCTATATACCAACAATAAAATAGCTAAAAAAGGAAATCAAGAAGGCAACACCTTTTACAGTAGCTCAAACAAAAGCCAAAGAAGTGTAAGATCTCTATAATGAAAACTACAAAAACACAGATGAAAGAAACTGAAGAGAACACAAATAAGCAGGAAGACATTTCATGCTCACAAAATATTGTTGAAATGATCATACTATCCAAACTAATGTACAGTTCAATGAAATCCCTATTAAAATACCAACACCATTTTTCAAAGAAACAGAAAAAAGAATCCTAATGTTTTCATGAAACCAAAAAAAAAGCCAGAAAAGCTAAAGAAATTCTGAGTTAAAAAATAAAGCGGCGGCATCATTCTACTTGACTTCAAAACATATTACGAGGCTATAGAAACCAAAGCAACAAAGTATTGGTATATAAACAAGCATACAGACCAATGGAACAAAATAGAGAACCCAAAAATAAATCCTCATATTTATACACAACCGATCTTCGACAATGCCATTAAGAACACACACTGGGCAAACGACACCCTCTTAACAAACGGTGCCAGGAAATCCAGGTAACTATATGCAGAAGAATGAAAGTGAGTCCCTATCTCTCACCATTTAGTTGATACAAATATCAACAAAAATAGATTAAAGACTTATATTATATAAGACCCAAAAGTGTAAAACTAAAAGAAGAAAACACAGGGCAAATGCATCAAGACATTGGTCTAGGCAAAGATTTTATGGCTAAGATCTCAAAAGCCCAGGCAACAAAAACAGACAAATAGGACTACATTAAACTGAAAGGCATCTTAAATTTTTTTTTTTTTTTTTTTATGTAAGGGCTCCCTCTGTCACCCAGGCTGGAGTGCAGTAAGTGTGATTATGGCTCACAGCAGCCTCAACCTCCTGGGATCAAGTGATCTTCCTATCTCAGCATCCCAAGAAGATGGGACTACAGGCATGTTCCACCATGTCTGGCTAATTTATATTTTTTTGTAGAAACGGATCTTGCTATGTTTCTCAGGCTGGTCTCAAACTGCTCGGCTCAAGTGATCCTCCTGCCATGGCTTCCCTTAATGCTGAGATTATAGGCTAAAAAGCTTCTGCATAGCAAAAGAAACAATCAACAGCATGAAGAAGACAACCTCTTAAATGGGACAAAATATTTGCAATCTACTCATCCAATATGGGACTAATACCCAGAGTATACAAGGAACTCAAACAACACAACATTAAAAAATAACCCCATTAAAAAATAGGCAAGGGACATGAATAGACATTTCTTAAAAGACAAAGAAATGGCCAAGAAGTATATGATAAAATACTCAATATCACTAATCATCAGGGATATGCAAATCAAAACCACAATAAGGAATGGCTATTAAGAAGAAAAAAAGTAACAGATATTGATGACAATGTGGAGAAAGAACTCTTCTACACTGTTGGTGGAAGTGTAGGTAAGCATAGTCACTATACAAAACAGTTGGGGATTTCTCAGGCCAGGAGCGGTGGCTCACGCCTGTAATCCCAACACTTTGGGAGGCCGAGGCTGGCTCCCAAAGTGGTCAGGGGATCGAGACCATCCTGGCTAATATGGTGAAACCCCATCTCTACTAAAAAATACAAAAAATTAGCCAGGCTTGGTGGCCGGCGCCTGTAGTCCCAGCTACTCAGGACGCTGAGGCAGAAGAATGGTGTGAACCTGGAAGGCAGAGCTTGCAGTGAGCCAAGATCATGCCACTGCACTACAGCCTGGGCGACAGAGCAAGACTCCGTCTCAAAAAAAAGAAAACAGTTGGGGATTTCTCAAAAAACTAAAAATAGAGCTACCATACAATCCAAAAACCCCAATATTGGTAGTCATTGAAAACAAATCAATATAACAAAGGGATATATACACTCCTGTGTTTATTGCAGCACTACTCACAATAGCAAATACATGAAATCAACTTAAGTGCCCATCAAAGGATGAATGGATAAATGTGGTATATATACACAATGGAATACTATATGCCCATAAAAAAGAATAAGATCACGCCATTTCCAGGAATATGGATGGAGCTGGAGGTCATTATGTTAAGTAAAATCTAAGACAGGGAAAGATAAATATTTTTCAAAATAGCCAGAAGACTTGAAATGTACACAACACATATATATGATAAATACCTGGCTGTGGATAGTAAATACTCTGATTTAATGATTATATATTCTGTGCATTTAACAAAATTTCACATGTACCCCATGAATACGTATAAATATAATGGATCAGGAAAAAAAAAGAAGGAAAAGAAAAAAAACCTTAAAGGTAAAGTTGGCTAACTTGGAGAATTTTTTTTTTTTCTTGAGACGGAGTCTCACTCTGTTGCTCAGGCTGTAGTGCAGTGGCACTATCTCAGCTCACTGCAACCTCTGCCTCCTCGGTTCAAGCGATTCTTCTGCCTCAGCTACCAAGTAGCTTGGGCTATAGGCGCGTGCCACCATGCCTGGTTAATTTTTGTATTTTGAGTAGAGATGGGGTTTCACCAAGTTGGCCAGGCTGGTCTCCAATTCCTGACCTCAGGTGATCTGTCCGCCTCAGCCTCCCAAAGTGCTGGGATTACAGATGTGA
This sequence comes from Homo sapiens, assembly GCF_000001405.40. Lineage (NCBI taxonomy): Eukaryota > Metazoa > Chordata > Mammalia > Primates > Hominidae > Homo > Homo sapiens. The sequence goes on along the minus strand of NC_000002.12, from coordinate 108,455,173 downwards.
GCCACCGAGCCTGGCTGAAATTTTCTAATCTTGTCTTTAGGAGTAGTTTTGACAGTGGGAGAATACATTGATGAGTGATAAGGAGGAAACAGCAGGTAGATATTTAAATGTTCTTATTCTGAAATGCAATTCTGTAAAAAGTATTATAAGAGTTAATGGATAAAAAACTTTCTAGAGTGTTTTCTAACACTCTATAGAGGTTGCAGTGAGCGGAGATCACGCCACTGCACTCCAGCCTGGGCGATAGGGAGAAATCCTATCTCAAGAAAAAAAAAAATCCCCCAGAAATAATAAATGGTAGTAATAACAATGATAACTAACAATTATTGGGTACTTATGTGACCAACCCAGTTCTATGTGCAGTAGATATATTACCTTATCAATCCTACATTTCTACATCAATCCTGTTTGTACCTCAATCCTACAAACAGAAAGTATTATTATCGCTGTTCTACAGATGACAAAACTGAATCATAGAGAAAGAATTTAAGAAACTTAGTCAAGGTCACACAGCTGATCAGTAGATGAACAAGGATTTGAAAGCCTGACTCAGGCAGTCTGGGTGTTATCGACCTTCTTCCTTAATTAACATATAGTTGTACTGTGGCTATCATGGATTAAGAAAACATATAATGACTAAATATACAAAGAAGACTACTGTGAACTCAGTAATACTTAAATGAAACAGTACATTATAAAATGAAATGACATTTGTGCACATCATTCTAGCTTCATACACTGTAACTAAATAAAGAACAAAATGATACTGTGTGACATGCATATGGATTTAAAGACCCCTTGTAATAACTCTCTGGGAGTCCCTCAGTAGTTCACTGCTCACAAGTGGGGAGCCACTGATGAGAAAATAAGATAATATATAACCAGGCTGGGCGCAGTGGCTCACGCCCGTAAACCCAGCACTTCGGGAGGACGAGGCAGGTGGATCACGAGGTCAGGAGATCGAGACCATCCTGGCTAACGTGGTGAAACCCTGTTTCTACTAAAAATACAAAAAATTAGCCAGGCATGGTGGCGGGTGCCTGTAGTCCCAGCTACTTGGGAGGCTGAGGCAGGAGAATGGCGTCAACCCAGGAGGCGGAGCTTGCGGTGAGCCGAGATTGTGCCACTGCACTCCAGCCTGGGCGACAAGGCGAGACTCTGTCTCAAAATAAATAAATAAATAAAAATAAATAAATATATAACCAACGGATATTATGCAAAAGCAGTGAAAACAGTATTTCAGAGCTCTGAGATGTAAAAGAAACTTTACAGAAGCTTGGCCTAAGGCGGGCAATGAAAGTGAGGGAATGAAAAAGCATTTGTTAGCATTAAGGGAGTGGAAATAAGAATAAGCAACTCAGATTTTTTGTGTTTTTTTTTTTTTTTTTAAAAACGGAGTCTTGCTGTGTTGCCCAGGCTGGAGTACAGTGGCTCAATCTCAACTCATTGCAACTTCTGCCTCCTGGGTTCAAGCAATCCTCGTGCCTCAGCCTCCTGAGTAGTTGGGATTTCAGGTGTGGGCAATCACGCCCAGCTAAATGTTGTATTTTTAGTACAGACAGGGTTTCACCATGCTGGCCAGGCTGATCTCAAACTCCTGACCTCAAGTGATCCTCCCACCTTGGCCTCCCAAAGTGCTGGGATTACAGGTGTGAGCCACTGCATTTGGCCTGCAACTCAGGTTTTTAAACGGGGAATAAAAACAATATTTTGTTATCTGGCAGTATTATATAAGACTAAAAAGAGAAAGAGAACCCAGTGAGGTTTTTATTGAAATAGGTTAAGTATTTGATGTGTTTAACATAAAGCCATAGAAATAGAGAGAAAAAAGATAAACTGGAACAATATCTTAAAGCTATAATAGGTCTCTGGTGACTGACACATATAGAGAATAAAGGAAACAGAGAAGTTAAAGTGTCTCTAAAGTCAAAAGGTATAAAAAACTGTGGTGCCACTGGTCTAACCAAGGGAAGCAATTTGGTTGAGTTTGATGAGATAAGTGAAATGTGTGAGAGGGAAACACAACTGTGAGATCTGGGTCAGTAGACATGTCCAGGGATATGGATCTATCTATAGATTATATACTGTACACCTAAAATCACTTAAGTCCTGAGCATGGCCAGGTTTTCAGGGGGCTGGGGAAGAGCAGAGAATGAAGTAACAACCATAATTAGAAAATATGGGCTGGGCGTGGTGGCTCACGCCTGTAATCCCAGCACTTTGGGAGGCTGAGGCGGGCGGATCGTGAGGTCAAGAGAGCAAGACCATCTTGGCCAACATGGTGAAATCCCGTCTCTACTTAAAATACAAAAATTAACTGGGTGTGGTGGCGGGCGCCTGTAGTCCCAGCTATTTGGAAGGCTGAGGCAGGAGAACTGCTTGAACTCGGGAGGCAGAGGTTACAGTGAGCCAAGATCACACCACTGCACTTCAGCCTGGTGACAGAGTGAGACTCCATCTCAAAAAAAAAAAAAAAAAAAAAGAAAGAAAAAAGAAAATACGTGGGAAGAGAGTAGAATAATAATTTCAGAACAGAAAGAGACCCAGAGGTCATTAACCCCCTCTTTTTACAGTGAATCAGATAGGTAAAAACAACCAAGGCAGAGAGGAAGTAGAACAGAAACAGAAAGCCAGATAGCCTCTAGCAGACTGACAATCCTCAGGGAAATTTTATTTCTCTTTAGACATTTCCCAACGTAATAATTACCTTAATAATATCACCAGTTCCTTCAGTAACAGGTTTTGATCTGAGTTCTTCAATTTCTTTCTCCAATTCTAAACAATTAAAAAATAAAGGACTCCGGTTCAGAAATAAAGAACATAATTACTGGGAAACTGATAAGTACATTCTCACAAAACCCCCCATAAATCTGCAAATTAGAATATATTTAAGCAGAATAGTATGATTAATCTCTGCACTCATCACTATACTTCAGCATTACATGGCCAATTTTGTTTCCTCCCAACCTGTACTCACTTCCTCCTTCACTGCTTTTCTTATCCATCTGATAATTTTCAAGCATACCCCAGACATCATATTATTTCACCTGTAAGTACATCTTACTGTATAACCTTAAAGCAACAATCACATATTAAGAATAAACGTTATCGAGAACAGCCTGGCCAACATGGTGAAACCTCGTCTCTACTAAAAATACAAAAATTAGCCAGGCATGGTGGTGGGTGCCTGCAGTCCCAGTTACTCGGGAGGCTGAGGCAGGAGAATCGCTTGAACCCGGGAAGGGGAGGTTGCAGTAAGCCGAGATTGCGCCACTGCACTCCAGCCTGGCCAAGAAGAGCGAGACTCCGTCTTGAAAAAAAAAAAAAAAAAAGAGAGAGAGAGAGAAAAGAAACGTTAATCTAAGTGTTTAATTAGCAAATGCCTAGATCTCAGGCCTAGAACTTCTTTCCAAATAAATTATTCTCTTCATTGCAAGGTGATCCAAACTCCCAAGACATACTTTTATCTTTTCTAATAGAAAATAAGTCTTAGCTTTTAGGCTAAGCAGTTAATATTTATAAGTCACTGGAAATTCAAGAGCTCATGTACATATACTAAAAAAAAAAGGTGCTAAGATCTTTTTCCTTCTGGAATAAAAAGAAAACTGAATAGGGAATCAATCAACTTCAGCAGGTAAACATACTTCAATATCTGTAAATGGAAGTCTTTTATTATTTTAATTGAGGAAGCTTTCCATCTCTTTGGGCTTATCTTCTGTCTCTAACATTTCAACTGACTTCTCTTGAAAAAACACTTTACTCAGAACTCAGAAGAATCTAAAGTCTACATGAAGGAAAAACACACTTAACTTACACAAACTTTAAAAATCCTCCTCCCTGACTTTAACAACTCAAAAGTCACTGTGGTTTAGAGATGTGGGAATAATTTAGAAATCAGAGGTAAATTTTTAGAATGTTAAATAACAGATTCTACTACACTAAGGTGTACTTGGAATCACTGGAAAACAAACAAAAACAAGCCAATGCATTATTTTAAAAACTACCATTTTAAACCACGATTAAAGAGACTGTGATCAAGATGAGTATTTTCAACCCAATACCTGTACACCTTGATTTAGCTTTCTGTATTAGCATCATCTGTTTCTTGGCAAACTTGATGAGGTCTTCTTTGGGCAATGTTTCCAGCTGAAAGATGTGGTCATGTTACCAACTTGTTATAACTCATGTTTCTAGTATACCACAAAAAAGAAACAATGTCTGCTAGAAAACAAAAACATTCTACAGAATAAATCTTTATGCCAACCGCATACTTTGTTCCACATTTTTTTTTTGAGACAGAGTCTCGCTCTATTGCCCAGGCCGGAGTGCATGACACGATCTTGGCTCACTTGTAACCTCTGCCTCCCAAGTTCAAGCAATTCTCCTGTCTCAGCCTCCCAAATAGCTGGGATCATAGGCGCCCGCTACCACGTCCGGCTAATTTTTGTATTTTTAGTAGAGACGGGGTTTCACCATGTTGGCCAGGCTGGTCTCAAACTCCTGACCGCAGGTGATCTGCCCGCCTCGGCCTCCCAAAGTGTTGGGATTACAGGCGTGACCCACCGCGCCCGGCCACATTTTTTAAAATCAGCAAATGCAACGTCAATTCTGTAATTGCTATGCAACTACTAAAAATTAGTTATGCAACTACTATGAAACGTAAAAACCAGGCCATATCCTCTTATAGCTAATGTTACAGGTTGACATTGCTAGCTTTTGATTTAATTGTAAAATCAGTAGGTTGGAGCTAATGCTACTTAAAATTCCTTGGAGCTGTAAAATTATTTCATTCTATTCAAGGCTGCAAGTCTTTGGTCACAAGAAAATTTACGCATAATTACAGCAGCAAGATGAACCGGGTAACATTCAGGCTTTAATTAAAAAATTGAGCTTTACCACTTGAGAAAATTGCTTAAGCCTGTGGTCTCAGGTTTCTCATCTGTAAAAGGAGGGTAACAACAGTACCTATCTCATGGTTATCATGAAGCTTAAACGAAGGAACTGAGTGGTTAGGCAAGCGCCAGAAATTTAGCATGCACACAATAAACCTTAGCAATAAACCACTATCATTTAGAATGATTGAATGTTAAACATTGTACAGGGCCATAAAACTGGACTAATTAAACTCTTTGGCAATGTAGAAACTGGAGCCCACAGATCAGAATCCCTTGATTCCTACCCTATGTCACTGCTCCTTCCACTACACCACTATATAAACCTTCTTAGACTGCTTTATGTTCGAAAAATAGCAGGATCTCCCAGCAGTGCTAACCAGGAGCAGGAAGCAAACAAAAAGTCTTTCTATATCGGGGTGGGCGGGGGAGAAACAGGAAATGGGCGATTGCGCACACTAAAATTGAGATCCCTTGGAGCAAGGCTATTAAAAAAAAAAAAATCAGCGCCCCCCCCTTCCCCATGCCAAAGTTTTCCAATTCATCACCCTTCCACTCTTCAGGAAGCCCGCTATTCAAGTATTCTCTTCACCTTAGATTTCCCGGTCCCAGGGGTAGCTGGTGAAGCCACCCCATCTTGAACAAGATCCTGCAAAACAAAATCAAACCCAGGTGTCAGAAGAACTCTTTTCCTAATTCCACACGGAACGCGTAGAACCCTTACAGGGAAAAACCTTCTATGGAATCAAGTGGTGGAAAGCCTCGTGAGACAGAGAATGAGGGCGGACGGAGGCGGTCGCTGTGGCAATTCGTACACAAACGGGCTCTACGGGGCAGGTAACCCCCAGGGATAGAGTTTACGAAAGATGGGGAGGCGACAGCAGCGCGGGCTTCGGGACACCAAGAGGGAGACTACCGCGCCCTCCCATCGGGCCCACTCCCACATCCCAAATCGCGGCGCGGAAGGCTTGATGGGAGGCAGTGGGCCCGACCTGAGTTACCTCCATCTCCGCCAGCCCGCCGCCGGCCCGCAACCAGCCGCCGCCACCGCTGCACTTCTGTTTGCGCCAGCCTCTGACGTAGGCTCTACTGCAGGTCAAAGGTCGCGCTCTCCGGGCGGCCCGCCCCCCACGTCTCCATAGCTACAGCTCGGCAGCACTTCCGCTTCCGTGTCTGCGTCCGGGAGAAGGTTCCCCGTACGGCGCTAAGGGCGGAGTCCGTCTAGACGTTCTACCTGGGGCTCGACCCCTGGGCCTGCAGGTCACGGAGTAGGTGTGGGTCCCGCCACTGCCGGTTATTGGCATGGGAAGGCGGGCCGATTACCCCTTGGGGCCTCGGGCCTCGGTTTCCACGTCTGTAAAATCTTGTGAGAGTGAGGAACATTGGATTGCAGGACAGGTCTCTCAGTCCTCCAAAGGTGTCCGCTAGCCTGCGAGTGCCTGCGGGACCCACAGCTGGTTCCGGGGGGCTCCTTAGGCATTTGTGGCCAGCATGGTGCCCGGGAGCTCCGTGACTCACAGGTCAGGGATGCGGTAGAGGGCTTCCCTGAGGAGGCATTTCTTGACTCTGGAGGCTGTGAGGAGGTCCCTGGACAGCTCTGCCCTGCAGCCGCCCGGTACTGATGGTGATGTGGTGGAGGCAAGATAGTCGGCCAGGGAACTGGGCAGCCGTGGGAGGAGACTCTGTAGAGTAGGGGGCCCGAGGCCACCCTTTCCCGAAGGGCACGCCAGAGAATCTGTGGTCGAATCCCAGAGCTGCTGCTGTGTCCTGATTGGCGGTCCAGTGCTCTGAGAGCCTTTCTGTTAACTGCTGAAGTGGTTTGCTGCGCTTTCACCTTCCCATTAATGTTTTCCATACACTCCCATAACTAAGGTAACCTGAAGATAACCTAGTTTCCTGTAGTTTAAATGGTCAAAAGGTTGAAGAGGCAGCACACAGTATGTATCGAGTAAATGGTAGCTGATTATTACTAGGTAAAAGAAGTGTTATAAACGAGAAAGAACAGCTATTGTGGACATCTACTCTTTGTCTTTGACAGTGTGTATCACCTATGGTGTTTGTAGGATTGGTTCAGGGGTGGTGTGTGACCTAAGATGTACAGTCTCCACGTACAGTAACACACGTGTGTGTGTACACGTGTGTGTGTACACGTGTGTGTGTGCACGTGTGTGTGTGCACGTGTGCGCGCACGTGTGTGTGCACGTGTGTGTACACACATATATGCACACACATGTATACACACACACACACACAATCCCCAAGTATACATTGTTATTAATGGTCCAGATTAATGCCATTCAAAGTAGTTCCCCAAGTTAAGAGCAACTTACGGTAGACTCCTATTTCAATTAATAACTTGAAAAAATCACTTGCAATAAAATAGCAGGTTAACTAGATACTACACACATTCCAATCCTGTAAAAGTTTCTCAGAGAAACACTGTTAGATATAGTTACATTCCAGGAGTTTGGCTACATCAATAGCTACAGAAGAGTTGATGTTCTCACAGTAGAACTCTCTTTTTCTCATACTTGAAATAAAAAAGAACCTTTCTTTTCTTCCTTTGATCTTTCTTCCCTCGCCAGCCCTCCATTGCACTTGGCTGGGTAACAGGGTCCATGAGTTGCAGCTACAGGTAGGGCAGCGTCTCCTGGGAATCCCCAGGGAGATGAGGGTCAGCACACCCCTAAGCTCCAGGTCATCAGCGGCCTCCTCACACAGCTCGAGCTCACCCCCATCTGCCTTCCTGGTTGTCATTGGACAGGAATTTTATTTTCTGAGATGATGGAGGCAGGTATAATGTTCTTGACCATCGGATACCTTCTGTTGTTGTTCCTCTTAAGGAAGAAATCATTTATTTCTTCCTTCACTAGTTATAGTAAGTGCTGAAATCTTCTAAATATATTTATCATCTTTCATACTTTAAAGAATGAATATTTATGAATTGATTGTGAGTACTCTGAGATCTTCTGATATTCATAAACCTATAGGAAAGATCTGCTTTATATTTCACATTCTCTGGACTGCAGATAAGTTCACATTTTAAAGATGTATATTACCTTAATGAGCAGAACTATGACCTGTTTAACGAATATGTTTCTTTCCAATTGTAAAAGTAACACAGGTTCATTGTAGAACACCTGGAAAATATAGGAAAATTCCGAAAAGAAAATAAAAATCACCTTGAATCATTTATGGAAATAGAAAATAGGAACAATGTTAATAACAATGTCAATAATATGTGCTGTGCTGGTCACATTGTATAGTAGATGGAGACTGCTGTATGTTAACCAGCACTACTGAAACATAATATAATTTGAGCAAGTTGCAGGGTCTTGCCTAAGTAAAAATAGCTTCTTTACCAGTTTGGAATGGTGCCAACATGCCATTATCTCCTGAAGAGCCACATTAAAAGGCACCTGTTGCTTAGGGATGGTCCGGAGAGACACCTGATCTTTTTTTGTTAGTTCGCTAGCAAGTTTTATTTCAGAAAAATCAATCCTTGGCTCTTCAGTGCTTTGATTATAACTCTTAAGGTAAGCATGGAAAAACTACATTTACATTGTATTTTTTTTTCTTTCTTCTCCTTTTTTTTTTTTTTTTTTTTTCAGACAGGTCTTGCTTTGTCATCCAGGCTGGAGTGCAGTGGCATGATCTTGGCTCACTGCAACCTCTGCCTCTTGGGTTCAAGTGATTCTCCCGCCTCAGCCTCCCGAGTAGCGGGGACTACAGGCAAGTGCCACCACATCTGGATAATTTTTGTATTTTTAGTAGAGACAAGGTTTCACCATCTTGGCCAGGCTGGTCTTGAACTCCTGACCTCAAGTGATCCACCTGCCTCAGCCTCCCAAAGTGCTAGGATTATAGGCATGAGCCACCACACCCGGCCCATTTATATTGTATTGATGTAGCTAAAAGATAAGTCATATGTTTTAATTTACTTTTAATATACTTACAAGTGAATGTAGTTCTGACCTAACCTATTGCCTCTTATTATACAGGATAAGATAGTGAGCCAGAATGTAAGTTACTTTCTAAGGTTCATAGTATGATTAGGGGTAGAGCCAGTACCAGAACTGAGGATTGTTTTTTTTTTTTTGAGACGGAGTTTCGCTCTTGTTGCCCAGGCTGGAGTGCAATGGCACAATCTCGGGTCACCACAACCTCCGCCTCCCAAGTTCTAGTGATTCTCCTGCCTCACCCTCCTGAGTAGCTGGGATTACAGGCATGCATCACCATGCCCAGCTAATTTTTGTATTTTTAGTAGAGACGGGGTTTCACCATGTTGGTCAGGCTGGTCTCGAACTCCCGACCTTAGGTGATCCGCCTCCCTCGGCCTCCCAAAATGCTGGGATTACAGGTGTGAGCCACCACGCCCGGCCAGAACAGAGGATTCTTGACCCTCAGTGCAATGCTTTCTCCTCCATGACACAAAAATATTATCTATTTGGTATTATACTGTAAAGCCACATCAACATGCTGTAGCTAGCCAGCATTACTTTTTAATTTATAAAGTAAATTTTTATAACAATATTGAAAACAAATGTTCATGAGTCTTAGATGTTCATACTGGTGATGCAGGATTTTTTTGCTCCTTAGCTCAGCTAATCTGGGTTCTTTTCTCATGACCAGGAAGAATTAGGCATGCAGCCACATTGAAGGATGAGGAGAGTGGAATTTATTAAGTGAAAAGAAAGCTCTCAGCAAAGAGAGGGGTCCTGAGAGCAGGTTGTCACCTCCCAAATTGAATACCAGGGCCACCACACATGAGTTGAAGAGGCCAGGCTCCTCCCCTGCATAAGGCGCAAATTCCTGGTGGCTCCACCCTATTCCCCCAGTGCATGTGGGCCTCCAGTCCACTGTGGGCATGCCCAGGCAAGACCCCTGTGCAGGTTCCCTTATCTGCACAAAACATCTGGTGTAAACCCTTGTGTGGCTGGTCAGAGATTCTCTGGGGACCCTTCCCTATCTGCTTAGGCATTTGGCTATCTCCTGCTTCTATCACTGGTGAATTTGGTTTCTGCTTTAAGTCAGGGTAAACTTCTGTGCCTTTAGTTTATTAGATTATATAATTATTTTATTTGTTTGCCAGGGCTTCTGTAACAGTATCACAGACTAGTTGGCTTACACAACAGAAATGTATTGTCTCACAGTCCTGGAGGCTGGAAGTTCAGAGGTGTTGGCAGTGCTGGTTCCTCAGAGCTGTGAGGAAAGGATCTGTTTCTGGCCTCACTCCTTGGCTCACAGATGGCTGTCTTCCCTTTGTTTCTCTTATCATCATTTTCCTTCTATGCATGTTTTTGTGGCCAAATTTCACATTTTGTAAGGACTGCAGTTACATTGGATCAGGGTATACGTTAATGACCTCATTTTAAGTTGATTACCTTTGTAAAGACCCTATTTCCAAAAGGTCACATTTTGTGGGACTGCGATTTAGGACTTTAAAATATGAATTTGGTGGATGGGGCACAATTCAGCCCATAGCAGTTATTTTAAAAAGGCACATATAACTGATTTTCAGCCTGTGAGATTCAGGAAAATCATGTCTCTAAGGAAACAAGGGAGGAAACAGAGATAATGAAGCCGAAGAGCAGTGGTGATAATGGAACCGACCCAATAGTCCCATAGATAGTATTGTTGATAAACATAGAAATGGACCTTCTGGTCTTAAAGCTTGAAACTTACATTTGTTTTATCTGAGTTCCTTCCTCAGGAAACTACCTTTAGGCCTCTCAAAAAAGTATCAAAAAACTGAAAGTTACAGATCACCACATCCTGACAATGAGATGGTGGACCCCTCATTCATTATGATTGCTTCCTTGCCCCTCCCTAGTTCCTATTTCCTTACACATTGTTACATTTCTTCCCTGTTGTATACACTCCTAATTTTAGTCAGTCAGAGAAATGGATTTGAGAATGAGCTCCCATCTCCTCAGCTGCAGCACCCAATTAAAATCTTCTTCCTTGGCAATACTCATCATCTCAGTGATTGGCTTTCCGTGTGGTGAGCGGCAGGACATAGACTTTCCCCTGGTGTTTCTGTAACAGATTGTGGTTCCCTGATTGGGAATGTGTTGCTCTTGGCTTGGCTGCTAGGGCCAGGAGTCTCAGAAGACCACCTAAATGGCTGCCCATCCAATTTTGACTAGAGGTGAGTTTCCATCTCTCTCTGGCCCTGATACTGCCAGCCCCAACTGCGTTCCTGACTTCCTGGGACGAACTGCCTTTGAAATTTCACATCTACATCTAGATAGGTGAGTGTCCTTTGTGGGCCCAGAAAGCAGGATCTGCTCCTCCTAATTTGGGAAATTTTAAGCTGAATTTCCATTTTGTAGGTTGAACAAGGCCAACTGACTGAGAGGGAGAAGCATTCTGACTGTTTCAGTTTGGACATTTTTGGGGCTTCTTTGTAATTGTGTGTTTTGTGTCTGGGCAAGTGAGTGTCTTTTGTGGATACCAGACAATGGGATCAGTTCCTCTTAATTTGAGAATTTTTTTTTTTTTTAAGACAGAGTCTTGCTGTGTTGCCTAGGCTGGAGTTCAGTGGCATGATCTCGGCTCACTGCAAGCTCCGCCTCTCCCGAGTTCATGCCATTCTCCTGCCTCAGCCTCCTGAGTAGCTGGGGCTACAGGCGCCAGCCACAACACCCGGCTAATTTTTTGTATTTTTGGTAGAGACAGGGTTTCACCATGTTAGCCAGGATGGTCTCGATCTCCTGACCTCGTGATCCGCCTGCCTTGGCCTCCCAAAGTGCTGGGATTACAGGCATGATCCACTGCGCCTGGCCAATTTGGGAAATTATGAAGGAATTTTTGTTTGCAGGTTGACCACGCCCATCTCATGGAGAGAGGAAACACCCTGCCTGTTTCAGTTTGGACACTTTTGGGACTTGTTTGTTCCTGTTGCATTGAATTGTGTTTTGGTTATTGTTTGTGTGTTTGGTATCATCATGGGAAACTAGAATTCAGTAAACTGACATTCTTTTGTAATACTGTTTGGCCCCAATATTCTTGGGAATCTAGAGTTGAATGGGAAAGTGTACCATGTATTCCGGCTTTGATTTTGCTATTCTAAACAGGGTTGGGCCTAATTGGTAGATTCCAGGTGATGTTCTTCTGTAGTACTGTTTGGCCCTAGTGTTCTTTGGAGTCTGGGATGTATGGCCTTTAAAAATCCAATTTCCATGGAGACTGCTTTACCCAAAATTTTGGTTTACAGGCCTCATTGGATTACCTACTGGGGCTAACAGAGTTCAGCCATGTGAACATGTTTGTAGACCGTTGAGTTTGTATTGCTATCTCATGGCTAGAGTTTCCAAATAAAAGCCACTGGATCTTTATGTGTGTATCCATGTCTAGATGTGTTTATGTGAATGTTTATTCATTTATTTGAGATGGAGTCTCTCTGTTACCCAGACTGGAGTGCAGTGGCACAATCTCGGTTCACTGCAACCTCCACCTCCTGGGTTCAAGTGATTCCCCTTCCTCAGCCTCCTGAGTAGCTGGAATTACAGGTGCCCGCCACCACGCAAACTAATTTTTGTATTTTTAGTAGAGATAGGGTTTCACCATATTGGCCAGGCTGGCCTCAAACTCCTGACCTCACGTGATCTGCCTGTCTTGGCCTCCCAAAGTGTTGGGATTACAGGCATGAGCCACTGTGCCTGGCCTGAATGTACATTTATTAAGTTATATGTTGTGTTTATCAAATTGTCTTATAAATAAGAGTAGTCATAAATAAATAAGTCCAAAGTATTTTTCAAATTCACATGACCTAAATAAATCTTTACTAAACTAGCTAGATGGCTTTCAAATTATTGGTACAATAAAAATAGAAATGTCTTCAGAATTGTCAGCATATGTTTTTGTCTGAGTTTTATATTTGTCTCTGCTAGATATTTTGAGATATCAGGGTTTTGCATAGAAGGCTGTAAAACTATAAACCCAGCCAAAGCAAAATGATCTTGGTTGGTGTGCCTGCTTTGACAAATGAGACTAATGTTGTTAGCTGAATCTTCTGAGTTATTGACAAAAATACCTATGTTTTTAACTTTGAGACTCTTACTTAGGTGAGCACCTGATGTTCACTGACTATTAAAAAATGGTTAACAAGGAAATAACTTTACATGACGGTGTCTAATATTTTAGTTTTCAGAAGTAATCTAAATAAACTTAAAAATGAAAGAATTGAGTACATATAAGTGGGAAACTTGTTTTAGGTAAACTTTTTGTGTAATTTAAAATCTTTATTTTTTATGCTTATTGGATGCTTATTGGATACTTGGGTCATTTGGAATTAAGAAAAGATTATGATATGGGAAAATACATTTCTAAAAATTGTGTAATTGTTCTCCTCTATAAAGTGCTGATATCGGATATTTCAAGGACATTTTCAATAAAATTTAAGGTTACTAATGATCACAATTATAGTTAATATATAATTCTTTATATAAGATATGCCATAAAGATGTGTTGTTAGAAAAAGAATAATTTTGTCTAATTCGAAAGTTATCTAAAGGTTAATTCAAATTATGGACTTGCAAAAAGTTATTTATAAAATAAGGTAGTAAAGAAATGGGGGAGAGAGATGTGAAGAAAGTTACAGATATGAAGATGTACGTTTGGTAAGGAAAGTTATAAAGAAAAGAGAAGAATTTTGTATGAGAAAGGATCTTGTATGGTGAATTTTTGTCCTAAAATAAAATGACTGGTTATTAAAAAAAATAATTGGCCGGGTGCAGTGGCTTATGCCTGTAATCCCAGCACTTTGGGAGGCCAAGGCGGGTGGATTACAACATCAGGAGATCGAGACCATCCAGGCTAACACAGTGAAACCCTGTCTGTACTAAAAATACAATAACAAAATTAGCCAGGTGTTGTGGCGTGTGCCTGTAGTCTCAGCTAGCTGGGAGGCTGAGGCGGGAGAAGGCATGAACCCGGGAGGTGGAGCTTGCAGTGAGCTAAGATCGCACCATTGCACTCCAGCCTGGGCGACAGAGCAAGACTCCGTCTCAAAAAAAAAGAAAAAAAAAAAAATTTAAGACAAAACAGAAAGTCCAAACATGTCATATAGGTTGTCTGTGTAAGTCATACACGGTTTTCTTACTACTTCTCTGTATGTCTATATTTGTGCACATACAGAGAAGATAGAAAGTTGAAAAAGTTTAGATAATATTCTTTAAAACCTGATAGAAAATTGGAGAAATTTGGCTAATTAACATAGCATTTAAACATTTGTTTAAATGCTCTTAGTTTAAAGCTCAGTTAAATGCTGTTGTTTAAAGCACTTAGTTTTGATGAAAATAAAATAAATATTATGAAGAAATACATTTGCAGTTTGGCAATTCTTTTTTAATATAGTTAAGCATGAAGCAAGATTTAACATGGAGCCAGGTTTAACATGGAGCCGAATTTCACATATATGTTTGCATTGCTTTGTTTTACACTGTATAGATAGTACTAGCACTAAAATACTTACTGGTCATGTGCCTAAAGTGAATTTCTTAATGTACAAAATGTACAGTGGTATTGGTGGACTTAAAGACATTAATTTACATACCTGGAACAAAATATCTACCTTGTGTGTGTGTATGTGTGTGTGGGGGGGTTTATTTGGCTCTAGGTAACACTTTAGCTTCCAAGGTAAACTGAGTAGGAGAAAAACTTGGGGTTGGTTTCTTGTTTGTCTTCGCTTCTGATTTTCATTTATTTGCTCTTTTTTTTTTTGGGTTTTACTTATATATACATGTATAAAACCATTGATTTTTTTAGTTTCTAATGGAATGCTTTTATTTGGCTTTATGAATAGCCATTTTGTTTCCTATGCATTTGTAACAATTCATTATTTGTTCTGTTTATCTAGAATTCCTAAGCTGCAGTTGTCAAGCCTGGAAAAATCGGTAGAGCACACCAGCCATTTAAAATTTTCTTGTTTTTTCTTACCACTAATGATCTAGAGAGCTACAAGAGCTTTAAGGTTCCTGGAAAAAGTAAAACAAAAGACTTATGTTCTGAACAGAAATAGTACATTATACATTTCGTTAATTGGAAAGTAGATGAGAGCAGAAATATTTAAATGGTGTTTATTTCCAAGGTAATTCTCTTCAATCAATAACTTGAGTTGGTTTCCGATCTTACCCTTTAATGAGGAAAAACCGATATGGATACAAAGTTTTAAGGTTCAGGAAAAATTGGCCTTATCTTTAAGGAAATTATGTTGATTGGGATTTCTCTCAAACTACTTTAGTTGTGTTGAACATTATTAAAATTAAGTAACATTCACTTGGATTAAGTAGTAATAAAAGATGTGAGACTTTCTACTGATTTGTGATCCCAAGCCATTTATCACTGATGGGCCTTCCTGTGTGTACTTGGAAACACAATGTATATAAGGGCTGCACTGATCTGAAGATTTTTGGTTATGAAAATTACCTAATCAGTTATCAGTACTGTATCTAGAAACCAATCTTGGGAAACGTGTGATGATGCTCTTTTAAAATAGCTGAGAAGAAATTATTGTGTGCTCGTTCTTACTTTGTCCCTGTTTTGTTGTATAATATTTAAGTGAAGGAAGAGTATTTATTCTTACTGAATTTTCAAAACTGATATTTGTGCTTACCATTTTTTTAAAATAGAAAAGTTAGCTGTCTTACTTTGGTAAGTTTGGTATAGAACCTATCACTTTATGATGCTTTTGGTCACAGTTTTGTCACTAGAATACTAGCAATTAGGCCTATGCAATGTGTAACCTAACTGCTTTAATACAGTGGTTTGAAGTGCTGCAGGCAGTAACTCCTAAACAACAAATCACATTGTTTTAATTTGTAACAAGTTAGAAAGAATGATATGACTTTCTGTTGTGTAAATTTCCTGTTAACTAATCTGTGTGCTGTTAAGTTACAGAGCTTTGACTCCTGGGTCTGAAAAAATCATTGACCTCTGCTAAATCTTGAGCATTAACACAAATTGAAGCCTCATCTTAAGTACCAGGAGAAGGTGATTGACCAAATAACCAGTTTTCGTGAGACACGGGGCCAGAAATTAAAATGATTCAATCCCTCTAAGCCCGGGGAGTATTGTGGAAGAGTTGGACCCGTTAGATCGTAAGGGCAGATTTTGAGGGATAAGATTAGTTTAAGGTGTTTCTATAAATTAAACATTAATATCAAAAGCCAGTGATGCAAAGCCAGTGTCTGGGACCGTGTGTCAGAATAACAGGGTTTTCCTGGAACATTGATCTGCTCTTTAATAGAAAGTTGTAAAACATTATAAAAGGTTTAGGGAAATCTTACCTTATAGTCAAACTGATTAAAATCAGATACATTTGTTTATAAAGTTTTATTAAACTTAGCTTTAGTGTTAATTATATACCATACAAGGGTAAAATTTTGGTTTTCTCTTTTGAACAAAATGTTTGTGTAATATTAATAAGAGATAACAGATTTCATTTACCTTTTGAGTGAACTGCAGGAAGAAAATGGAGTCGGGAGAGACAGGTTTAGTTGGTCTCATGCTGTCTTTATTAGGGCTTATTGTTTGGGAAACTGAATCTCCTTTTTATCAAATAGAAGATGTTTTTGTATTATAATTTTGGCTAAATGAATGACTATTTTATAGTAACTTGTGATCCTATTTTGAGATATCACGTGTGTTAAACCTTTGATATTTGACAGATTTTCCAATAGCAAAATTTCAAGTTCTAAATTCAGACTTTTTGAACTTACACTACCTGTTCGGATATTCATGTTCCCTGAAGTCCAAGAGAGACAGTAGGCGTACTTGTTATATTAGAATTATATAGGAAGCATTGTCAAATGTGAGGTGGTATTTAACTTTCTTTGGGTTATATTTATACAGATATGTTGTTAATATGTGTTCCAGGATTGTATCACGTTCCTGAAATTCTGATATGTCTTAACATATTTTGTCAGTAATAATTATGGTTATTATGTCAAATTGTATGCCACAGAAATAACCAAATTTCCTTGTCAACTGTGTCTTTGATTATGGCTATCTTAAGACTTTGTCATCCACAATTGATGTTTGCTTTGATCCTTTTCAAAAAATTGATATATCAGCTACAGTCCAGGGCTTGTTTCTTTGGAGTAGTTCACAAAAAGGACTCTTGAATGGAGGTTTCTGATAACTTTGGGTGTGCCATTGGATTTGAGAGAAAACTTTCAGGGCATTAATTGAAAGGCTGTGTTCGTAAAGATTGCTAACCCAATATGAAGCAGAGCAGGAGTTAATTGCGTGGACTGAATTAATGGATGACAGAAATAATTTTGTATGGCTATTTTCCTTTGAAATATTGCTTATTCTTTTTGTTTTGTTTTTCAGAGTCTGGAAAATTTTTTTCTTTTGAGCTATTTATAGCCTGTAAGTATACTTTAAGTATATTGAGTAGAGTATACTTTTATAAACAGAATTTGAGGCATTGTTTAATTTCTCCTGAATTTGTAAACTATTTGTGAATATTAATTGGGAATATGGTTAATAACAACGTGTTTTCTTTTATAATGGGACACAGTTGGAGGAACTGGTTACTTTCTGTGGGCCTTGTTTGAAATGGCCTTGTGAGATGTTCCAACAAAGCCAGTTTAGGAGCGCCTATGTAGACAATGATTCTTGCTGCACTTTGTGTGGGTAATCAGGCCAAGTCTATGGGACTGAAGCTTATTTTGCAGGTAGATTGGTCCTGCTGTGATTTGCCTTTGGTGGAATTGTCAGGGGGTCTGGAGAGAGAAAGATTGTGTTTCAGAAGAAAACTATAGTATTAGATTAACCTTTGATTCCTGGGTGGCCATGAGGTCACCTGTGGTATAGAGGTGCCCAGGACACCCCTCCTCAGCACGAAACAGTCAGAAAGATTAACGACCAGATTCCCCATGACTGAGGAATTGATAAATAAAAAGGGGGCGTGGACTGACATCAACTTAATAGTGCCAAAGACAGTTTTTTGGATAAACATAGAAATTGACCTTCTGGTCTTAAAGCTTGAAACTTACTTTGTTTTATCTGAGACCCTTCCTCAGGAAATGACCTTCAGGCCTCTCAAAAAAAGTATCAAAAGTGAAACTTACCAGATCACCACATCCTGACAATGACATTTGGACCCCTCAATCATCATGATTGCTTCCTTGCCCCTCACTAGTTCCTGTTTTCTTACACATTGTTACATTTCTTCCCTGCTATATAAATCCCTAATTTTAGTCAATCAGAAAAATGGATTTGTGATTGAGCTTCCATCTCCTTGGCTGCAGCACCCAGTTAAAGTTTTCTTCCTTGGCAATACTCATTGTCTCAGTGATTGGCTTTCTGTGTGGAGAGCAGCAGGACTTAGACCAAATCCCTGGTGTTTTGGTAACACTAATGTCTGAATGTTTGGGGCAGATTAAGGGGCCGACAGAGGTGGGCCCAGGCACAACCTGCTGTTAGGCACTCACAAATGGAAGGGCTTTCTTTCCACTCTGTAATCCACCATTTTACTTGGTCCTTCAGATTTAAAAGAGAAGTTACAAAAATGTATATCCTTTTTCCAGATTAATAATTTACTGAATTTGCTTTATCATTCTTTCTCTATGTATATACATAATTATTTTTTCTAAGCCATTGAGAGTAAATTGCAGACATCATGCTTATTTATCCCTAAACACTTCAGTGTGTTTCCTCAAAACATTATTCAATGTAATCATACAGCAATCAAAATCAGAAAATCAACATGGATACTGTTATCTAATCTACAAATCTGAAATTCCACTTATTGTCCCACCAATGTCCATTATAATAAAGGGAAAAATATCTTTCTGCTCCAGGGTTCAATGCATTTAGTTATCATCTCTTTAATCCCTTTTTTTTTTTTTTTTGATGGAGTCTCACTCTGTCTGTTGCCCAGGCTGGAGTGCAGTGGTGCAATCTCAGCTCACTGCAAGCTCCGCCTCCTGGGTTCACGCCATTCTCCTGCCTCAGCCTTCCGAGTAGCTGGGACTACAGGCACCCGCCACCACGCCTCACTAATTTTTTGTATTTTTAGTAGAGAGGGGGTTTCACTGTGTTAGCCAGGATGGTCTCGATCTCCTGACCTTGTGATCCATCCACCTCGGCCTCCCAAAGTGCTGCGATTACAGGGGTGAGCCACAGCGCCTGGCCCTTTTTTTTTTTTTTTTTTTTTATTACACTTTAAGTTCTGGGATACATGTACAGAAAATGCAGGTTTGTTGTATACACTTGCCATGGTGGTTTGCTGCACCCATCAACCTGTCATCTACATTAAGTATTTCTCCTCATGCTATCCCTCGCCTAGCCCCCCACTCCCTGACAGGCCCCAGTGTGTGATGTTCCCCTCCCTGTGTCCATGTGTTCTCAGTGTTCAGCTCCCACTTATGAGTGAGAACATGCGGTGTTTGGTTTTCTGTTCCTGTGTTAGTTTGCTGAGAATGATGGTTTCCAGCTTCATCCATGTCCCTGCAAAGGACATGAACTCATCCTTTTTTATGGCTGCATAGTATTCCATGGTGTATCTGTGCCACATTTTCTTTATCCAGACTATCATTGATGGGCATTTGGATTGGTTCCAAGACTTTGCTATTGTGAATAGTGCTGTAATAAACATACTGTGTATCTGTGTTTATAGTAGGATAATTTATAATTTTTTGGGCATATACCCAGTAATGGGATTGCTGGGTCAAATGGTATTTCTGGTTGTAGATCCTTGAGGAATTGTCACACTGTCTTCCACAATGGTTGAACTAATTTACACTTTCACCAACAGTGTAAAAGTGTTCCTATTTCTCCACATCCTCTCCATTATCTGTTGTTTCCTGATTTTATTTTATTTCATTTTTTTTGAGATAGAGTCTCGCTCTGTGACCCAGGCTGGAGTGCAGTGGCATGATCTGCGCTCACTGCAAGCTCTGGCTACCAGGTTCATGCCATTCTCCTGCCTCAGCCTCCCGAGTAGCTGGGACTACAGGCACCTGCCACCACGCCTGGCTAATTTTTTGTATTTTTAGTAGAGACGGGGTTTCACCGTGTTAGGCAGGATGGTCTCAATCTCCTGACCTCGTGATCTGCCTGCATCAGCCTCCCAAAGTGCTGGGATTACAGGCATGAGCCACCGCACCCGGCCATTTCCTGACTTTTTAATGATCACCATTGTAACTGGCGTGAGATGCTATCTCATTGTGGTTTTGATTTGCATTTCTCTAATGACCAGCGATGATGAGCATTTTTTCATATGCTTGTTGGCTGCATAAATGTCTTTTTTTGGGGGAAGTGTCTGTTCAAACAGACTACTTTGCCCACTTTTTGATGGGGTTGTTTGTTTTTTTCTTGTAAATTTGTTTAAGTTCTTTGTAGATTCTGGATATTAGCCATTTGTCAGATGGATAGACTGCAAAATTTTTCTCCCATTCTGTAGGTTGCCTGTTCACTCTGATGATAGTTTCTTTTGGTGTGCAGATGCTCTTTAGTTTACTTAGATCCCATTTTTCAGTTTTGGCTTTTGTTGCCATCACTTTTGGTGTTTTAGTCATGAAGTCTTTGCCCATGCCTATGTCCTGAATGATATTGCCTAGGTTTCCTTCTAGGGTTTTTATGGTTTTAGGTCTTATGTTAAAGTCTTTTTTTTTTTTGAGATGGAGTCTTGCTCTGTCGCCCAGGCTGGAGTGCAGTGGCACGATCTCATCTCTCTGCAAGCTCCACCTCCCAGGTTCATGCCATTCTCCTGCCTCAACCTTCCAAGTAGCTGGGACTACAGGTGCCTGCCACTACGCCTGGCTAATTTTTTGTATTTTTAGTTGAGACAGGGTTTCACCATGTCCGCCAGGATGGTCTCGATCTCCTGACCTCATGATCCGCCTGCCTCGGCCTCTCAAAGTGCTGGGATTACAGGCGTGAGCTACTGCATCCAGCCATGTTTAAGTCTTTAATCCATCTTGAGTTGATTTTTTTATAAGGTGTAAGGAAGGGGTCCAGTTTCAGTTTTCTGCATGTGGCTAGCCAGTTTTCTCAACACCATTTATTAAATAGGGAATCCTTTTCCCATTGTTTGTTTGTGTCAGGTTTGTCAAAGTTCAGATTGTTGTAGATGTGTGGTGTCATTTCTGAGGCCTTTGTTCTGTTGCATTGGTCTATATATCTGATTTGGCACAAGTACCATGCTGTTTTGGTTACTGTAGCCTTGTAGTATAGTTTGAGGTCAGGTAGCTTGATGCCTCTAGCTTTGCTCTTTTTGCTTAGGATTGTCTTAGCTATGTGGGCTCTCTTTTGGTTCCATATGAAATTTAAAGTAGTTTTTTCCAATTCTGTGAAGAAAGTCAATGGTAGCTTGACGGGGATAGCATTGAATCCATAAATTACTTTGGGCAGTATGGCGATTTTCATGATATTGATTCTTCCTATCCATGAGCATGGAATGTTTTCTCATTTGTTTGTGTCCTTTCTTATTTCCTTGAGCAGTGGTTTGTAGTTCTCCTTGAAGAGGTCCTTCACATTCCTTGTAAGTTGGATTCCTAGGTATTTTATTCTGTTTGTAGCAATTGTGAATGGGAGTTCACTTATGATTTGGCTCTCTGTCTATTATTGGTGTATAGGAATGCTTGTGATTTTTGCACATTGATTTCATATCCTGAGACTTTGCTGAACTTTCTTATTAGCTTAAGGAGATTTTGTGCTGAGATGATGGGGTTTTTTAAATACACAATCATGTCATCTGCAAACAGACACAATTTGACTTGCTCTTTTTCTATTTGAATACACTTCATTTCTTTCTCTTGCCTGATTGCCCTGGCCAGAACTTCCAATAGTATGTTGAATAGGAGGCATGGGAGAGGGCATCCTTGTCTTGTGCCGGTTTTCAAAGAGAATGCTTCCAGCTTTTGCGTGGTCAGTATGATCTTGGCTGTGGGTTTGTCATAAATAGCTCTTATTATTTTGAGACATGTTCCATCAATATCTAGTTTATTGAGAGTTTTTAGCATGAAGTGGTGTTGAATTTTACCAAAGGCCTTTTCTGCATCTGTTGAGGTAATCGTGGTTTTTGTCATTGGTTCTGTTTATGTGATAGATTACATTTATTGAATTGCACGTGTTGAAGCAACATTGCATCCCAGGGATGAAGCCAACTTGATCGTGGTGAATAAGGTTTTTGATATGCTGCTGGATTTGGTTTGCCAGTATTTTATTGAGGATTTTTACATCTATGTTCATCAGGGATATTGACCTGGAATTTTCTTTTTTTGTTGTGTCTCTGCCAGGTTTTGTTACCAGGATGGTGCTGGCCTCATAAAATTAGTTAGGGTGGTGTCCCTCTTTTTCTATTGTTTGAAAGAGTTTCAGAAGGAATGGTACCAGCTACTCTTTTTACCTCAGGTAGAATTCTGCTGTGAATCTGTCTTGTCCTGGGCTTTTTTGTTTGGCAGGCTACTAATTAACTGCCTCAATTTAAGAACTTGTTATTGATGCATTTAGGGATTCAACTTCTTCCTGGTTTAGTCTTGGGAGAGTGTATATGTCCAGGAATTTATCAATTTCTTCTAGATTTTCTAGTTTATTTGCGTAGAGGTGTTTATAGTATTCTTTGTATTTCTGTGGGATCAGTGGTGATATCCCCATTATTATTTTTTATTGTGTCTATTTGATTCTTCTCTCTTTTCTTCTTTATTAGTCTGGCTAGCATTCTATTTCGTTAATCTTTTCAGAAAATTAGCTTCTTGATTTATTGATTTTTTGAAGGGTTTTTTATGTCTCTATCTCCTTCAGTTCTGCTCTGATCTTAGTTATTTCTTGTCTTCTGCTAGCTTTTGAATTTGTTTGCTCTTGCTTCTCCAGTTCTTTTAATTTTGATGTTAATGTGTTGATTTTAGATCTTTTCTACTTTCTCCTGTGGGCATTTAGTGCTATAAATTTCCCTCTAAACACTGTTTTAGCTGTGTTCCAGAGATTCTGGTATGTTGTGTTTTTGTTCTCATTGGTTTCAAATAACTTATTTATTTCTGCCTTAATTTCATTATTTACCCAGTAGTCATTCAGTAGCAGGTTGTTCAGTTTCCATGTAGTTGAGTGGTTTTGAGTGAGTTTCTTAATCCTGAGTTCTACTTTGGTTGCGCTGTGGTCTGAAAGACTGTTTGTTATGATTTTAGTTCTTTTGCATTTGCTGAGGAGTGTTTTACTTCCAATTGTGTGGTCAATTTTAGAATAAGTGCTATGTGGTGCTGAGAAGAATGTATATTCTCTTGGTTTGTGGTGGAGAGCTGTAGATGTCTATTAGGTCTGCTTGGTCCAGAGCTGAGTTCAAGTCCTGGATATGCTTGTTAATTTTCTATCTCATTGATCTGTCTAATATTGACCGTGGGGTGTTAAAGTCTCCCACTATTATTGTGTGGGAGTGTAAGTCTCTTTGTAGGTCTCTAAGGACTTGCTTTATGAATCTGGGTGCTCTTCTATTGGGTGCATATATATTTAGGATAGTTAGCTCTTTTTGTTGCATGAATCCCTTTACCATTATGTAATGCCCTTCTTTGTCTCTTTTGATCTTTGTTGGTTTAAAGTCTGTTTTATCAGAAACTAGGATTGCAACCTCTGCTTTTTTTTTGCTTTCCATTTGCTTAGTAAATACTCCTCCATCTCTTTATTTTGAGCCTATGTGTGTCTTTGCATGTGAGATGGGTCTCCTGTATACAGCATACCGATGGGTCTTGACTTTTCATCCAATTTGCCAGTCTGTGTCTTTTAAATTGGGGCATTTAGCCCATTTACATTTAAGGTTAATATTGTTATGTGTGAATTTCATCCTGCCATTATGATGCTTGCTGGTTATTTTGCCTGTTAGTTGATGCAGTTTCTTCATAGTGTGGATGGTCTTTACAATTTTACATGTTTTTGCAGTGACTGGTACCGGTTGTTCCTTTCCATGTTTAGTGCTTCCTTCAGGAGTTCTTGTAAGGCAGGCCTGGTGGTGACAAAATCTCTCAGCATTTCCTTGTCTGCAAAGGATTTTATTTCTCCTTCACTTCTGAATCTTGGTTTGGCTGGATATGAAATTCTGGGTTGAAAATTATTTTAAGAATGTTGAATATTGGCCCCCACTCTCTTCTGGCTTTTAGGGTTTCTCATTTTTTTTCTTCATTTCAACCTTGGTAAATCTGACGATTATGTGTCTTGGGGTTTCTCTTCTCGAGGAGTTTCTTAGTGGTGTTCTCTGTATTTCCTGAATTTGAATGTTCGCCTGTCTTGCTAGGTTGGGGAAGTTCTCCTGGATTATACCCTGAAGACTGTTTTCCAGCTTGATTCCATTCTCCCCGTCACTTTAAAGTACACCAATCAAACGTAGGTTTGGTCTTTTCATATAATCTCATATTTCTTGGAGGCTTTGTTCGTTCCTTTTCATTTTTTCTCTAATCTTGTCTTCACTCTTTATTTCATTAAGTTGATCTTGAATCTCTGATATCCTTTCTTCTGCTTGATTGACTTGGCTGTTGATACTTGTGTATGCTTCACTAAGTTCTCATGCTGTGTTTTTCAGCTCCATCAGGTAATGTATGTTTTTCTTTAAACTGGTTATTCTAATTAGCAATTCCTGTACCCTTCAAGTTTCTTAATTTCCTTGCATTGGGTTAGAATATGCTCTTTTAGCTCAGAGGAGTTTGTTATTACCCACTTTCTGAAGGCTACTTCTCTCAGTTCATCAAACTCATTCTCCAGTTTTGTTCCCTTGCTGGTGAGGAGTTGTTATCCTTTGGAGGAGAAGAGGCATTCTGGTTTTTGGAATTTTCAGCCTTTTTGCTCTGGTTTTTCCTCATCTTCGTGGATTTATCTATGTTTCATCTTTGATGTTGATGACCTTCAGATGGGGTTTTGGTGTGGACATCCTTTTTCTTGATATTGATCCTATTCCTTTCTGTTTGTTAGTTTTCCTTCTAACAGTCATGCCCATCTACTGCAGGTCTGTTCGAGTTTTCTGGAGGTCCACTCCAGACCCTGTTTGCCTGCGTATCTTCAGCGGAGGCTGCAGAACAGCAAAGATTGCTCCCTGTTCCTTCCTGTGGAAGCTTTGTCCCAGAGGGGCACCCACCAGATGCCAGCTGGAGCTCTCCTGTATCAGGTGTCTGTTGACCCCTGCTGGGAGGTATCTTCCAGTCAAGAGGCACAGGGGTCAGGGATCCACTTGAGGAGGTAGTCTGTCCCTTAGCAGAGCTTGAGCACTGTTCTGGGAGATCCCTGCTCTCTTCAGAGCCAGCAGGCAGGAACTTTCCAGTCTGCTGAAGCTGCACCCACAGCCACCCCTTCCCCCAGGTGCTCTGTCCCAGGAAGATGGGACTTTTATCTATGAGCCCCTGACTGGGGCTGCTGCCTTTCTTTCAGAGATGCCCTGTGCAGGGAGGAGGAATCTAGAGAGGCATTCTGGCTACAGCAGCTTTGCCAAGCTGCAGTGGGCTTCGCCCAGTTTGAACTTCCCTGTAGCTTTGTTCACAGTGTGAGGGGTAAACCACCTACTGAAGCCTCAGTAATGGCGGATGCCCCTCCCCCCACCAACCTTGAGCATCCCGGATTGACTTCAGACTGATGTACTGGCAGTGAGAATTTCAAGCCAGTGGATCTTAGCTTGCTGGGCTCTGTGGGGGTAGGATCTGCTGAGCTAGACCACTCGGCTCTCTGGCTTCAACCCTTTTTCCAGGGGAGTGAACGGTTCTGTCTTGCTGGGGTTCCAGGTGTCACTGGGTATGAAAAAAAACTCCTGCAGCTAGCTGGGTATCTCCCCAGATGGCTGCTGAGTTTTGTGCTTGAAACCCAGGGCCCTGGTGGTGTAGGCACCTGAGGGAATCTCCTGGTCTGCGGGTTGCAAAGATCATAGGAAAAGTGTAGTATCTGGGCTGGAATGCACCATTCCTCATGGCACAGTCCCTCAAGGCTTCCCTTGGCTATGGGAGGGAGTTCCCTGACCCCTTGTGCTTCTCAGGTGAGGTGATGCCCCACCCTGATTTGGCTAGCCCTCTCTGGGCTGCATCCACTGTCTAACCAGTCCCAATGAGATGAGCTGGGTACCTCAGTTGGAAATGCAGAAATCACCCACCTTCTGCACTGATCTTGCTGGGAGCTGCAAACTGGAGCTATTCCTATTCAGCCATCTTGCCAGCCACCTCTTTAATCTCTTTAAATCCAAAAAACTTATCTTTCATGACCTTGACATTTTTTAAGACAACAGGCCTGTAATTTTATAGGGTCTCCCTTAGTTTGGGTGTGCAGGTTCTGCGGTTTTGCCAGCATTACCAATGAAGCCATGTTGTGTCATATCATGAGGCATATGATGTTGATATATCCTGCTATTGGTGATGTTAACAGTGACCATTTCATTAGGGTGGTGTCTGCCAGGTTCCTCACCATAAAGTTATGATTTTTTTCCATTGTCATGAATAAGTATCTTGTGGGAGATGCCTTGACACTATATAAATATCCATTGTCTCATTAAACTTTCATCTACTAGTTTAAGCATCCCCTGACAATTCTTGCTTGTAACTTACTACTTTTGTGGTGAGTTTCTGATACCATCATTCCTCCTACATTTATTAGTCATTTTACTGTAAGAAAGAGCTTTCCCTTTCTCTCCCATTTATTTATTTATTTATAATACTATGAATTCATGGATTCTTATTTTATCCTATGGGTTATAGTCTGTTATGAATGCTGTTTATTTTGATGTTTAAATTGTACAAGATTTGACCAGGGGAAGAACTTTCAAGCTGGTTCCTGTGTTCTTTTTCCATGTCTCCATGGTGGTTAGCCTTTTCTCATTTCCTGTCAGAAAAAGATATTCTGGCTAACCTTATGTTTTCCGTGCCCCCGTTCTAAAATCAACCATGTCTCTGAGGAGCTCTGGTTCCTGTTGATGGAGTATGGTATTTAGAAATAAGGAGCTGGGGAAGTAGTGTGCTCATTGCCAGTGAGTACCATGGCTTCTAGGCCTTCTCAGCCTAGAAGAGTGAGGACTAGGGAATATATGTATGTGTGTATATACAGGTATGTGTGTGTATATACATATAAATATATATATTATATGCAATATATATATATATTTGTGGTGCATAGAAAAGTGGCTGCCCATGTCTTAATCCTGGAACCTGTGAATATATTACCTTACATTCAAAAGGAACTTTGTGGATGAAGTTAAGGGTCCTGAGATAATTACCCTGGTTTATCTGGGTGGGCCTGGTATAATCACAGGGTTCTTATGAGAGAGAGGGAAGAATCAAAGAGGAGGAGAACAGATTCTCTTCTGAGGTCCTTGATTTTAGACTTCTGTCCTCCAGAACTGTAAAATAATAAATTTGTTTTGTTTTAAACTACTAAGTTTGTGGTAATTTGTTACAGTACCAATAGGAAACTAATTCTGAAGTAGGAGATATATGTATATGTATGTATATATGTGTGTATCTCTACCTATATAATATATAGATATTTATATAATACACACACTCACACCCACACCCACTGGTATCTATTTATCCAGTAAAAACTATGAGTTTCTATTGATACCTAAAATTCCATTTCAACACCACAAGGATTATTCCAACTTCCCCTTTGTGAGACGAAAAAAAAATACTGAGTTTTTTTTTCTATTCTTTCACTCCACAGTAGCCATCAAGTTCGTGACCAAATGAGTGGGGTTTTTTCCCCACATGCCAAGTAGCAGACACTAGCTCTAGGTGTCCTGTAATTCAATTGAAATCTGACAGTATCTGCCTGGAGGTTGCTTTAGCTTCCATACGTTGGGGGCTCTGTGCCCAAACTGCCCCCTCCTTCAGATACCAGTCGCAAGTCCAGGCTCTGGAACTTCTGGCTGATCCACTCCAAGTTGAAGTTCCCCTGGCCCTGTTTTTAGGTATGCTTAATTTGCAGGAGCTGTTCACAGAACTCAGGGAAACTCATTTACCAGTTCATTATAAAGAAGGATTTTTTTTTTTTTTTTTTTTGACAGAGTCTCACTCTGTTACCCCAGCTGGAGTGCAGTGGTGCGATCTCGGCTCACTGCAACCTCTGCCTCCTGGGTTCAGGCGATCCTTGTGCCTCAGCCTCCCTGGTAGCTGGGATGACAGACACGCACCACTGTGCCTGGCTAATTTTTGTATTTTTAGTAGAGACAGGGTTTTGTTATGTTGGCCAGGCTGGTCTGGAACTCCTCGCATCAAGTGATCCACCTGCCTTGGCCTCTCAAAGTGCAGATTTACAGGCATGAGCCACTGCCCCTGGACACAAAGGATATTTTAGAGGATACAAATAAACAGCCAGATGGAGATACATAGGGCAAGGTCACAATCAAACTGCAGTAAAATTGTGGATTGAATGGGCATTGGTGATCTCTAGAACTAGGGTCTGGAGTAGTTGCTAAAGTGGATTGTAAAGAGAAACGTAAGATTCACGGAGTGCCTAACTCAGAAATGAGTAACTACACCAGCTTGTCCTGGCATAAAGACCTAAAAAGTATTTTTCTGTGGATCCCCATGGAAGCCAGTGTGATAGGATACACAGCATCCCTGACAACATTGCTCAAACAAGTAGACTTGGTTTCTTATGATTCTCAATGAAAGCAGTTCTATAATGAGTGAAGATGGTGTGGTCCAGATTGTCAGGCTTGTTGTTATAGTAATTTTATGTGCTATTTTAAGTGTATATATTTATTTTAACTTTTTATTATGGAAAATTTCAAATACATTCAAAACTTGAACGCCCATGTTCCTAATCACCCAGCTTTAACAATTACCAATTGATGTCTATTCTTGTTTCATCTGTTGCTACTCCTCTACCTCCAAGTGCCTTTTTTTCTTTAATAGTTTAGAGCAAATTCTAGATAATGATGATTATTTCCCTCTTGAGTACTTCAGCATGTGTCAGGGACTTTACTCATTTCTTTTTCTTTTTCTTTTTTTTCTTCAACTTTTAAGTTCCAAGGTACATGTGCAGGATGTGCAGGTTTGTTACATAGGTATACATGTGCCATAGTGGTTTGCTGCACAAATCAACCCATCACCCAGGAATTAAGCTGAGCATCCACTAGCTATTCTTCCTGATGCTCTCCCTCCCCCTGCCCCACTGACAGGCCCCAGTGTGTGTTGTTCCCCCAATGTGCCCATGTGTTCTCATTGTTCAGCTCCCACTTATAAGTGAAAACATGCAGTGTTTGGTTTTCTGTTCCTGTGTTAATTTGCTGAGGATAATGGCTCCCTGCTCCATCCATCTCCCTGCAAAGGACTTGATCTCATTCCTTTGTATGGCTGCATAGTATTCCATAGTGTATATGTACCACATTTTCTTTCTCCAGCTTATCATTGATGGGCATTTGGGTTGGTTTCATATCTTTGCTATTGTGAATAGTGCAGCAATGAACATACTCATGCATGTATCTTTATGTAATAATGGAATGATCTGTATTCCTTTGGGTATATACCCAGTAATGGCATTGCTGGGTCAAATGGTATTTCTGCTTCTAGATCTCTTAAGTAATTGCTGTACTATCTTTTCCAATGGTTGAACTAATTTATACTCCCACCAGCAGTGTAAAAGCATTCCTTTTTCTCTGCAACTTCACCAGCACCTGTTGTTTCTTTACTTTCTAATAATTGCCATTCTGACTGGCATGAGAGGGTGTCTAATTGTAGTTTTGATTAGGTGCTTTACTCTTTTTTTTTTTGTGAGACGGAGTTTCACTCTTGTTGCCCAGGCTAGAGTGCAATGGTGCGATCTCGGCTCACTGCAACCTCCGCCTCCTGGGTTCAAGTGATTCTCCTGCCTCATCCTCCCGAGTAGCTGGGACTACAGATGTGTGCCACCACGCCCGGCTAATTTTGTGTTTTTTAGTAGAGATGGGGTTTCTCCATGTTGGTCAGGCTGGTCTTGAACTCCTGACCTCAGGT
Source organism: Homo sapiens (assembly GCF_000001405.40). Lineage (NCBI taxonomy): Eukaryota > Metazoa > Chordata > Mammalia > Primates > Hominidae > Homo > Homo sapiens. The sequence goes on along the minus strand of NC_000002.12, from coordinate 108,425,376 downwards.
GATCCACCCGCCTTGGCCTCCGAAAGTGTTGGGATTACAGGTGTTAGCCACTATACCTGGTCAGGGGCTTTACTCTTAATCATTCTTGTTGTTCATATTTTGTGGATGAGGAAACAGGCACAGAGATGATTAAGTAAGTTGCCCAAAGCCACAGAATAATAAAGCGGTTCAGAGACAAAGTTGGTTCAGTTACCATCTGTATCTCCATCTGTCATTCTTGATTTCTCTGGCTGGGGTGACGTAGAAAAGCAAGAGTTACACGTGGAGCATTTTAGCTATGATCAAGCACATTGATGGACACTGGCTGGAAATAAAGGAAAAAAACATGAACTTCAACCTCTAATACTTTGTAACTTCTAATGTTAGGAGCATCAACTTCAAATCTTTAAAATCTTATTGGCCTGTTTTACCACATTTTTTATTTATTAGGGCAAGAAAATTTATTGTCTTGATTCTGCACATATAATTTCAGTACAAAATAAATGCATGAAGTTCCTATATATTTTTAAAATCTTGATTTCATTTCCTAATTATAGTTCCTAATAAGATCAAGAACTTCCCCAGGAAGGTGGCACTTGGGCCATGAAGGCAAGGACCCTGTCTGTTTTTTTTTTTTTGTTTTGTTTTTTGGAAACGGAGTTTCGCTTTTGTCACCCAGGCTGGAGTACAATGGGGCGATCTTGGCTCACTGCAACCTCTGCCTCCTGGGTTCAAGCGATTCTCCTGCCTCAGCCTCCCGAGTAGCTGAGATTACAGGTGCCTGCCACCACACCCGGCTAATTTTTGTATTTTTAGTGGAGACGGGGTTTCACCATGTTGGCCAAGCTGGTCTCGAACTCCTGATCTCAGGTAATCTGTCCACCTCGACCTCCCAAAGTGCTGGGATTACAGGCGTGAGCCACTGTGCCTGGCCTATTCTTGAATTTTTTCTAGAGATGAGGTCTGTCTCGCTATGTTGCCCAGGCTGGCCTCAAACTCCTGGGCTCAAGCAATCCTCTCTCCTCAACTGTCCCAAGTGTTAGGGTTACAGGCATGAGCCACCATGCCTGGCCAGATAGATTTTTGAATTCTTCCCATTGCAAACTGAAAATAGACAAGTAACGATCCCTTCTCAAGGCAACACCCACATCCCATCCATTCTCGCTCGAGGCCAAACTGCTTTCCCACAGAGACTGACAGCCAGTGTGCATTTCATAACACTCTTCCCCGCAGTGCACCCATAGGCTTGGAAGCCTGAACATTTGTGGCCACTATACAACAGATGCAGTTTTCAGCCAGAACCCTCTAGGGCCTTCCTTTTCACTGGCCCTCAGCGGCTGCTGGGTCTGCCTGCCATCAAGGAGCAGCCAGTGTGTGTGTGGCTGTGAGGTGTGGGAGGGGCCAGGGTAAGCAACAAAGCAGATCAGAGGTGAATTCTGGGGCTGGGTGGACACAGTGGCAGGACCAGTCATGGCCCACAGTAAGACCAAAGGGTCTTGTGTCCTCCATTAATTCTTTTCTGGGCAGTTTCTGCTAAGGACAGCTTCAGGGAAAATTCCAGCTGGCCCTTAAGGCTCATCACCTGGGTGTGCTCCTTGCTAAGCAGCTCACCGAGCTTGTGATCCTCCCGTTGCTCTGAGATGCTCTTCTCCTCCTCCACAGGCCTTGGATCCTTTTCCCTGATGAACTATTCCAGGTGGTATCCCATAGCCCCAGTCATGAAGTCCACAGGGAATGTGACATAGCGAGCATAGGTATGCATCACAGTCCAAAGTACAGGCCATGTGACATCTGTGGCCCAGACCGCACTCTTTGGTCTGGCCTGCTCTCCCTGCCTCTCCTAGAGCACATCACAGACATTGCTGCTCCCAGACCCTAGTTTTTCTTTTATTCATTGCTTTTTTCTTAGGATTTGGCTGCAAAATTATTACATCAAGTCCAAACTCTATATTCTACACATGAAATGTCTAGAGGAATTGAGAGGTCCATTCTTGAAGCATTCCCAGAAGAATGAGAAATATTCTACAAGTCAGAATTCTCTTCCAGCCTCTCCCTGACTCTTATTGGCCAAAGTACATTCCAAGCCAGTTCCTAAACTGACCACTGCCCAGGAGAATGGCTTATTCTTAGCCAATCACGCTAATTCCTGAAGCTGAGGTTGAGATCAATGTCCTTGGAGGCATGTGGGCTGCATGGGGAAGAGGCAGACACCAGAACTGGGTTCTATTAGGAAGAATGAAGAGGAGATAGATGCTGGGTGTGGAATCAACAATGTCCAATTCAGAAAGAATGGAAGGAGGCAGGAAGGCTTGAAAAATATTAAGGGGATAAATGTGTGGGGAAGTGTTGTGGGGAATATGGGAAGAGATTCGGACTTGGCAACTGGTGGGGTATTTGATGAAATAAGAAACCAGACAAAATAGATGTAATGCCAGGGAGGTGATAAATTCAGTTTTGGATGAGCTGAATCTGAGATGCCAATGGGATATCCAAATGGTAGTTTGATGTTCTCAAGAACAAGCTTTAGCCTGAAGGTATGTCTGAGAGTCCAAGAGGCATCAGCATATAGAGAGAATTGAAGCCATTGAGTGGATGACTCAGGGAGTGAAGAGAATGAAACAAAAACAAACAAACAGTAAAACAAAACAAGAAGAATTTTGGAACCCCTGAGAAAGAAGATGAGAGTAGGTGAGAAAGTACTGTGGGAAAGGTGGGAGGAAAAATCTGGAATGTTCGTTATCAGAGAAACTGAGGGATGAGAGCATTTCATGAAAGTAATGATGGTTACGTTGTCAAATGCTACAAGAAATACGTGGACTTAAAAGTATCCATTGGCTTTAGTGGCAAGAAGGTTCTTAAGACCTTGGCAATAACACTTTTGATGGACTTCTGGAGACAGAGCCTGACTGTGCTGGAGTAAGATGGAAAATGAGAAAATGGAGAAGGTGTGTGTAATCACCTATTTTGAAAGGCAAAAATAATTAAAAAAAAAAACAAACCAGGAGAGACTTTAGCATGTTTAAATGCTAAACAGCCATTCTGTTTCAAGATGGGTGTCTACTCAGTACACACTTTTATCTCTGCTCCTTTCAAAATGCCATGCAGTTAAAGAGCAAGATCTGTAGCAGCACTGGAAAACATTCACATTGCCATCCGCAAACCAGAAACAATGAGGGATTTCTGGGAGACATAAAGCATGGGATTCTATCTTTGGCAAAGGTAAAGATCCTAAAAAGCAATATAGTAGAGGAAGAGACTATTGGAAAATTGAGTTTTTTTGAAAGAACCTTGAAAAAATCCTCAAGACTAGAGTCGTTAGTAGCTGTGGGGGGAAGAAGCAGTGGAGAAGAGTAGATTATGGGGCAGAGGGTGGGGTCATTAGTTCCAAAATGGCTGGAATAAGGTCAGGCCCAGAGAGTGCCCAAATGGGTATTCCTCTTCTAGGCTATAGCTAGAGACAGCCTTGTTCTTAAAGACCAGAAAGTGGGGAGTGCCTCCCTTGGGAGACGGAATGTCATAGTATAATCTCGAAGAGAGATAGTTCAGGTTCTAGCCACCAAAATGGACACAGTCTCTCACATTCTGAAAGCAAGTTCCCCAAGAAGCATGAAAGGTGATTTTCCTGGCTGCACTTTGCTGTCCCTCACCATGGCCAGTGCTCTGCTCTCAGCTAGGTATTCACACTGCAAAGGACACAGTGACTTTAGAACACTAGCTAAAAACACTTCTTATTTATAAACTTGAATAGATAATTAAAAATCATCAGACATTAGCATGAAGAAGAAGAATGAAGAATAATTAGTAAATAGTTACTGAGAAAACAGATAGTTTAGAAAATTAGATAACTTAAATTTTCAGTATTTCTAGAAATGATTGAGATTATGTTGCACTCACAAAACATTTCTAGGCTACTCTGGGCCAAGCGCTGGTGGCTCATACTTTAATCCCAGCATTTTGGGAGGCCAGGGCAGGCGGATGACTTAAGGATCACTTAAGGTCAGGAGTTCGAGACCAGCCTGGCCAATATGATGAAACCCCATCTCTACTAAAAACACAAACATTAGCTGGGTGTTGCACACCTGTAGTCCTAGCTATTCAGGAGGCTGAGGCAGGAGAATTGCTTGAACCCAGGAGGTGGAGGCTGCAATGAGCAGAGATCACGCCACTGCACTCCAGCTGGGTGACAGAATGAGACTGTCTCAAAAGAAAAAAGAAAAAAAAGAACAAGTTACCAAAACAGTATGAAAAAATAAACTTTAAGTTTGTAAGTAGACTGGACATGGAGGAAAAATAACTTTATAAGCTGAAATATGGTGCCAATGAATTTCCCAGAACTTAGTGCAGAAAGACAGATAGTTGAAATTATGGAAGAAAAGTTAGAAGACAATTTATTATTTCATTTGATAAGTACTTTGAATACCTACTAGGTGCCCTCTTGGTGGCCTCATAGAGTCTATAATTTAGTGAGGAGTAAGGCAATAAAACCAAACATTACAACAATGAGTATATAAATTGGAATTGTGATAATTTGCTATGAAGAACAAGAACAAAGAGTCATAATATTAATAATAGCTGAAATTTACATAATTTAGAAACTGTGCCAAGAACAGTTCAAAGTGCAAACTTTATCTGCTTATTTAATTTTTTGTTTTTGAGATGGAGTCTCGTTCTGTCACTAAGCTGGAGTGCAGTGGCACGATCTCTGCTCACTGCAACCTCCGCCTCCCGGGTTCAAGTGATTCTCCTGCCTTAGCCTCCTGAGTAGCTGGGGCTACAGGCACACACCACCATGCTCAGCTAATTTTTGTATTTTTAGTAGAGACAGGGTTTCACCATGTTTACCAGGATGGTCTCGATCTCTTGACCTCGTGATCTGCCTGCCTCGGCCTCCCAAAATGCTGGGATTACAGGCGTGAGCCACCGTCCCTGGCCTAATTTTTTTTGTTTTTCAGACTGGGTCTTGCTTTGTCACCCAGGCTAGAGTGCAGTGGCGTGATCTCAGCTCACTGCAGCCTCGACTTCTGGGCTCAAGCAATCCTTCCACTTCAGCCTCCCCAAGTAGTTGGGACTACAGGCATGTACCACTACACCCAGCAAATTTGTAATTTTCGTAGAGATGGGGTTTTGCCATGTTGCCCAGGCTGGTCTCAAACTCCTGAACTCAAGCAATCCACCTGCCTTGTCCTCCCAAACTGCTCGAATTACAAGCATCAGCCACCACACCCAGCCTGTATTTGCTTATTTAATCTTTACCATAATCCTATGTCAGCCAGGGAGTAAATATTTTAGACTTTATAGGACATATACAATCTCTATCACATATTTATTTTTTTGAACTCTATAAATATATCATTATTATTTTAAATTAAAAAAATTGAAAAATTTTTTGGCAGAGTCAGGATCTCCCTATTTTGCCTATAAATGTATTATTTATGAAGTAATGTCAGGAACTTTGAAGGATCTGAGATTTTACCCTAGTTATAACCTAATAAGTTAGATGGAAGCTGGCAAAAATCATGAGACTCCTGTGTCAGAGACAAAGGACTTTATTACCGAAGACATAATGGGTGGCATAGACCTCATGGACTTCAGGTTTCCAGATGTGCATACAGTGGGTCTGTATCACAGCTGAGGAGTACTGAGATCAGGGAACCCAAATCTTTTATGATGGGCTGAAGCACACCCACTCTTTTTCTTAGAGGGAGATATTATCATTGTTATACTTGACCGTAAACAAGGCTGCTCTTTACTGCAGAGGGAAGCACTCTCTCTTCCAAGGCTGTTGTCTATATAAATATCTTTGAAAAAATAGTTCGTGACAAAGATGTGCAGAAATGAGAGAAATCCATGGTGAATTGTCTCCCATCAGGAAGCCAAGGCATAGAGAGGTTGAGGCTTGTCTGAGGCCTCACAACTAAGTAGATGCAGAGCCAGAATTCAATCCCACACAGTCTGTGTAAGCCATACTCTTAACCAAGGGTTGGTAAACTATGGCCTTCCAGCCTAATCTGGGCCTGTTTTTGCATAGCTGGTGAGCCAAGAATAGTTTTTACATTTATAAAGCATTGTAAAAAACAATATGTGATAGAAATTGTTTATGTCCTATAAAGTCTAAAATATTTACTACCTGGCTGACACTTTACAAAAAACGTTTGCCAACTGATACTCCTAGCCAGTGCACCTGACTGCCTTTTAGGATGTTTACTGGGGTGTGCATGGGGGCTAGCCTAGTTCGAGGTAGTGGTGGTAGGGAAGAGATGAATTAAAAATTGAATCAGAGGCCAGGCATGGTGGCTCACGTCTATAATCCCAGCACTTTGGGAGGCCGAGGTGGGCAGGTCACCCGAGGTCAGGAGTTTGAGACCAGCCTGGCCAACATGGGGAAACCCCATCTATACTAAAAATACAAAAATTAGCCTGGTGTGGTGGTAGGCACCTGTAATCCCATCTACTTGGGAGGCTGAGGCAGGAGAATCACTTGAACCAGTGCGGCAGAGGTTGCAGTGAGCTGAGATTGCCCCACTTCATTCCAGCCTGGGCGAAAGAGTGAGACTCTATCTCAAACAAAACAAAACAAAACAAAACAAAAAAACAAAAAATGAAGAATAAAAAAATTAAAGATAAAAATTGAATCAGGCCTGAAAGGTGAATAAGAGTTGAATGAAGAAAGGAGAGGAAGCTGGTTCCGTGAAGAAAAAAATTTCCCTGAGTGGAGAGATACTTGGGTTTTTAGACAAACTACCACCCACACTGTGTGAATGTGCACCGTCCCCTAAGCCCAATGTGGGTGGTGGTTGTCATCACTGAGTGCTGTGCACTGAGCCAGTACGTGGGAATAGGGACAAAGATATGGGACAAGGTCTTCTGAGAAGACGTGGCTAAAATGTGGCCACTTAACCACTTACACAGCTCTCAGATCAGAAACCTAGGAGTCATCCTTGATTCCTTTCTTTTCCTTATCCCACATCTAATTTATCTGGAACTATCTTCAGAATATATATGGAATCCAACTGCTAGTAATCTTCATCACCACCCCTGCATTCCCAGCCACAATTAGAACAGCTTCCTAAGCAGATCTAACTGCATTCACTCTTACTGCTTACTTTCTATTTTCCATGCAGCAACCATAGTTTTACTTTTAGACATCAAGTCAGATGATTTTATTCTCCTGCCTCAATCCTCTGCTGGCTTCTCCACACCTTTAAAATAAAATTCAAACTCCTTCCCATGACCCTGTCCACCTCTTCAGCTGCATTTCTTATTCTTTCTATCCGTATTCACCTTGGTTTCTCAAGTCAATCTTTTCAGAGATACCTTCTCTGACTAACCTTACTAAAATTAACTCATCCCTACAATTATATAAGCCTAGACCCTGCTTTATTTTCTCCATGACACATATCCCTTCTTAAAAGTTATATTTACTGGTTTATTTGCTTAAAAACACAATATACATCTTTCTCAATGAGCAAGACTAGAATATACTTATTAGAATGAAGGATTCCTGAAGGCAGGGACTTAGTCTTGTTTAGCACTCTATTCCTTGTGCCTGGGAAAGTGTTTGCTACATAGTTGGAAGGTTAATGCATATTTGTTGAAAGAATACACACATCATTTAATTAATTTTTGAGCTTCATAAGAAAACACACCCGGTATCTCCTATGATTGAATAAAATCATAACAGTGAAGAAGATAAGCTGATCCTATTGATGACAGAATTTGACAAGAACAACCTGCCTTTTCTGGTTTTAACATTGAGGGCCCATGAAAGAAGTAGACAAGGAGGAAGAGATAGGTAGATGCATGGGCCACATAACATGGGGTGCCACCAAGCAAATCCAACCTTGTTTTTGTGGCTGTCATGTTTGCAGCCTGCCTTTAGTCGTGGCCACTGCATAACTCCCTTGGGGTGGATAGTCTACCACTAGGTGGAATGTTGGAATGCCACCTGGTGGAATAGACCACGCTCTCCTTACCAGTAGAGTTGATAATGTGCTGCTGACACCAAGTCAGCCTAATACTTGCCATTGGCTCAGGGGCTGAGAAGGACATACTAACAATTACCTGTGAGCCTGGTAAGGATAGCAAAATGGTTAACATGGAATTTGAATCAGTATTTCCAGGCCTCTAAGTGACCACAAAAATAACCAGTAGGGGACTTCAAAAATGTCTGACAGAGCATCAATTAATCTTGCATATTAGTTTAAGAACTTCTTTGATACAGTCAAGAGATGGCCTAAAAATATAGGCTGTATTTTTGCATACCACGTATTCCACATACCATATCATCCTGGAAACGTCTGCTGTCAGACCCTGCTCCTCCTTATCCCCATCCCAAGCATTAGGAATAGTGACTAATTGTTTTCTGTTTTAGAAAGCTAAACTGTTTCTATAAAGGGCTAGATAACAAATATTTTAGGTTTTCTGGGCCATATGTTCTCTTCCACAACTTCTCAACTCTGCTTGCTGTTGTAGTGCAAAAGCAGCCAGAGACAACACATATTTAAGTGAATGATCTCATAACTGTGTTCCAATAAAACTTATTTTTTTTGTTTGTTTGTTTTTTTGAGTCAGGATCTCACTCTGTCACTCAGGCTGGAGTGCAGTGGCATAATCTCGGCTCACTGCAACCTCCACCTCTCCAGTAGCTGGGACTACAGGCACGAGCCACCACGCCTGGATAATTTTTGTATTTTTTGTAGAAATGGGGTTTTACCGTGTTGGCCAGGCTGGTCTCGAACTCCAGACCTCAGGTGATCTGCCTGCCTCCGCCTCCCAAAGTGCTGGGATTACAGGTGTGAGCCAGTACGCCTGGCCCCAATAAAACTTTATTTACAAATAAAGTTTTTTATTTGTAAATAAATAAATTTGACCAAAGGGCCATAGTTGGCTGATGTGATTTAGACTATCACATAAACACAACTGGGAGATTAGAAGAGTGGGCCTGTCAGTCATTTGCTGTAATTCATACTCCATTGTAGATGAGTCACTATCTATTGATTTAATATGGTACATCTTTTAGTAGACTCGGTAAGGTATTAGCAGGCAATCTTCTTCTCTCAAAGATGTGGTCATTGTGTGCACTATTTCAAGATAAACAACTTTTGCTTGCTATCAAAATTTTACTCTTGGTAAACCAAACACCCTTCTATAAAGACGGAAAAATTTTGTTAGAACCCCAGAAGAAGATATAATCGTATCCCTTAGATAATTTATCTTTTAATTCTCAGAGCACGTTATTCAAAGTCCTTTAGGAATCCTTGTTTCTATTCATATAAAATTAAACCAGAAACTGAGATCTTTATCAAGTTATGGATCATATTAGAAATCACAGGTATAGTCTAATTTCTTAAGTCCAGCTTGAGTTTTAGGTGTACTCATTCCTGATTGTTTATTATAGGAGTGAATTTGGGAAGTGTCTAAAACAAGGTGACTTATGTGTTTAGAATAACTGATCTCTATCTGAAGAACAGTGGCCTCATGAAGCTATTCTGTCACTTTACATTAAAAAAATATATAAATTATAATATATGTTTATATAAAATTATATATTTTATAATTATATAAAATTATATATAATTATATATTTTATAATTATATAAAATTATATAAAATTATATATATTTATATAAAAATTATATATATAATTATATAAAAATATATAAATATATATAATTATATAAAAATATATAAATATATATAATTATATAAAAATATATAAATATATATAATTATATAAAAATTATATATAAATTATGTATAATATATTATTATATGTTATATATATTATATATATTATATATTATATATAATATATATTATATATAATATATATTATATATAATATATATTATATAATATATATTATATATTATATATATTATATATATTATATATATTATATATATTATATATAATATATATAATATATATTATATAATATATAATATATATTATATATATTATATATATTATATAATATTATATATGTAATATATAATTATAAAGATATATAAAATATGTATATAAAAATATTATAAATATAAAATTATATATAATAAATTATATATAATTTACATAAAAATTATATATATTATATATAATTATATATTTTATATATATATATACACACACACGCACATTAGCACCAATTAAAGACCAGGACACAGTCAGAGAAGGCACCAGTAGAGTGGATATTTCCCATTGGCTTAGGGACTGAGAAGGACATCCTACAATTGACTGTTGAATAGATTTGGATTGGGCTAGAAGAGCCTAAGATAGAAGAAGCTATTGTGTAGCGGTTCTTTCAGCCTGGTCTACATTTACAGAGCATCTACCACTCACTAAGCATTATGCTAGGCACTGGTCAGGGAAGGGGGAAAGATGCAATTGTAATTAAGACAGAGAAATTCTCACTTGTTGAATTAGTTGTAGACACAGGCTATAAGCACATAAATGAACAATATTAATTGTTTTTAGTTCTAGCAATTAAAATGGCTTTCCACTGTTGCTAGCCCTGGGAGACTAACCATTCCTTATTGGTTTTGCTGCTCACATCTTTGTAAACAATCCCTTGTTGAATTGTCCTGTTGCATTCCTGACTGACATAGATGGCAATGATCTTGGCATGTTTGAGAAACAGCAAGAAGGCCAAGTTGATTAGAGAGTCATGACTAGTGGGTAGTAGTCACTTCCCATTCTCTAATCACCTCCGCCTTCTTGCTTTTCCTCAAACATACTGAGGTCATGTAGTAGAAGGTGCAGTTGAAGAGGGCTTGGCCAGTCCCTGGGGGCTTTGAAGGTTGTGCTGAGTTTGGGCTGTGTTGTTTGCAAAATGGGAAGACATTGGTTGGTTTTAAGCAGGGGAAACATGATCTGAATTATGCATCAAGAAGGTCATTCTGACTTTTTTGTGTAAAGAGGCTATTGGAGCAGATGTGGGGGAGTGGAAGCTCTTAGGAGGCCTTGTAGTGGTTCAGAGGTGATAGTGCTGTGGGTGAGGGGGTTGTAAAGGAGGTGATGAACCGTGATCGGATTTAGGATAACATTTGAAATTAGTGCCAGTTTTGAGGAACAACTTGGATTTTCTGTTGCACTTATGTGGGCATGAGGGAAAGAGAGGGATTAAAGAAGACTCTTAGGTTTTAGGCCAGAGTAACTTCTGAATAGTGGGACTGTTAATCAAGGTGGAAGAAGGCTAGGGGTGAAGATCAGGTAGGATATTTACAACCTATGTTTTGGACATATTTGGACAAATTCGAGTTGTCTATTAGGCATCCAAGTAGATATGCTAATTAGGCAATTAGTTTAAAGACCATCTATCAAATGTGAAATTTGAGTTTGAATTTCAGTGCTACTATTTTCTAGCTGTTTATTGCTATCTTCTCCCCCCTGGTTTCCTTGTTTGCCCTGGATGTTGACATCCAGTCAGCAGATGTGAGAAGAGGGGGTGGAGGATTTTGTGAGAAAGTTTTTATGGGCCAAGTAAGGGAGTCACTCATATTCTTTTGGGTTGCAAAAATCCAACTGTGTCTGAGACTGAGGAATATTGTCTTGCTGAGGGCCCAGGAAGGAGAGAAGATGGGTGTGGTGGTTAACTAGCCATCTGAGTCAAATTCACCCTTCTGGATACCAAATATCCATTTCCCCCTTCTTCCCACTTAGAGAAGACACCCTCCCCATGGGCGAGAGCCCAAAAGTCCCATCTTGTTACTGGCTGCCACTTCAAGTTGAGCATCTCAGGATGAACTGCAGTCATTTTTCCAACAGGGCAGGGTGTGGCCAACTTCTGAATCAAAAGGACAAGGTTTTTGTATTCTAGCCACACATTACACAGTGATATAGTAGGTATAGGGTACTTCCACTGAGAAAAGGAAAGAATGAGAATCACACAGCAGTCATTGATCCAGCACTTGGTGACACCCTGCAGGGAATGCCTGAGGAGTCCTGTCTGCCCTGACATTGGGCACAGTTCCACAATTAGACCCAATGCTGCTGCCTGAGAAGGACTTTTTTAATCCACTGTTTTCCATGATCCCTGACTCTACTCTCTGGGAAGTTCTTCCTTGTGAGTGACCACTTCTGCATACATGAAGGAATGAATCATCCCATACAAGATTTACTGTGGAAAAAATTTTGTAAATATCCTGCAGGTATCTTTGAGAACATCTTTACTCTACCCTTCAGCCCAATTACAAAACAACATCATAGTCTTTGTACTTTAAAAAGTGAGTCAACTGAATTTTCAGAATAGTTGTGGTAAGATGGCTGTCTTTTTTTTTCTTTTTCCGTATATCTAATGCCCACTGAGAACAAAAGTTCCCTCAGGCTGATTGGCCAGAGTCCAAAGGGATGCTCACAGGGCCAAGTGAGTCCCAGAATCAGCAGCTGATAAGGCCATGTTCCAAAGAGCTCACATTGCACCAGAGGTGGAAAAGAACATTACGGATATAGTAACTATTGATATATTACCGTTGTACTCATCAAACACCAATTTTACTTTAATAATAATTTGTAAGCTGCATTCACTATTAATAATAAAATAATTAAATATTTTTAGACATAAAATTCAGAGTATGTAGAATTTAGTAAAGCACTCTTATTTTTCTTGTTTATGGTATCTTAACTTACTAGTGTACATTAATAATTAGCTCATTTTGTCACCATATGATTGTATTTTTACCAATTTTTGTTTTGAGACAGAGTCTCACTCTATCACCCAGGCTGGAGTGCAGTGGCGTGATCTCGGCTCACTCCAACCTCTACCTCCCGGGTTCAAGCGATTCTCCTGTCTCAGCCTCTTGAGTAGCTGGGACTACAGGCATGTGCCACCATGCTCAGCTAATTTTTTTTTGTATTTTTAGTAGAGACGGGGTTTCACCATGCTGGCCAGGCTGGTCTCAAACTCCTGACCTCGAACTCCTGACCTTGTGATCTGCCCGCCTCGGCCTCCCAAAGTGCTGAGATTACAGGCGTGAGCCACCATGCCTGGCTGTATTTTTACCAAATTATTAAAGCACATCCAATATAGATTAGATGATGCTCAATTATTTTGCAAAATAAATAAGACTTGTTTATAATTTTTAGCAAAAAAGGTGAATTTAAAAAATTATTCATAAAATGTACCTATGTTTAGAATCACAGAAAGGTTACAACTGAAAGGAACTTTATAGCCTACTCAGTTCACATCTTTATCTTGTATTTAGGGCTGTAGTATGATATATTTTACGAAGAAAAAGTATCACCAAACTCCAATTAGAAATTTACTTATTTGAGGAACTATATAAAGCTGTATCAGATGTTATACATTAGACCCAAATATGTGTCTCTGAAAAGTAATTACTTTATAATCACCATTATGTTTGCAAGGCACAAATATTTAATTACAATGTTCAGATATATAGTTGTCCCCCATTATCTATGGGGGTTTGGTTCCAGGAACTCCCTGTGAATACCAAAATCCATGAATGCTCAAGTTCATTATACAAAATGGTGCAGTATTTATATATAACTTATTGAAATCCTCCCATATACTTTATTTTTAAAAAATACTTTTATTATATTTATGTATTTTTTAAGAGACAGAGTCTCCCTCTGTTGTCCAGGCTGGAGTGCAGTGGCATTCACAGCTCACTGCAGATTTGAACTCCTGGACTTAAGGAATCCTCCTGCCTTAGCCTTCCAAGTAGCTAAGACTACAGGCATGTACCACTACACCGGGCTTATTTAAAAATTTTTTTTTGTGGAGATAGGTTTTGCTGTGTTGCCCAGGTTGGTCTCAAACTCCTGGCCTCAAGCAATTCACCTTCCTAAGCCTCCCAAAGCGCTAGGGTTATAGGTGTGAACCGCTGCTTCTAGCCCCACCTCCTGTATAACTTTAAATCAACTCTATAATTATAAATAATACCTAGTACAGTATAAATGCTATGTAAATACTTATTATACTGTCTCGTTTAGGTAATAGTGTCAAGAAACAAAGTTTGTGCATGTTCAGTACAGAAGCAACCATCCATTTTTTCCCAAATATTTTCAATCTGTGGTTGGATGAATTCATGCATGTGGAACACATGGATATGGAGGGCCAACTGTATCAGATAAAGTCTTAGAAACTATTAGGTAGACAAGCGGAATTCAGTGAGATTTGCAGCAGCGTGGGAACCTGTATGTAACAGAAGAACTGGACCATGGTAGCGATTTGTTGATTTTGAGCATCTTAGTGATGAGTGAGGTCTAGCACACAACCATGTGTCGGCATTGTACCTGCCATGAAGACAGTCAGAATGAAGAGGTGAGCTAGCAGCCCTCAGGTATAGGCATACTTTCTACTGCCATGGTTCACAGCCACTTAGAATGACATTGGAAGGTGCAGTTTAAAAACTTAGGTTCTCTTCATGGTGCCAAAACCAGAGCACTGGGAATGAAGGAAAAGGGAAGGAGTATTCACTGATAGAACAGACGCTGTTGGCCTCACCAATGATAGGATGGAAAATCAAACTTTTAAAGTAGTAGGTTGAAGATTTAAAAACTCAGCTGGGGCTGTATGAAAGGGGTGGGGAGAACACAGATGTGTATGGACACTAGAGGAAGTGGAGCCAGATCCCAGCGCTGCAGAAGAGGAGGCTGAGAGCAAAGTTTCTACTCCCATGAAAGCCACACAAGTCACTGAGGGCCCAGATAACTCAAAAGCAGACGGAACACAAAGCTTTGAGGAACAGGACATGGTTTGGGCAGTATCAATCCTCACACAGACTTTATGAAAAGATTTACAGTAATTATAATAATCATGTCCATTATCATTGCTAGGTTTCATTGGTTACAGATGATGTCCCAAGCACATTTGCCTTTTTTTTTTTTTTTGAGATGGAACCTCGCTCTGTCACCCAGGCTGGAGTGCAGTGGCACGATCTCCGCTCACTGGAAGCTCCACCTCCTGGGTTCACCCATTCTCCTGCCTCAGCCTCCTGAGTAGCTGGGACTACAGGCACCTGCCACCACGCCCGGCTAATTTTTTTTGTATTTTTAGTAGAGACGGGGTTTCACTGTGTTAGCCAGGATGGTCTCAATCTCCTGACCTCGTCATCTGTCCACCTCGGCCTCCCCAAATGCTGGATTACAGGCGTTGGCCACTGCGCTCAGCCCCAAGCACATTTCTAAGTGCTTCACATGCATTAACTCACATAATTCTTAAAGCAAAAGAGAAGTAGTTACTATTAGTAGCTCCAGTTACAGAGGAGGAAACTGAGGTGCAGTTAAATAAATTGCTGACATTTCACACAGTGAGAAAACTGGAGTGGGGTCTGGAACCTGAGCAATCTGATTGCAGACCTCATTTGACCACTATGCTAAGAATCTTTCAAGAAGGATAATTTCTAGATGGGAGACTAAAAATAACAAACACTGAGAGATGACTAAATCGCTTGCTCTGTGTTAAGTAATTTATGTGCATTACCTAACTTAATTGCATGCCTCAAGAGCTAGGGACTCCAAGGAAGGCAAGGCAAGCTGGCTTCCTGAGAGAAAGACTGAGTAGAGGCTGTGTGCCTCAACAGAACCTAGGCCTGCTTCAGATGTCAAAGAGGGAATAGCAATGAAGACAATTGAAGTGGGCTGCCTGACTGGAGACCTCATCATTGCAAATGTATCCATTTCAGAGAAGGGGGCCTGTGTTTGAGATGCCATACTCAGAGAGAGAAGGCAGTTCACAAGGGGTGGAATGTATTCAGACCCTGGAAACCCGTGGTGGTATGGTGGTAAACTAACTCATTGATTGCTCCTCCTTGTTGTGGTCACTTGTCAGCTTCTGGGTCACTTATGTTTCACCTCACATCTTGACATGTTTAGGTCCTCAGTCTTCGTTGCCACTCCTTTCAATTTTTGGTGATTTTAATAACCACACGGACTACCTCTTCTTTTCTTCAGTGCTCCTGTGTTTCACTCTCCCCCAGTTGATTGCTTTAGTGATCATGCCTTAGGACTTGTCTTTACCAATAATCGGGTACTTTTCATAATCACAATTACAGGCATCTCACCAACTAACCACCATCTTCCATCTTTCCCACGCACTCCTTCCAGCACTCTGACCCTAACAATGGTGCTACCTGTGCCAGACCATCTGCATCTGTGTCTGCATATCCTGCCTTCCTCCTGTTACTAGGGATGAACTGTTTGAACTCCTGGGTTCTGTCTGTTCCCACCCCACACTCATCATCAGTTTTCCTTTCTTTTCTATAATGTCTCACATTTTATACTTTGCTGCCACATTCTACCTCAGATACTGCCCATTTTTTCCCTCTGTAATAGTAAACTCCTAAAATAGTTGACTATATTTACCATCTCCAGATAATTTCCTTGTCTCTCTTGCAGTCTCTGCAGGCAGAACTTTTGTGATCAATCTACCAAAATAGGTCTTGTCAAGGTTAAAAATGGCCTCCACTTTAGTAAATTCAGTGTTGTTTGTCAGTAATGCCAATAACTACCCTCTACCTCCAAACATAAATTTTTTTTTCCGTGGAAGAAGGAGAGGGAAAAGCAGAACTCTAAATTTGGCTAACAACTTCTGAAATAACTTAGTAATAACTAATTTAACCACATTTACCAGGACACTAATTTTGTTTTATTTTCTGGTTTGGAAAACATGTAGGCTGATTGTCAGAAATTAAGCTTAGTTATAGGAAAATTTAAAAAGTTACCTTTTTGTGTATCTTAGGTTTATTATCTATGAAATTCACTACTGCAAAAAGAACAGGAGGCATTTTAATGTGGAGAGCTGTTAAGATCTATAAAGGGGAGAGGGAAGTGGTGGGAGCATTTTAGTGTGAAGAATGAAGTGAGAAAAATGGGGGAGACCAGAAAGCTTTGAGTCCCGTATGAGTCAAAAGAAGAAACAAGAATTCCGTCTCAAAGGACAAAATTTCAAAGACTATTGAACTTAACTAATGACAGCTCTAAACCACTGACCAGTCATGAAATAAGAGGATAAAAATATTCACCTAGGCCGGGTGCTGTGGCTCACACTAGTAATCCCAGCACTTTGGGAAACTGAGGTGGGGGATTACTTGAGGTCAGGAGTTCGAGACCAGCCTGCCCAACATGGTGAAACCCATCTCTAGTAAAAATACAAAAATTAGCTGGGCATGGTGGTGTGTGTTTGTAATCCCAGCTACTCAGGAGGCTGAGGCAGGAGGATCACTTGAACTTGGGAGGCAGAGGTTGCAGTGAGCCGAGATCGCACCATTGCACTCCAGCCTGAGTGACAGAGTGAGGCTTCATGTAAAAAAAGTGGAAATAGGTTTAATGTCTTTTGAAACAGTTGTGCAATACCTAGCAATGCTGAAGGTATATAGCATGATGATCCAGGAATTCCCCTCTTAGGTTTATACCCCAGGGAAACTGTGTGTGTGCCCAAGGAGACATAAGAGGAATGTCTAAAGTGGCTTTGGTGGTAATAGCAAACTGTTGGAAATAACCTAAACATCTAGCAATAGGAGAATAGATATGTAAATAATGTGGTATGTGATAAAACAAAGAAATAAGTTGTGTTACTATATTCATATGCTGGAATGCTACACAGCGGTGAAAAGAAATAAGCCAGGACTATATTTGAACATGGATGAATATTACAAACTAGTGTTGAACAGAAAAAGAAAATTGTTGAAGAATGCATATAGTAGGATAATTTAAATCTGCAAGCATGTGCACTAAAAATATAAACAAATGCATGGGAATGAGAACCACCAAACTCAGAGAGAAGGAGATAACTCAGGAAGGAGGGGAAGGGATGCTGCTGGGAGTGGTACCAAGGAACTTCCCCTGGAATGCTTTATGCTTTATTAAAGTTTGTGGTAGGTACTTAGATGCTTTATTTAAGTCCGTGGTAGGTGCATGAGCATTTGCTCTATTATATTTCATATCATTTATATATTTCATATAAAAATGCTCAGACTACTAAGTATTCTTCATGTCTGATACTCATTTTGTCTTGTTTGAGTCTTTTACTGATTGGAATAATTAATTTTTTTCCACTTAGATGTGAGAATAACCTGGGACAGTTGTAGTGGGACACCAGCCGACCGTTGATTCATATTGCATAAGCCAGAATGTCTGGGGACCAAGGAAATGTGTCTAGAAATTTTGTGCTCACTAGACAATGATGGTAAATGTGTAATATGGAGATTTCTTATCCAAGTAAGAACATTCTAAAAGCCAGATAATTAATGTATTTTTTCATGAGGTAGAAAGCATCCACAGCATGACACCCACCCTAGTGATAAGTAAGGCATCCAGTCTTTGAAATGGGGTTATTTTTGACACACTCTGCAATCAGAGCTTGCTTTTAAAGGTCTTACGCAGACTTGTCAGGACAAGGGCTTGGGAGAGCCTACTGCCTAGGAATGATTTAGGAGACGTGCCTGTCCCAGTTTCTAGCAGAGGGACCCATAGGCCTCCAACGCTATGTCTGTGAGACCACGACTCTCTGGGATGGAGGGTGGCTTGAGAAAAGAGGAAGGGAAAGGTGCCTTGCATTTAACTTTCTCATTATTTGGTTCCTTTATGCAACTTTTGTTGTAGAAGCCTCAATGCTAACATTTCTTATTTTAAGGAATCTCACTCCATTTCACAAAGATTCTGAGAAGCAGAATATGAAGGACAAATTTTCTCCATCTTTATTATATTGATTTCAAGAACAAGCATATTAAACATAATAAAAGTTGAGAGTATTGCATTGAGACACTATTTCTGTTTTCTAGTTTTTTTCCTTCAATATTTATACCTGTCAACCTGGGGTCCTAGGACAATAGATGGCAAACACTTTCAAGAATACCTCTCTCTTTTCAAGATCTTTGATTCTTCTTTGAACACACTCTCTACTCTAGGTTTTTTTTTTTTTTTTTTTTTTTTTTGCATTGGCAACCTCTTTAATATCTAGACTAGATATTATAAAATCGGGCCTCATTTGTCCAGTATATATACAATATATACAGTATAGCAAAGTTAAATGAAATGCATGTACCATATAGGCAACGGATTAAGCTGAAATTTTCTAATAAACAATGGCAAAATGACTTTTGCAGTTTCTTCCCTCCCACCTCGCAAGTGGTTAAACAATTCCACTTCCAAATAGCATTTCCCATCAGTTTTTAAAAGCTATTTACAAAAAGTGTTATTCTACTACTACTTTTAAATACAATAAGCACTTCCAAATATCTAGAAAGGCTAGATATTTCATATAACTTGTCCACCATGTACACAGCATCATTAAATAAAATTGCAGACACATAACAATGGTTATCATCTGAGTTATCTTCCAAATGTTGCCATTTTGCCCTTGAATCATTCCCTCCTCTCTTCCTTCAATCCAGTGGACAAGTACAGGCACGTGTAATGCTTAGAGATGGTTGAACAAATTCCTATGCAAAAGTCATTTACAGAAGACAAGTTTTCCTATGAATTTCAGCACAAGGCTTACAAAATATGCTAATTTTACTAAATGCTTTGTCATATACACTGGCAACCTCTTTAACATCTAGAGACTAGATATTGAAAATTTGGACTCATTTGTCCATTATATACACTATATACAGAACAAAACAAAATGCACAAAACGTACAGAAAAATGGTGTCGAAAATGTCCAAGTACAAACACACTAGCCTATTACCTTTTGCAATTTCTTCCCCTCCACCTCCTCTAAACCATTGAACAAGAACAAGTATAGACAGTACTATACTGCTTACAAAGGTGGCTTCACAATTCAATTCCCAAAAGGCAGTATTTCCTATGAATTTTAGCAAAAAAATATTTACAAAGTGGTATTTTACTACCTCTACATTTAACATACATTGGGCACTTCTAAACATCTAGGTGTTTCAAGTAAGGGGTTAATTTGTCCACTGTGTACACAGCAGTCTTGAATAAACTGCAAACATGTAACAGCAGTTATAATTTGAAAGAGTCTTCCAAATGTGAACATTCTGGCCTAGAACCCTTCCCATCTCCATCCATCCAATGGGCAAGAATGCTCAGATTTTCAGAAGACAATCTTTCTTAGGACTTGTAAAACAAAATGTACAAAGCATATTAGTTTACTAACTCTACTTTTGTCATATACTGGCAACCTCTTTGTTAGAAGTAAATGCTCGGTGCCACCAAGTGAAAATAGCACTCAGGCAAAAGTTTTCTCAGCAAGGCAATTTACTTCTATAGAAGGGTGCATCTCACAGTTGGGGCAATGGCGAGAGCACACCAGACAAGGGAGAGGAAGGGATCCTTATTTTTAATGCATCTGGTCCCTACTGCTGTGTCTTTCCCCTGTTGGCTAGGATTGGACCACACAATCTAAACTGACCTGATTGGCTAATGTTTGAAATTGAACACAGCTATCTAGGTGGGAAGGGGAAGACTATCCATTACGGTGCAAGGCATGTCTAGGCTTCTCAGGGCATGTCAAGGTGCAGGAAGGGCAGGAAGGGTTGTTTACAGCATGGGTAACTATAGAAACTAGAGAAACAAAGAACCGGAAGAACAGGGAATTAAAACCTTTTGAAGAGGAATTTATTATCTCTGTCAATTTCCCCCTCTTGATTTTATAGCTTTTCCTCTTCAAAACACCTGATTTTATAGCTTTTCCTCTTCAAAACACCTCAGCATATCTCAGCTCTGTTGTTGTTCTTAGGCATCTAAAAGGAAGAGTTTATCTGAATAAGGTGGAGGAGAGCTATGGGAGGTTTTGCTGAGAGCTGTTTCTGTAAGTCTTTGCACTAAACCATGAGTACAGGGTATGATACAGCATCCTACAAGACTGAGCACACCTATAATGATTACAAGGGAGGTGAATATTGAGGTCATAATTCCTTTCCATTTCCCAAATGATTTTTCCATGAGGCTTGTAAAGGGGTCATTTATTCCAGAATTTTTAGCTAACTCATTTGACAAGGAGGTAAGGCCTTGTAAGGCTTTTCTTATTGTTCCATCGGGGGTGGTATTATTAGGAATAAAAGTACAACATTGGACTCCAATCATGACACAAACCCTGCCTTTCTCTGCTGGCATCATATCAAGAGCTATGCTATTTTCCTAAATCATCTGACTGGTGGGGCCTAATCATTCAGGTGTTCCTTTAATGGCATCTTTTGTGTAATTAACAAACCTTTGTTGATTATAATAATTGTAATTTATCTAATTCTACATTTTTGTTTATAGTTGACCACCAATACAGTGGAGATTCAAATCCTGCAGCTATTTGATTTTGGGCTTTAAATTCATCTGGTACTCCTTGTGGAACTCCAATAGTGTCTACATAAACTTGGGGGTCAAAGGACCTATGTGGGGCACTTCTTCTTTTACTATTTTCTTTTCTGTCACGTTGACGGACTGCTAGGGTGAAAGGGATGGCCAGTTGGACTAGAGCGCAAATGCTGCTCCAATTACTTGGCAGAGTACCCGGCAATAGTCCCCCACAATACCACCACACATCTGCTCAGGGATGAACAAGGGCAGACTGATTGGTAAGCTCTTGAAAAGGTCTGGTTTTACTGAACCCTGTTAAGTCTCCAGGAAATGCTAACTTGTCCCCCTGCCGTGAAAGGCATGAGGTGAAGTTAACATCAGGGGCTGGAGGCCAGATGGCCCTCAGAGGCTGACTGCAGGGCTCTTGACCTCAAGGAAAAGCAGTGAAAGACTCTTGCATGACTCATTGCCCCAGGCTGTGGGGTTCTGGAAGAGAGCTACCACACAGCTCATGCCGCGTCTGTGAGAGGACCACCCAAGTGGAAAGGGGACAATTTGGGTCTCTCGCCTAACTGTTGCACAAGTGTAACAGTCGCTTTTGTTTAGCTTGCGAACAGAATATTTAACCCATTCCAGCCAAGCATTTGCATCCTGATACCCTGTTTCAGTCGCTATAGTTTGTTTTAAATCTTTAACCTCTACAACAGCTACTTTGGTTTTATTATTGGGTATATAACAAGAGAAGGTTTGGTTAGTGGAGAACTTAGGAGAGGGAGAAGGGGGTGCAGGAGGTGGGGAAGCATGAAGCACATTTCAAAGGATCCTATGGAGTGCTTCCCTGAGACTTCTACTCCTATACCACAGAAACAGCTTAATGGAGGGGAAGAACTCTGGGGAGCAGCAATGGTAATCTGTACTAGATTACATTGGTTCAGCTGACAATTGGAAGGGGTAACTCCTTTAGTAAAATGAATATAAGGTTTCAAGAAACTGCAAGTACTAGTTGGGGCAGTCCATCCTTGCTCTTTAGTATTTCATAGAGCATTGGACCAACTTCAGCAGAGAAGCTCTGCTCTAGGAGGACAAGATTCCCAGTTCATACTGGAATCTTTGTCAAACTCTTCCCAAACTAACTTATCCTAGCTAACAGATTTCCAGTCTGAGGAGAGCTAGGAAGGACAAAGATACTTTTCTGAAGTGGAGAGTTTCCTCTGGCTTGGCAAATCTCCGCAGGGCATCACAAAGCAAGCATCAAAAGTAATAGTTCGGGGTGAACTCGACCTAGTTACATTAATAACGAGAGGACTAACAATAGAAGGGGAAAAGAAAGGGTTGCAACATAAGAGGATCAAACCAGTTTTAGCTTTACCTTGGTTGGAGTTGGCGCTGGGATAGCTGTCTATGATTCTGGATGGGGTGGTGCTCTTTTGACCCGGGTGTGATGAGTCCATCCTCTTTCTGCTGTTCGAACTGTGGCCTTGGTGGTTAGAAACACTAGGTAGGGCCCTTCCCAAGCTGGTTCGAGTTTTCCTTCTCTCCAACTTTTGATGAGGATATGGTCCCCAGGTTGATGTTGGTGTACTGGAAACTGTAGGAGTGGTGCCTGTGCTAAAAAACCTTTAGTTATGAGGGAAGAGAAAGTGGAAGATAAACCAAGTATATAATTTCTGAGAAACTGATCTTTTGTTTCAAATGTAGGAAGACCAGTAGTAGAATGTAGATAAGGCAATCCATAGAGCATCTCATAAGGGGATAGGCCTATATCTTTTCAGGGAGCAGTTCGGACTCTCAACAGGGAAATAGGCTTTGCTACTTTCCCTGATGAGGGTGAATGCCATGGTGTGTGGTATTCCCATTTTCTGTTAGGGTTTGTTTATTGTTTTTTCTGCACACTATATACAACTATCTGCAACTTGTCTAGCAAAGGTATAAATTCCTATGCATCCATAAACTCTAAGGACTGCATCACACATAGCTTGGGGGCCCCAGTGAGTTCCTTGATGTAGCTGTGACAATATCTCTCACATGAGGGGCTTAGACAGCATTTCTCTCTTGTCTGGTAGTACCCATTTTCCCTCATGGCTTTCTTTGGCTCCTATTTCTTCTAGCTTTTCTTGCTTTCTGGGGGAGAAGATAGGGACTACAGCTGGAGCGGGAAGATAAGGGGTTAGGTGGAAAATGGGTGCTGCTTGAGAAGAGGCAGCTTGTTTGGCTACTGGTTAGCTATGTTATTCCCTCAGCTCTCGAAGGAAAGATTCTTCTAGTGACCTGGAACATGAACAACTGCTATCTCTTCTGGCAGCTGTAAGTTCTCTAGTACTTAGATTATTAAGTCTCTATGGACTAAGTTTTGGCCTTTACTGTTAATGAGACCTCGCTCTGCCCAAATTTTCAAAGGTGTGGATGACTCCAAAGGCATACCTGGAGTCAGTATGAATAGCTCCTTTCTGGTTTTGCAGAGATTTTAAGGCTTGATTTAGTGCAAACAACTCATGTGTTTGTGCAGAGCAGTCATTAGGTAATCTTCCTGATTCTATTTTTGTGAGGGTGTCTCCATCTACCACTGAGTACCTGTTAGGCCTTTTCTCTTTTATCACTTGAGAAGAACCATCTACAAAAAGGTGTCTTTCAGTTTGAAAGGGAGTTCCAATTTCTCTGGCATCTTGGAGGGACAACTGTGAGACTGGGGCTTGTCTATGGTGAGAATTTCTAGGAGGGGGCAAGCAAGAGAGAGAAGCTGGATACTGAGGATGGGGTGGACCCGGAGAAGCAGGGCTGGAGGGAGCTGGCTCCCCTGCTGAAGGTGCCTCTGGGATTCATTTCTTTAGTTCCCTGGGATTGCACCTTGTAGCCTCACCTAAGATGGCAAACAGGAGGGCTGGATCAATCCTA
This sequence comes from Homo sapiens, assembly GCF_000001405.40. NCBI lineage: Eukaryota > Metazoa > Chordata > Mammalia > Primates > Hominidae > Homo > Homo sapiens. The sequence continues at coordinate 108,401,285 of NC_000002.12, read as the reverse complement.
ACACTGTTGGCAAAGGTCTGGATTATTGCCCTGAAAGGTGTAGAAATCCTGCAAATAGGAGGCCTGCGATCATTTGTCCTCACAGTTACAGAAAAGGTTCAACGGGAGGATGGTATTGAAATGAATGGTTCCTTCCTGAGGCCAAGCCAGCCCTTCCTGTAAGTCATAATTTGGCCAAACCTTTGTGCAGAGGGCTATGAGGCATTTTCTTCCAGAGTCTGAAGGTCAAACAGTCCCAGAGATTCGGGATACACCCCAGAGGAGTATAAACTGGGGATGGTGAGGATAGCTGGTTGCCCATTCTGAAAGGAAACAGATGTCCCTCATTTTCCTTCCTTCTCTCAGCAATAACTCAGGGTGTGAGGGAGAGAGAAAGCAGGTGTTCCTCACTTTCTCTTCCATGTTTTCATCCCTGACTCCTGGTGACCTTGACAGGTGCTCACCCATGGGTGCCAATGTGGCTTGCACCCATGAAGTAGGGAGAGCCTAGAGAATAGGAATTATCTGCACTAACCTATCCCCCCTACTTTTGACAACCTTTAATTCCCTAGGCCTCATCTATGCCATGGAGCATGGCCTCCTTCCATGGAGCAGGAGTTTAATTGGCAGGAATTAGTCCTGCCCATTTACATTGTGCCTGTTGCCTGGCTTTGGATCCCTCAGATCTGGTTTTCCATGCTAAGGCTTCAACCTAAAGCTTGGAATTGAGTTTGGGACAAAAAAGGTATTTCAGGGGGGTGCATGGGTCCATTTAGATTAACCCCCATATGGGCCCTGCCAAATTTGCAGTCATCAGACACCAGGGGTCACTCCTCTGTTGTTTCCCTATCATAAGCAGAGTTCTGAGGTAGGAAAAGAACATTCTCACTTAGAAAAAAAATAGCTTAAAGTGCAAAAAAAAAAAAAAAAAAAGGCGGGGGTCTGTCCTGGGGGAAGAACCTCTTTCTCTGTACAAATGGGCTCCTTCAATCACTGTATACCTTCCCTTGTTCAGACTGAGTTGAGCTCCTCAGCAGCTGGGCTCACAGGGTCCCTGACCTCTGAGATTGCCCTGGGGTCTGGGTGGCATGTGCAGCTTACTCCTGCTCTGCTTGGCCACTGGGCATGGCACATGCATGTGGTGGATATGCCCAGGTGCCCAAGCTGGAAGGGGAGGGGGTAAGGAGGGGAGCCACCATACACCATGCATACCTGCAGCTTTTGGGGTGGGGGTGGGGATGACACCTCTAAGAACAAATGGAAATCACATTGTTCTGAATTGCATGTCTGATGGCTGGGCCAAAAGCTCATTCTACTTAATATCTCTAGTTTGTAGCAAAACCCTTAACATTATAAAAGAAGAGACAGGAGCCATTTCAAACTGTGAAAGAAGGAAGGAAAGATACTATAGGAAAATCTAGGGGTCTTGGCTGATGCTTCCAGTTGCCCCAGGACCTTTTTCTGGTCCCACTCAATGGCTAAACCTTCATGAAGGGAAATCAAGCCAACATTCCTTTCCCCTGAAAGAAACAGAGAGGTGGCAGTGTCTTGGAAAAGAGACAGAGCTGATAGTTCCACATTTGTACTCATCCTTCTGATGGATCCTGGATGAGCCCCCAGATGAAAGGAGATAGTTCCCTTGACCCCTTCACGGGACTTGTGAAGCGAGTGACTTGTTTGCTCAGCCCACAGCTTTCAACCCCTCATGGGAGGGAAAGCATGCAGGTGAGTGAGTGCAGAGACCAGGATGAACACTTCTGGGTAGCCAGCAGGAACAGAACTCCATATGGGCCCATAGCAGTGTCTAGGGGTAGCCTGTGACCCCTGGGGCCTCAGAGGGCATGTGTTACAGTGTGCTGTTTTAGCTTTGCCATCCATGAATGGCTTAACTATTAGATAACTCAGTGGAGGGTCAGTGTGACAGCTTCTTGAACCCATACCTGGGTCTTTGTCTAGTGACCAGGAGGAATCAGGTTGCACGAACAAATTGAAGATAACAAATGTGGAGGATTTCACTGCTGATGAAAGTGGCTTTCAGTGGGATGGGGAGGTAGCAAGGGGATGGATTGGGAAGGTGGTCTTACCCTGGAGTTCGGCCAGCCCTGGCCGGCCGAACTCTTCTCCGAGGTTTCGCTGTTGAGCCATAACTCTGAAGTCAAGTTGCTTCTCACCAATGTCAAGCTGCTGCTTCTCTCCTTCTCTGCCACACTGCTCTGATCCTTTGCCAATAGAGTCTGGGGTTTTAATGGATACAGAATGGGGGGCAGGGTGGGCCAGGGTGGGTTTGGAAAAGGCAACATTTGGGTGGAAAAACAGGAGTGCATGTTCTCACTTTAGAAAGCAGTTCCAGGCTTGAGGGTGGAGCCCTCACCAGGGACCCTGCACTTTTCTACCTAGCATTTCCCTGCCTACAGTCTGTATCACTGTGACCTGGAATCCCCCTCCTAACTTCAAGTTGTCTTGCCTTTGCTTCAAGTTGTCCTGCCTTTTCCAGACAAAATCATTGTTCATCTTACATATGTTGACTGATGTGTCATGTCTCCCTAAAATGTATAAAACCAAACTGTGCTCAGACCACCTTGGGTACATGCCATCAGG